>NC_000017.11:25373579-25684802 GCF_000001405.40 Homo sapiens
AATCTTCACAGAAAAGCTAAACAGAAGCATTCTCAGAAACTTCTCTGTGATGTTTGTGTTCAACTCCCAGAGTTTCACGTTGCTTTTCATAGAGTAGTTCTGAAACATGCTTTTCGTAGTGTCTGCAAGTGGACATTTGGAGCGCTTTCAGGCCTGTGGTGGAAAACGAATTATGGTCACATAAAAACTGGAGAGAAGCCTTCTCAGAAACTTCTCTGTGATGATTGCATTCAACTCACAGAGTTGAACCCTCCTATGGATAGAGCAGTGTTGAAACTCTCTTTTTGTGGAATCTGCAAGTGGATATGTGGACCTCTCCGAAGATGTCTTTGGAAACGGGAATATCTTCACATAAAAACTAAACAGAAGCATTCTCAGAAACTTCTTGGTGATGTTTGCATTCAAATCCCAGAGTTGAACCTTCCTTTGATAGTTCAGGTTTGAAACACTCTTTTTGTAGGATCTGCAAGTGGCTATTTGGACCACTCTGTGGCCTTCTTTCGAAACGGGTATATCTTCGCATAAAATCTAGACAGAAGCATTCTCAGAAAATACTTTGTGATGATTGAGTTTAAATCACAGAGCTGACCATTCCTTTGGATGGAGCAGGTTTGAGACACACTTTTTGTAGAATCTACAAGTGGATATTTGGACCTCTCTGAGGATTTCGTTGGAAACGGGATAACTGCACCTAACTAAACGGAAGCATTCTCAGAAACTGCTTTGTGATGATTGCATTCACCTCACAGAGTTGAACATTCCTATTGATAGAGCAGTTTGGAAACACACTTGTTGTGGAATGTGCAAGTGGAGATTTGGAGCGCTTTGAGGCCTATGGTAGTAAAGGGAATAGCGTCATAGAAAAACTAGACAGATGCATTCTCAGGAACTTTTTGGTGATGTTTGTATTCAACTCCCAGAGTTGAACTTTCCTTTGGAAAGAGCAGCTATGAAACACTCTTTTTCTAGAATCTGCAAGTGGACGTTTGGAGGGCTTTGTAGTTTGTGGTGGAAAAGGAAATATCTTCACCTAAATACTAGATAGAAGCATTCTCAGAAGCTTCTCTGTGATGACTGCATTCAACTCACGGAGTTGAACACTCCTTTTGAGAGCGCAGTTTTGAAACTCCCTTTCTGTGGCATCTGCAAGGGGACATGTAGACCTCTTTGAAGATTTCGTTGGAAACGGAATCATCTTCACATAAAAACTATACAGAAGCAGTCTCAGAATCTTCTTTGTGATGTTTGCATTCAAATCCCAGAGTTGAACTTTCCTTTCAAAGTTCACGTTTGAAACACTCTTTTTGCAGGATCTACAAGTGGATATTTGGACCACTCTGTGTCCTTCGTTCGAAACGGGTATATCTTCACATGACATCTAGACAGAAGCTTTCTCAGAAAATTCTTTGGGATGATTGAGTGGAACTCAACAGAGCTGAACATTCCTTGCGATGTAGCAGTTTAGAAACACACTTTCTGCAGAATCTGCAAGTGCATATTTGGACCTCTCTGAGGAATTCGTTGGAAACGGGATAATTTCAGCTGACTAAACAGAAGCATTCTCAGAACCTTCTTCGTGATGTCTGCATTCAACTCACAGTGTGGAACCTTTCTTTGATAGTTCAGGTTTGAAACACTCTTTTTGTAGAAACTGCAAGGGGATAATTGCACTTCTTTGAGGCCTACCGTAGTAAAGGAAATAACTTCCTATAGAAAGAAGACAGAAGCATTCTCAGAACCCTCTTCGTGATGTTTGCATTCAACTCACAGTGCTGAACCTTTCTTTGATAGTTCAGCTTTGAAACACTCTTCTTGTAGAAACTGCAAGTGGATATTTGGTCCTCTCTGAGGATTTCGTTGGAAACGGGATAAACCGCACAGAACTAAACAGAAGAATTCTCAGAGCCCTCTTCGTGATGTTTGCATTCAACTCACAGTGCTGAACCTTTCTTTGATAGTGCAGCTTTGAAACACTCTTTTTGTAGAAACTGCAAGTGGATATTTGGTCCTCTCTGAGGATTTCGTTGGAAACGGGATAAACCGCACAGAACTAAAACAGAAGCATTCACAGAAAACTCTTGGTGACGACTGAGTTTAACTCACAGAGCTGAACATTCCTTTGGATGGAGCAGTTTCGAAACACACTATTTGTAGAATCTGCAAGTGGATATTTGGGCCTCTCTGAGGATTTCGTTGGAAACGGGATAAAACGCACAGAACTAAAACAGAAGCATTCTCAGAAACTACTTTGTGATGATTGCATTCAAGTCACAGTAGTTGAACATTCCCTTTGACAGAGCAGTTTGGAAACTCTCTTTGTGTAGAATCTGCAAGTGGAGATATGGACCGCTTTGAGGCCTATGGTAGTAAAGGAAATAGCTTCATATAAAAGCTAGACAGTAGCATTCTCAGAAACTTCTTTGTGATGCTTGCATTCAACTCACAGAGTTGAACTTTCCTTTCGAGAGAGAAGCTTTGAAACACTCTTTTTCCAGAATCTGCAAGTGGACATTTGGAGGGCTTTGAGGCCTGTGGTGGAAAAGGAATTATCTTCCCGTAAAAGCTAGATAGAAGCATTGTCAGAAACTTCTTTGTGATGATTGCATTCAACTCACAGAGATGAAGGTTCCTTTACAAACAGCAGTTTCCAAACACTCTTTCTGTGGAATCTGCAAGTGGATATTTGGACCTCTTTGAAGATTTCGTTGGAAACGGGAGAATCTTCACAGAAAATCTAAACAGAAGCATTCTCAGAAACTTCTCTGTGATGTTTGTGTTCAACTCCCAGAATTTCACATTGCTTTTCATAGAGTAGTTCTGAAACATGCTTTTCGTAGTGTCTGCAAGTGGACATTTGGAGCGCTTTCAAGCCTGTGGTGGAAAACGAATTATGGTCCCATAAAAACTGGAGAGAAGCCTTCTCAGAAACTTCTCTGTGATGATTGCATTCAACTCACAGATTTGAACCCTCCTATGGATAGAGCATTGTTGAAACTCTCTTTTTGTGGAATCTGCAAGTGGATATGTGGACCTCTCCGAAGATGTCTTTGGAAACGGGAATATCTTCACATAAAAACTAAACAGAAGCATTCTCAGAAACTTCTTGGTGATGTTTGCATTCAAATCCCAGAGTTGAACCTTCCTGTGATAGTTCAGGTATGAAACACTCTTTTTGTAGGATCTGCAAGTGGATATTTGGACCACTCTGTGGCCTTCGTTCGAAACGGGTACATCTTCACATAAAATCTAGACAGAAGCATTCTCAGAAAATACTTTGTGATGATTGAGTTTAACTCACAGAGCTGAACATTCCTTTGGATGGAGCAGGTTTGAGACACACTTTTTGTAGAATCTACAAGTGGATATTTGGACCTCTCTGAGGATTTCGTTGGAAACGCGATAACTGCACCTAACTAAACGGAAGCATTCTCAGAAACTACTTTGTGATGATTGCATTCACCTCACAGAGTTGAACATTCCTATTGATAGAGCAGTTTGGAAACACTCTTGTTGTGGAATGTGCAAGTGGAGATTTGGAGCGCTTTGAGGCCTATGGTAGTAAAGGGAATAGCTTCATAGAAAAACTAGACAGATGCATTCTCAGGAACTTTTTGGTGATGTTTGTATTCAACTCCCAGAGTTGAACTTTCCTTTGGAAAGAGCAGCTATGAAACACTCTTTTTCTACAATCTGCAAGTGGACGTTTGGAGGGCTTTGTGGTTTGTGGTGGAAAAGGAAATATCTTCACCTAAATACTAGATAGAAGCATTCTCAGAAGCTTCTCTGTGATGACTGCATTCAACTCACGGAGTTGAACACTCCTTTTGAGAGCGCAGTTTTGAAACTCTCTTTCTGTGGCATCTGCAAGGGGACATGTAGACCTCTTTGAAGATTTCGTTGGAAACGGAATCATCTTCACATAAAAACTATACAGAAGCAGTCTCAGAATCTTCTTTGTGATGTTTGCATTCAAATCCCAGAGTTGAACTTTCCTTTCAAAGTTCACGTTTGAAACACTCTTTTTGCAGGATCTACAAGTGGATATTTGGACCACTCTGTGTCCTTCGTTCGAAACGGGTATATCTTCACACGACATCTAGACAGAAGCTTTCTCAGAAAATTCTTTGGGATGATTGAGTGGAACTCACAGAGCTGAACATTCCTTGCGATGTAGCAGTTTAGAAACACACTTTCTGCAGAATCTGCAAGTGCATATTTGGACCTCTCTGAGGAATTCGTTGGAAACGGGATAATTTCAGCTGACTAAACAGAAGCATTCTCAGAACCTTCTTCGTGATGTCTGCATTCAACTCACAGTGTGGAACCTTTCTTTGATAGTTCAGGTTTGAAACACTCTTTTTGTAGAAACTGCAAGGGGATAATTGCACTTCTTTGAGGCCTACCGTAGTAAAGGAAATAACTTCCTATAGAAAGAAGACAGAAGCATTCTCAGAACCCTCTTCGTGATGTTTGCATTCAACTCACAGTGCTGAACCTTTCTTTGATAGTTCAGCTTTGAAACACTCTTCTTGTAGAAACTGCAAGTGGATATTTGGTCCTCTCTGAGGATTTCGTTGGAAACGGGATAAACCGCACAGAACTAAACAGAAGCATTCTCAGAACCTTCTTCGTGATGTTTGCATTCAACTCACAGTGTTGAACCTTTCTTTGATAGTTCAGGTTTGAAACGGTCTTTCTGTAGAAACTGCAAGTAGATATTTGGACCTCTCTGAGGATTTCGTTGGAAACGGGATAAACCGCACAGAACTAAAACAGAAGCATTCACAGAAAACTCTTGGTGACGACTGAGTTTAACTCACAGAGCTGAACATTCCTTTGGATGGAGCAGTTTCGAAACACACTATTTGTAGAATGCGCAAGTGGATATTTGGGACTCTCTGAGGATTTCGTTGGAAACGGGATAAACCGCACAGAACTAAACAGAAGCATTCTCAGAAACTACTTTGTGATGATTGCATTCAAGTCACAGAGTTGAACATTCCCTTTGACAGAGCATTTTGGAAACTCTCTTTGTGTAGAATCTGCAAGTGGAGATATGGACCGCTTTGAGGCCTATGGTAGTAAAGGAAATAGCTTCATATAAAAGCTAGACAGTAGCATTCTCAGAAACTTCTTTGTGATGCTTGCATTCAACTCACAGAGTTGAACTTTCCTTTCGAGAGAGAAGCTTTGAAACACTCTTTTTCCAGAATGTGCAAGTGGACATTTGGGGAGCTTTGAGGCCTGTGGAGGAAAAGGAATTATCTTCCCGTAAAAGCTAGATAGAAGCATTGTCAGAAACTTCTTTGTGATTATTGCATTCAACTCACAGAGTTGAAGGTTCCTTTTGAAACAGCAGTTTCCAAACACTCTTTCTGTGGAATCTACAAGTAGATATTTGGACCTCTTTGAAGATTTCGTTGGAAACGGGAGAATCTTCACAGAAAAGCTAAACAGAAGCATTCTCAGAAACTTCTCTGTGATGTTTGTGTTCAACTCCCAGAGTTTCACGTTGCTTTTCATAGAGTAGTTCTGAAACATGCTTTTCGTAGTGTCTGCAAGTGGACATTTGGAGCGCTTTCAGGCCTGTGGTGGAAAACGAATTATGGTCACATAAAAACTGGAGAGAAGCATTCTCAGAAAATACTTTGTGATGATTGAGTTTAAATCACAGAGCTGACCATTCCTTTGGATGGAGCAGGTTTGAGACACACTTTTTGTAGAATCTACAAGTGGATATTTGGACCTCTCTGAGGATTTCGTTGGAAACGGGATAACTGCACCTAACTAAACGGAAGCATTCTCAGAAACTGCTTTGTGATGATTGCATTCACCTCACAGAGTTGAACATTCCTATTGATAGAGCAGTTTGGAAACACTCTTGTTGTGGAATGTGCAAGTGGAGATTTGGCGCGCTTTGAGGCCTATGGTAGTAAAGGGAATAGCTTCATAGAAAAACTAGACAGATGCATTCTCAGGAACTTTTTGGTGATGTTTGTATTCAACTCCCAGAGTTGAACTTTCCTTTGGAAAGAGCAGCTATGAAACACTCTTTTTCTAGAATCTGCAAGTGGACGTTTGGAGGGCTTTGTGGTTTGTGGTGGAAAAGGAAATATCTTCACCTAAATACTAGATAGAAGCATTCTCAGAAGCTTCTCTGTGATGACTGCATTCAACTCACGGAGTTGAACACTCCTTTTGAGAGCGCAGTTTTGAAACTCTCTTTCTGTGGCATCTGCAAGGGGACATGTAGACCTCTTGGAAGATTTCGTTGGAAACGGAATCATCTTCACATCAAAACTATACAGAAGCAGTCTCAGAATCTTATTAGTGATGTTTGCATTCCAATCCCAGAGTTGAACTTTCCTTTCAAAGTTCACGTTTGAAACACTCTTTTTGCAGGATCTACAAGTGGATATTTGGACCACTCTGTGTCCTTCGTTCGAAACGGTTATATCTTCACATGACATCTAGACAGGAGCTTTCTCAGAAAATTCTTTGGGATGATTGAGTGGAACTCACAGAGCTGAACATTCCTTGCGATGTAGCAGTTTAGAAACACACTTTCTGCAGAATCTGCAAGTGCATATTTGGACCTCTCTGAGGAATTCGTTGGAAACGGGATAATTTCAGCTGACTAAACAGAAGCATTCTCAGAACCTTCTTCGTGATGTCTGCATTCAACTCACAGTGTGGAACCTTTCTTTGATAGTTCAGGTTTGAAACACTCTTTTTGTAGAAACTGCAAGGGGATAATTGCACTTCTTTGAGGCCTACCGTAGTAAAGGAAATAACTTCCTATAGAAAGAAGACAGAAGCATTCTCAGAACCCTCTTCGTGATGTTTGCATTCAACTCACAGTGCTGAACCTTTCTTTGATAGTTCAGCTTTGAAACACTCTTCTTGTAGAAACTGCAAGTGGATATTTGGTCCTCTCTGAGGATTTCGTTGGAAACGGGATAAACCGCACAGAACTAAACAGAAGAATTCTCAGAGCCCTCTTCGTGATGTTTGCATTCAACTCACAGTGCTGAACCTTTCTTTGATAGTGCAGCTTTGAAACACTCTTTTTGTAGAAACTGCAAGTGGATGTTTGGTCCTCTCTGAGGATTTCGTTGGAAACGGGATAAACCGCACAGAACTAAAACAGAAGCATTGTCAGAAACTTCTTTGTGATGATTGCATTCAACTCACAGAGTTGAAGGTTCCTTTTCAAACAGCAGTTTCCAATCACTCTTTCTGTGGAATCTGCAAGTGGATATTTGGGCCTCTCTGAGGATTTCGTTGGAAACGGGATAAAACGCACAGAACTAAAACAGAAGCATTCTCAGAAACTTCTCTGTGATGTTTGTGTTCAACTCCCAGAGTTTCACGTTGCTTTTCATAGAGTAGTTCTGAAACATGCTTTTCGTAGTGTCTGCAAGTGGACATTTGGAGCGCTTTCAGGCCTGTGGTGGAAAACGAATTATGGTCACATAAAAACTGGAGAGAAGCCTTCTCAGAAACTTCTCTGTGATGATTGCATTCAACTCACAGAGTTGAACCCTCCTATGGATAGAGCAGTGTTGAAACTCTCTTTTTGTGGAATCTGCAAGTGGATATGTGGACCTCTCCGAAGATGTCTTTGGAAACGGGAATATCTTCACATAAAAACTAAACAGAAGCATTCTCAGAAACTTCTTGGTGATGTTTGCATTCAAATCCCAGAGTTGAACCTTCCTTTGATAGTTCAGGTTTGAAACACTCTTTCTGTAGGATCTGCAAGTGGCTATTTGGACCACTCTGTGGCCTTCGTTCGAAACGGGTATATCTTCGCATAAAATCTAGACAGAAGCATTCTCAGAAAATACTTTGTGATGATTGAGTTTAAATCACAGAGCTGACCATTCCTTTGGATGGAGCAGGTTTGAGACACACTTTTTGTAGAATCTACAAGTGGATATTTGGACCTCTCTGAGGATTTCGTTGGAAACGGGATAACTGCACCTAACTAAACGGAAGCATTCTCAGAAACTGCTTTGTGATGATTGCATTCACCTCACAGAGTTGAACATTCCTATTGATAGAGCAGTTTGGAAACACTCTTGTTGTGGAATGTGCAAGTGGAGATTTGGAGCGCTTTGAGGCCTATGGTAGTAAAGGGAATAGCTTCATAGAAAAACTAGACAGATGCATTCTCAGGAACTTTTTGGTGATGTTTGTATTCAACTCCCAGAGTTGAACTTTCCTTTGGAAAGAGCAGCTATGAAACACTCTTTTTCTAGAATCTGCAAGTGGACGTTTGGAGGGCTTTGTGGTTTGTGGTGGAAAAGGAAATATCTTCACCTAAATACTAGATAGAAGCATTCTCAGAAGCTTCTCTGTGATGACTGCATTCAACTCACGGAGTTGAACACTCCTTTTGAGAGCGCAGTTTTGAAACTCTCTTTCTGTGGCATCTGCAAGGGGACATGTAGACCTCTTTGAAGATTTCGTTGGAAACGGAATCATCTTCACATAAAAACTATACAGAAGCAGTCTCAGAATCTTCTTTGTGATGTTTGCATTCAAATCCCAGAGTTGAACTTTCCTTTCAAAGTTCACGTTTGAAACACTCTTTTTGCAGGATCTACAAGTGGATATTTGGACCACTCTGTGTCCTTCGTTCGAAACGGGTATATCTTCACACGACATCTAGACAGAAGCTTTCTCAGAAAATTCTTTGGGATGATTGAGTGGAACTCACAGAGCTGAACATTCCTTGCGATGTAGCAGTTTAGAAACACACTTTCTGCAGAATCTGCAAGTGCATATTTGGACCTCTCTGAGGAATTCGTTGGAAACGGGATAATTTCAGCTGACTAAACAGAAGCATTCTCAGAACCTTCTTCGTGATGTCTGCATTCAACTCACAGTGTGGAACCTTTCTTTGATAGTTCAGGTTTGAAACACTCTTTTTGTAGAAACTGCAAGGGGATAATTGCACTTCTTTGAGGCCTACCGTAGTAAAGGAAATAACTTCCTATAGAAAGAAGACAGAAGCATTCTCAGAACCCTCTTCGTGATGTTTGCATTCAACTCACAGTGCTGAACCTTTCTTTGATAGTTCAGCTTTGAAACACTCTTCTTGTAGAAACTGCAAGTGGATATTTGGTCCTCTCTGAGGATTTCGTTGGAAACGGGATAAACCGCACAGAACTAAACAGAAGCATTCTCAGAACCTTCTTCGTGATGTTTGCATTCAACTCACAGTGTTGAACCTTTCTTTGATAGCTCAGGTTTGAAACGGTCTTTCTGTAGAAACTGCAAGTAGATATTTGGACCTCTCTGAGGATTTCGTTGGAAACGGGATAACCCGCACAGAACTAAAACAGAAGCATTCACAGAAAACTCTTGGTGACGACTGAGTTTAACTCACAGAGCTGAACATTCCTTTGGATGGAGCAGTTTCGAAACACACTATTTGTAGAATGTGCAAGTGGATATTTGGGCCTCTCTGAGGATTTCGTTGGAAACGGGATAAACCGCACAGAACTAAACAGAAGCATTCTCAGAAACTACTTTGTGATGATTGCATTCAAGTCACAGAGTTGAACATTCCCTTTGACAGAGCAGTTTGGAAACTCTCTTTCTGTAGAATCTGCAAGTGGAGATATGGACCGCTTTGAGGCCTATGGTAGTAAAGGAAATAGCTTCATATAAAAGCTAGACAGTAGCATTCTCAGAAACTTCTTTGTGATGCTTGCATTCAACTCACAGAGTTGAACTTTCCTTTCGAGAGAGAAGCTTTGAAACACTCTTTTTCCAGAATCTGCAAGTGGACATTTGGAGGGCTTTGAGGCCTGTGGTGGAAAAGGAATTATCTTCCCGTAAAAGCTAGATAGAAGCATTGTCAGAAACTTCTTTGTGATGATTGCATTCAAGTCACAGAGTTGAAGGTTCCTTTTCAAAGAGCAGTTTCCAATCACTCTTTCTGTGGAATCTGCAAGTGGATATTTGGACCTCTTTGAAGATTTCGTTGGAAACGGGAGAATCTTCACAGAAAAGCTAAACAGAAGCATTCTCAGAAACTTCTCTGTGATGTTTGTGTTCAACTCCCAGAGTTTCACATTGCTTCTCATAGAGTAGTTCTGAAACATGCTTTTCGTAGTGTCTGCAAGTGGACATTTGGAGCGCTTTCAGGCCTGTGGTGGAAAACGAATTATGGTCACATAAAAACTGGAGAGAAGCATTGTCAGAAACTTCTTTGTGATGATTGCATTCAACTCACAGGGTTGAAGGTTCCTTTTCAAAGAGCAGTTTCCAATCACTCTTTCTGTGGAATCTGCAAGTGGATATTTGGACCTCTTTGAAGATTTCGTTGGAAACGGGAGAATCTTCACAGAAAAGCTAAACAGAAGCATTCTCAGAAACTTCTCTGTGATGTTTGTGTTCAACTCCCAGAGTTTCACATTGCTTTTCATAGAGTAGTTCTGAAACATGCTTTTCGTAGTGTCTACAAGTGGACATTTGGAGCGCTTTCAGGCCTGTGGTGGAAAACGAATTATGGTCACATAAAAACTGGAGAGAAGCCTTCTCAGAAACTTCTCTGTGATGATTGCATTCAACTCACAGATTTGAACCCTCCTATGGATAGAGCATTGTTGAAACTCTCTTTTTGTGGAATCTGCAAGTGGATATGTGGACCTCTCCGAAGATGTCTTTGGAAACGGGAATATCTTCACATAAAAACTAAACAGAAGCATTCTCAGAAACTTCTTGGTGATGTTTGCATTCAAATCCCAGAGTTGAACCTTCCTGTGATAGTTCAGGTTTGAAACACTCTTTTTGTAGGATCTGCAAGTGGATATTTGGACCACTCTGTGGCCTTCGTTCGAAACGGGTACATCTTCACATAAAATCTAGACAGAAGCATTCTCAGAAAATACTTTGTGATGATTGAGTTTAACTCACAGAGCTGAACATTCCTTTGGATGGAGCAGGTTTGAGACACACTTTTTGTAGAATCTACAAGTGGATATTTGGACCTCTCTGAGGATTTCGTTGGAAACGGGATAACTGCACCTAACTAAACGGAAGCATTCTCAGAAACTGCTTTGTGATGATTGCATTCACCTCACAGAGTTGAACATTCCTATTGATAGAGCAGTTTGGAAACACTCTTGTTGTGGAATGTGCAAGTGGAGATTTGGAGCGCTTTGAGGCCTATGGTAGTAAAGGGAATAGCTTCATAGAAAAACTAGACAGATGCATTCTCAGGAACTTTTTGGTGATGTTTGTATTCAACTCCCAGAGTTGAACTTTCCTTTGGAAAGAGCAGCTATGAAACACTCTTTTTCTAGAATCTGCAAGTGGACGTTTGGAGGGCTTTGTGGTTTGTGGTGGAAAAGGAAATATCTTCACCTAAATACTAGATAGAAGCATTCTCAGAAGCTTCTCTGTGATGACTGCATTCAACTCACGGAGTTGAACACTCCTTTTGAGAGCGCAGTTTTGAAACTCTCTTTCTGTGGCATCTGCAAGGGGACATGTAGACCTCTTTGAAGATTTCGTTGGAAACGGAATCATCTTCACATAAAAACTATACAGAAGCAGTCTCAGAATCTTCTTTGTGATGTTTGCATTCAAATCCCAGAGTTGAACTTTCCTTTCAAAGTTCACGTTTGAAACACTCTTTTTGCAGGATCTACAAGTGGATATTTGGACCACTCTGTGTCCTTCGTTCGAAACGGGTATATCTTCACACGACATCTAGACAGAAGCTTTCTCAGAAAATTCTTTGGGATGATTGAGTGGAACTCACAGAGCTGAACATTCCTTGCGATGTAGCAGTTTAGAAACACACTTTCTGCAGAATCTGCAAGTGCATATTTGGACCTCTCTGAGGAATTCGTTGGAAACGGGATAATTTCAGCTGACTAAACAGAAGCATTCTCAGACACCCTTCTTCGTGATGTCTGCATTCAACTCACAGTGTGGAACCTTTCTTTGATAGTTCAGGTTTGAAACACTCTTTTTGTAGAAACTGCAAGGGGATAATTGCACTTCTTTGAGGCCTACCGTAGTAAAGGAAATAACTTCCTATAGAAAGAAGACAGAAGCATTCTCAGAACCCTCTTCGTGATGTTTGCATTCAACTCACAGTGCTGAACCTTTCTTTGATAGTTCAGCTTTGAAACACTCTTCTTGTAGAAACTGCAAGTGGATATTTGGTCCTCTCTGAGGATTTCGTTGGAAACGGGATAAACCGCACAGAACTAAACAGAAGAATTCTCAGAGCCCTCTTCGTGATGTTTGCATTCAACTCACAGTGCTGAACCTTTCTTTGATAGTGCAGCTTTGAAACACTCTTTTTGTAGAAACTGCAAGTGGATGTTTGGTCCTCTCTGAGGATTTCGTTGGAAACGGGATAAACCGCACAGAACTAAAACAGAAGCATTGTCAGAAACTTCTTTGTGATGATTGCATTCAACTCACAGAGTTGAAGGTTCCTTTTCAAACAGCAGTTTCCAATCACTCTTTCTGTGGAATCTGCAAGTGGATATTTGGGCCTCTCTGAGGATTTCGTTGGAAACGGGATAAAACGCACAGAACTAAAACAGAAGCATTCTCAGAAACTTCTCTGTGATGTTTGTGTTCAACTCCCAGAGTTTCACGTTGCTTTTCATAGAGTAGTTCTGAAACATGCTTTTCGTAGTGTCTGCAAGTGGACATTTGGAGCGCTTTCAGGCCTGTGGTGGAAAACGAATTATGGTCACATAAAAACTGGAGAGAAGCCTTCTCAGAAACTTCTCTGTGATGATTGCATTCAACTCACAGAGTTGAACCCTCCTATGGATAGAGCAGTGTTGAAACTCTCTTTTTGTGGAATCTGCAAGTGGATATGTGGACCTCTCCGAAGATGTCTTTGGAAACGGGAATATCTTCACATAAAAACTAAACAGAAGCATTCTCAGAAACTTCTTGGTGATGTTTGCATTCAAATCCCAGAGTTGAACCTTCCTTTGATAGTTCAGGTTTGAAACACTCTTTCTGTAGGATCTGCAAGTGGCTATTTGGACCACTCTGTGGCCTTCGTTCGAAACGGGTATATCTTCGCATAAAATCTAGACAGAAGCATTCTCAGAAAATACTTTGTGATGATTGTGTTTAAATCACAGAGCTGACCATTCCTTTGGATGGAGCAGGTTTGAGACACACTTTTTGTAGAATCTACAAGTGGATATTTGGACCTCTCTGAGGATTTCGTTGGAAACGGGATAAGTGCACCTAACTAAACGGAAGCATTCTCAGAAACTGCTTTGTGATGATTGCATTCACCTCACAGAGTTGAACATTCCTATTGATAGAGCAGTTTGGAAACACTCTTGTTGTGGAATGTGCAAGTGGAGATTTGGAGCGCTTTGAGGCCTATGGTAGTAAAGGGAATAGCTTCATAGAAAAACTAGACAGATGCATTCTCAGGAACTTTTTGGTGATGTTTGCATTCAACTCCCAGAGTTGAACTTTCCTTTGGAAAGAGCAGCTATGAAACACTCTTTTTCTAGAATCTGCAAGTGGACGTTTGGAGGGCTTTGTGGTTTGTGGTGGAAAAGGAAATATCTTCACCTAAATACTAGAGAGAAGCATTCTCAGAAGCTTCTCTGTGATGACTGCATTCAACTCACGGAGTTGAACACTCCTTTTGAGAGCGCAGTTTTGAAACTCTCTTTCTGTGGCATCCGCAAGGGGACATGTAGACCTCTTTGAAGATTTCGTTGGAAACGGAATCATCTTCACATAAAAACTATACAGAAGCAGTCTCAGAATCTTCTTTGTGATGTTTGCATTCAAATCCCAGAGTTGAACTTTCCTTTCCAAGTTCACGTTTGAAACAGTCTTTTTGCAGGATCTACAAGTGGATATTTGGACCACTCTGTGTCCTTCGTTCGAAACGGGTATATCTTCACATGACATCTAGACAGAAGCTTTCTCAGAAAATTCTTTGGGATGATTGAGTGGAACTCACAGAGCTGAACATTCCTTGCGATGTAGCAGTTTAGAAACACACTTTCTGCAGAATCTGCAAGTGCATATTTGGACCTCTCTGAGGAATTCGTTGGAAACGGGATAATTTCAGCTGACTAAACAGAAGCATTCTCAGAACGTTCTTCTTGATGTCTGCATTCAACTCACAGTGTGGAACCTTCCTTTGATTGTTCAGGTTTGAAACACTCTTTTTGTAGAAACTGCAAGGGGATAATTGCACTTCTTTGAGGCCTACCGTAGTAAAGGAAATAACTTCCTATAGAAAGAAGACAGAAGCATTCTCAGAACCCTCTTCGTGATGTTTGCATTCAACTCACAGTGCTGAACCTTTCTTTGATAGTTCAGCTTTGAAACACTCTTCTTGTAGAAACTGCAAGTGGATATTTGGTCCTCTCTGAGGATTTCGTTGGAAACGGGATAAACCGCACAGAACTAAACAGAAGAATTCTCAGAGCCCTCTTCGTGATGTTTGCATTCAACTCACAGTGCTGAACCTTTCTTTGATAGTGCAGCTTTGAAACACTCTTTTTGTAGAAACTGCAAGTGGATGTTTGGTCCTCTCTGAGGATTTCGTTGGAAACGGGATAAACCGCACAGAACTAAAACAGAAGCATTGTCAGAAACTTCTTTGTGATGATTGCATTCAACTCACAGAGTTGAAGGTTCCTTTTCAAACAGCAGTTTCCAATCACTCTTTCTGTGGAATCTGCAAGTGGATATTTGGGCCTCTCTGAGGATTTCGTTGGAAACGGGATAAAACGCACAGAACTAAAACAGAAGCATTCTCAGAAACTTCTCTGTGATGTTTGTGTTCAACTCCCAGAGTTTCACGTTGCTTTTCATAGAGTAGTTCTGAAACATGCTTTTCGTAGTGTCTGCAAGTGGACATTTGGAGCGCTTTCAGGCCTGTGGTGGAAAACGAATTATGGTCACATAAAAACTGGAGAGAAGCCTTCTCAGAAACTTCTCTGTGATGATTGCATTCAACTCACAGAGTTGAACCCTCCTATGGATAGAGCAGTGTTGAAACTCTCTTTTTGTGGAATCTGCAAGTGGATATGTGGACCTCTCCGAAGATGTCTTTGGAAACGGGAATATCTTCACATAAAAACTAAACAGAAGCATTCTCAGAAACTTCTTGGTGATGTTTGCATTCAAATCCCAGAGTTGAACCTTCCTTTGATAGTTCAGGTTTGAAACACTCTTTTTGTAGGATCTGCAAGTGGCTATTTGGACCACTCTGTGGCCTTCGTTCGAAACGGGTATATCTTCGCATAAAATCTAGACAGAAGCATTCTCAGAAAATACTTTGTGATGATTGAGTTTAAATCACAGAGCTGAACATTCCTTTGGATGGAGCAGGTTTGAGACACACTTTTTGTAGAATCTACAAGTGGATATTTGGACCTCTCTGAGGATTTCGTTGGAAACGGGATAACTGCACCTAACTAAACGGAAGCTTTCTCAGAAACTGCTTTGTGATGATTGCATTCACCTCACAGAGTTGAACATTCCTATTGATAGAGCAGTTTGGAAACACTCTTGTTGTGGAATGTGCAAGTGGAGATTTGGAGCGCTTTGAGGCCTATGGTAGTAAAGGGAATAGCTTCATAGAAAAACTAGACAGAATGCATTCTCAGGAACTTTTTGGTGATGTTTGTATTCAACTCCCAGAGTTGAACTTTCCTTTGGAAAGAGCAGCTATGAAACACTCTTTTTCTAGAATCTGCAAGTGGACGTTTGGAGGGCTTTGTGGTTTGTGGTGGAAAAGGAAATATCTTCACCTAAATACTAGACAGAAGCATTCTCAGAAGCTTCTCTGTGATGACTGCATTCAACTCACGGAGTTGAACACTCCTTTTGAGAGCGCAGTTTTGAAACTCTCTTTCTGTGGCATCTGCAAGGGGACATGTAGACCTCTTTGAAGATTTCGTTGGAAACGGAATCATCTTCACATAAAAACTATACAGAAGCAGTCTCAGAATCTTCTTTGTGATGTTTGCATTCAAATCCCAGAGTTGAACTTTCCTTTCAAAGTTCACGTTTGAAACACTCTTTTTGCAGGATCTACAAGTGGATATTTGGACCACTCTGTGTCCTTCGTTCGAAACGGGTATATCTTCACATGACATCTAGACAGAAGCTTTCTCAGAAAATTGTTTGGGATGATTGATTTGAACTCACAGAGCTGAGCATTCCTTTGGATGGAGCAGTTTCGAAACACACTATTTGTAGAATGTGCAAGTGGATATGTGGGCCTCTCTGAGGATTTCGTTGGAAACGGGATAAACCGCACAGAACTAAACAGAAGCATTCTCAGAACCTTCTTCGTGATGTCTGCATTCAACTCACAGTGTGGAACCTTTCTTTGATAGTTCAGGTTTGAAACACTCTTTTTGTAGAAACTGCAAGGGGATAATTGCACTCTTTGAGGAGTACCGTAGTAAAGGAAATAACTTCCTATAAAAAGAAGACAGAAGCATTCTCAGAACCCTCTTCGTGATGTTTGCATTCAACTCACAGTGCTGAACCTTTCTTTGATAGTTCAGCTTTGAAACACTCTTTTTGTAGAAACTGCAAGTGGATATTTGGTCCTCTCTGAGCATTTCGTTGGAAACGGGATAAACTGCACAGAACTAAACAGAAGCATTCTCAGAACCTTCTTCGTGATGTTTGCATTCAACTCACAGTGTTGAACCTTTCTTTGATAGTTCAGGTTTGAAACGGTCTTTCTGTAGAAACTGCAAGTAGATATTTGGACCTCTCTGAGGATTTCGTTGGAAACGGGATAACCCGCACAGAACTAAAACAGAAGCATTCACAGAAAACTCTTGGTGACGACTGAGTTTAACTCACAGAGCTGAACATTCCTTTGGATGGAGCAGTTTCGAAACACACTATTTGTAGAATGTGCAAGTGGATATTTAGGCCTCTCTGAGGATTTCGTTGGAAACGGGATAAACCGCACAGAACTAAACAGAAGCATTCTCAGAAACTACTTTGTGATGATTGCATTCAAGTCACAGAGTTGAACATTCCCTTTGACAGAGCAGTTTGGAAACTCTCTTTGTGTAGAATCTGCAAGTGGAGATACGGACCGCTTTGAGGCCTATGGTAGTAAAGGAAATAGCTTCATATAAAAGCTAGACAGTAGCATTCTCAGAAACTTCTTTGTGATGCTTGCATTCAACTCACAGAGTTGAACTTTCCTTTCGAGAGAGAAGCTTTGAAACACTCTTTTTCCAGAATCTGCAAGTGGACATTTGGAGGGCTTTGAGGCCTGTGGTGGAAAAGGAATTATCTTCCCGTAAAAGCTAGATAGAAGCATTGTCAGAAACTTCTTTGTGATGATTGCATTCAACTCACAGAGTTGAAGGTTCCTTTTCAAAGAGCAGTTTCCAATCACTCTTTCTGTGGAATCTGCAAGTGGATATTTGGACCTATTTTGAAGATTTCGTTGGAAACGGGAGAATCTTCACAGGAAAGCTAAACAGAAGCATTCTCAGAAACTTCTCTGTGATGTTTGTGTTCAACTCCCAGAGTTTCACATTGCTTTTCATAGAGTAGTTCTGAAACATGCTTTTCGTAGTGTCTACAAGTGGACATTTGGAGCGCTTTCAGGCCTGTGGTGGAAAACGAATTATGGTCACATAAAAACTGGAGAGAAGCCTTCTCAGAAACTTCTCTGTGATGATTGCATTCAACTCACAGAGTTGAACCCTCCTATGGATAGAGCAGTGTTGAAACTCTCTTTTTGTGGAATCTGCAAGTGGATATGTGGACCTCTCCGAAGATGTCTTTGGAAACGGGAATATCTTCACATAAAAACTAAACAGAAGCATTCTCAGAAACTTCTTGGTGATGTTTGCATTCAAATCCCAGCAGTTGAACCTTCCTTTGATAGTTCAGGTTTGAAACACTCTTTCTGTAGGATCTGCAAGTGGCTATTTGGACCACTCTGTGGCCTTCGTTCGAAACGGGTATATCTTCGCATAAAATCTAGACAGAAGCATTCTCAGAAAATACTTTGTGATGATTGAGTTTAACTCACAGAGCTGAACATTCCTTTGGATGGAGCAGGTTTGAGACACACATTTGTAGAATCTACAAGTGGATATTTGGACCTCTCTGAGGATTTCGTTGGAAACGCGATAACTGCACCTAACTAAACGGAAGCATTCTCAGAAACTGCTTTGTGATGATTGCATTCACCTCACAGAGTTGAACATTCCTATTGATAGAGCAGTTTGGAAACACTCTTCATCTGGAATGTGCAAGTGGAGATTTGGAGCGCTTTGAGGCCTATGGTAGTAAAGGGAATAGCTTCATAGAAAAACTAGACAGATGCATTCTCAGGAACTTTTTGGTGATGTTTGTATTCAACTCCCAGAGTTGAACTTTCCTTTGGAAAGAGCAGCTATGAAACACTCTTTTTCTAGAATCTGCAAGTGGACGTTTGGAGGGCTTTGTGGTTTGTGGTGGAAAAGGAAATATCTTCACCTAAATACTAGATAGAAGCATTCTCAGAAGCTTCTCTGTGATGACTGCATTCAACTCACGGAGTTGAACACTCCTTTTGAGAGCGCAGTTTTGAAACTCTGTTTCTGTGGCATCTGCAAGGGGACATGTAGACCTCTTTGAAGATTTCGTTGGAAACGGAATCATCTTCACATAAGAACTATACAGAAGCAGTCTCAGAATCTTCTTTGTGATGTTTGCATTCAAATCCCAGAGTTGAACTTTCCTTTCAAAGTTCACGTTTGAAACACTCTTTTTGCAGGATCTACAAGTGGATATTTGGACCACTCTGTGTCCTTCGTTCGAAACGGGTATATCTTCACATGACATCTAGACAGAAGCTTTCTCAGAAAATTCTTTGGGATGATTGAGTGGAACTCACAGAGCTGAACATTCCTTGCGATGTAGCAGTTTAGAAACACACTTTCTGCAGAATCTGCAAGTGCATATTTGGACCTCTCTGAGGAATTCGTTGGAAACGGGATAATTTCAGCTGACTAAACAGAAGCATTCTCAGAACCTTCTTCGTGATGTCTGCATTCAACTCACAGTGTGGAACCTTTCCTTGTTAGTTCAGGTTTGAAACACTCTTTTTGTAGAAACTGCAAGGGGATAATTGCACTTCTTTGAGGCCTACCGTAGTAAAGGAAATAACTTCCTATAGAAAGAAGACAGAAGCATTCTCAGAACCCTCTTCGTGATGTTTGCATTCAACTCACAGTGCTGAACCTTTCTTTGATAGTTCAGCTTTGAAACACTCTTCTTGTAGAAACTGCAAGTGGATATTTGGTCCTCTCTGAGGATTTCGTTGGAAACGGGATAAACCGCACAGAACTAAACAGAAGAATTCTCAGAGCCCTCTTCGTGATGTTTGCATTCAACTCACAGTGCTGAACCTTTCTTTGATAGTGCAGCTTTGAAACACTCTTTTTGTAGAAACTGCAAGTGGATGTTTGGTCCTCTCTGAGGATTTCGTTGGAAACGGGATAAACCGCACAGAACTAAAACAGAAGCATTGTCAGAAACTTCTTTGTGATGATTGCATTCAACTCACAGAGTTGAAGGTTCCTTTTCAAACAGCAGTTTCCAATCACTCTTTCTGTGGAATCTGCAAGTGGATATTTGGGCCTCTCTGAGGATTTCGTTGGAAACGGGATAAAACGCACAGAACTAAAACAGAAGCATTCTCAGAAACTTCTCTGTGATGTTTGTGTTCAACTCCCAGAGTTTCACGTTGCTTTTCATAGAGTAGTTCTGAAACATGCTTTTCGTAGTGTCTGCAAGTGGACATTTGGAGCGCTTTCAGGCCTGTGGTGGAAAACGAATTATGGTCACATAAAAACTGGAGAGAAGCCTTCTCAGAAACTTCTCTGTGATGATTGCATTCAACTCACAGAGTTGAACCCTCCTATGGATAGAGCAGTGTTGAAACTCTCTTTTTGTGGAATCTGCAAGTGGATATGTGGACCTCTCCGAAGATGTCTTTGGAAACGGGAATATCTTCACATAAAAACTAAACAGAAGCATTCTCAGAAACTTCTTGGTGATGTTTGCATTCAAATCCCAGAGTTGAACCTTCCTTTGATAGTTCAGGTTTGAAACACTCTTTCTGTAGGATCTGCAAGTGGCTATTTGGACCACTCTGTGGCCTTCGTTCGAAACGGGTATATCTTCGCATAAAATCTAGACAGAAGCATTCTCAGAAAATACTTTGTGATGATTGAGTTTAACTCACAGAGCTGAACATTCCTTTGGATGGAGCAGGTTTGAGACACACCTTTTGTAGAATCTACAAGTGGATATTTGGACCTCTCTGAGGATTTCGTTGGAAACGGGATAACTGCACCTAACTAAACGGAAGCATTCTCAGAAACTGCTTTGTGATGATTGCATTCACCTCACAGAGTTGAACATTCCTATTGATAGAGCAGTTTGGAAACACTCTTGTTGTGGAATGTGCAAGTGGAGATTTGGAGCGCTTTGAGGCCTGTGGTAGTAAAGGGAATAGCTTCATAGAAAAACTAGACAGATGCATTCTCAGGTACTTTTTGGTGATGTTTGTATTCAACTCCCAGAGTTGAACTTTCCTTTGGAAAGAGCAGCTATGAAACACTCTTTTTCTAGAATCTGCAAGTGGACGTTTGGAGGGCTTTGTGGTTTGTGGTGGAAAAGGAAATATCTTCACCTAAATACTAGATAGAAGCATTCTCAGAAGCTTCTCTGTGATGACTGCATTCAACTCACGGAGTTGAACACTCCTTTTGAGAGTGCAGTTTTGAAACTCTCTTTCTGTGGCATCTGCAAGGGGACATGTAGACCTCTTTGAAGATTTCGTTGGAAACGGAATCATCTTCACATAAAAACTATACAGAAGCAGTCTCAGAATCTTCTTTGTGATGTTTGCATTCAAATCCCTGAGTTGAATTTTCCTTTCAAAGTTCACGTTTGAAACACTCTTTTTGCAGGATCTACAAGTGGATATTTGGACCACTCTGTGTCCTTCGTTCGAAACGGGTATATCTTCACATGACATCTAGACAGAAGCTTTCTCAGAAAATTCTTTGGGATGATTGAGTTGAGCAAACAGAGCTGAACACTCCTTGTGATGTAGCAGTTTAGAAACACACTTTCTGCAGAATCTGCAAGTGCATATGTGGACCTCTCTGAGGAATTCGTTGGAAACGGGATAATTTCAGCTGACTAAACAGAAGCATTCTCAGAACCTTCTTCGTGATGTCTGCATTCAACTCACAGTGTGGAACCTTTCTTTGATAGTTCAGGTTTGAAACACTCTTTTTGTAGAAACTGCAAGGGGATCATTGCACTTCTTTGAGGCCTACCGTAGTAAAGGAGATAACTTCCTATAAAAAGAAGACAGAAGAATTCTCAGAGCCCTCTTCGTGATGTTCGGCATTCAACTCACAGTGCTGAACCTTTCTTTGATAGTGCAGCTTTGAAACACTCTTTTTGTAGAAACTGCAAGTGGATGTTTGGTCCTCTCTGAGGATTTCGTTGGAAACGGGATAAACCGCACAGAACTAAAACAGAAGCATTCTCTGAACCTTCTTCGTGATGTTTGCATTCAACTCACAGTGTTGAACCTTTCTTTGATAGTTCAGGTTGGAAACGGTCTTTCTGTAGAAACTGCAAGTAGATATTTGGACCTCTCTGAGGATTTCGTTGGAAACGGGATAAACCGCACAGAACTAAAACAGAAGCATTCACAGAAAACTCTTGGTGACGACTGAGTTTAACTCACAGAGCTGAACATTCCTTTGGATGGAGCAGTTTCGAAACACACTATCTGTAGAATGTGCAAGTGGATATTGGGGCCTCTCTGAGGATTTCGTTGGAAACGGGATAAACCGCACAGAACTAAACAGAAACATTCTCAGAAACTACTTTGTGATGATTGCATTCAAGTCACAGAGTTGAACATTCCCTTTGACAGAGCAGTTTGGAAACTCTCTTTGTGTAGAATCTGCAAGTGGAGATATGGACCGCTTTGAGGCCTATGGTAGTAAAGGAAATAGCTTCATATAAAAGCTAGACAGTAGCATTCTCAGAAACTTCTTTGTGATGCTTGCATTCAACTCACAGAGTTGAACTTTCCTTTCGAGAGAGAAGCTTTGAAACACTCTTTTTCCAGAATCTGCAAGTGGACATTTGGAGGGCTTTGAGGCCTGTGGTGGAAAAGGAATTATCTTCCCGTAAAAGCTAGATAGAAGCATTGTCAGAAACTTCTTTGTGATGATTGCATTCAACTCACAGAGTTGAAGGTTCCTTTCCAAACAGCAGTTTCCAAACACTCTTTCTGTGGAATCTGCAAGTGGATATTTGGACCTCTTTGAAGATTTCGTTGGAAACGGGAGAATCTTCACAGAAAAGCTAAACAGAAGCATTCTCAGAAACTTCTCTGTGATGTTTGTGTTCAACTCCCAGAGTTTCACATTGCTTTTCATAGAGTAGTTCTGAAACATGCTTTTCGTAGTGTCTACAAGTGGACATTTGGAGCGCTTTCAGGCCTGTGGTGGAAAACGAATTATGGTCACATAAAAACTGGAGAGAAGCATTCTCAGAAAATACTTTGTGATGATTGAGTTTAACTCACAGAGCTGAACATTCCTTTGGATGGAGCAGGTTTGAGACACACTTTTTGTAGAATCTACAAGTGGATATTTGGACCTCTCTGAGGATTTCGTTGGAAACGCGATAACTGCACCTAACTAAACGGAAGCATTCTCAGAAACTGCTTTGTGATGATTGCATTCACCTCACAGAGTTGAACATTCCTATTGATAGAGCAGTTTGGAAACACTCTTGTTGTGGAATGTGCAAGTGGAGATTTGGAGCGCTTTGAGGCCTATGGTAGTAAAGGGAATAGCTTCATAGAAAAACTAGACAGATGCATTCTCAGGAACTTTTTGGTGATGTTTGTATTCAACTCCCAGAGTTGAACTTTCCTTTGGAAAGAGCAGCTATGAAACACTGTTTTTCTAGAATCTGCAAGTGGACGTTTGGAGGGCTTTGTGGTTTGTGGTGGAAAAGGAAATATCTTCACCTAAATACTAGAGAGAAGCATTCTCAGAAGCTTCTCTGAGATGACTGCATTCAACTCACGGAGTTGAACACTCCTTTTGAGAGCGCAGTTTTGAAACTCTCTTTCTGTGGCATCTGCAAGGGGACATGTAGACCTCTTTGAAGATTTCGTTGGAAACGGAATCATCTTCACATAAAAACTATACAGAAGCAGTCTCAGAATCTTCTTTGTGATGTTTGCATTCAAATCCCAGAGTTGAACTTTCCTTTCAAAGTTCACGTTTGAAACACTCTTTTTGCAGGATCTACAAGTGGATATTTGGACCACTCTGTGTCCTTCGTTCGAAACGGGTATATCTTCACAGGACATCTAGACAGAAGCTTTCTCAGAAAATTCTTTGGGATGATTGAGTTGAACTCACAGAGCTGAACATTCCTTGCGATGTAGCAGTTTAGAAACACACTTTCTGCAGAATCTGCAAGTGCATATTTGGACCTCTCTGAGGAATTCGTTGGAAACGGGATAATTTCAGCTGACTAAACAGAAGCATTCTCAGAACCTTCTTCGTGATGTCTGCATTCAACTCACAGTGTGGAAGCTTTCTTTGATAGTTCAGGTTTGAAACACTCTTTTTGTAGAAACTGCAAGGGGATAATTGCACTGCTTTGAGGCCTACCGTAGTAAAGGAAATAACTTCCTATAAAAAGAAGACAGAAGCATTCTCAGAACCCTCTTCGTGATGTTTGCATTCAACTCACAGTGCTGAACCTTTCTTTGATAGTTCAGCTTTGAAACTCTCTTCTTGTAGAAACTGCAAGTGGATATTTGGTCCTCTCTGAGGATTTCGTTGGAAACGGGATAAACCGCACAGAACTAAACAGAAGAATTCTCAGAACCCTCTTCGTGATGTTTGCATTCAACTCACAGTGCTGAACCTTTCTTTGATAGTGCAGCTTTGAAACACTCTTTTTGTAGAAACTGCAAGTGGATATTTGGTCCTCTCTGAAGATTTCGTTGGAAACGGGATAAACCGCACAGAACTAAAACAGAAGCATTCACAGAAAACTCTTGGTGACGACTGAGTTTAACTCACAGAGCTGAACATTCCTTTGGATGGAGCAGTTTCGAAACACACTATTTGTAGAATCTGCAAGTGGATATTTGGGCCTCTCTGAGGATTTCGTTGGAAACGGGATAAAACGCACAGAACTAAAACAGAAGCATTCTCAGAAACTACTTTGTGATGATTGCATTCAAGTCACAGAGTTGAACATTCCCTTTGACAGAGCAGTTTGGAAACTCTCTTTGTGTAGAATCTGCAAGTGGAGATATGGACCGCTTTGAGGCCTATGGTAGTAAAGGAAATAGCTTCATATAAAAGCTAGACAGTAGCATTCTCAGAAACTTCTTTGTGATGCTTGCATTCAACTCACAGAGTTGAACTTTCCTTTCGAGAGAGAAGCTTTGAAACACTCTTTTTCCAGAATGTGCAAGTGGACATTTGGGGAGCTTTGAGGCCTGTGGTGGAAAAGGAATTATCTTCCCGTAAAAGCTAGATAGAAGCATTGTCAGAAACTTCTTTGTGATGATTGCATTCAACTCACAGAGTTGAAGGTTCCTTTTCAAACAGCAGTTTCCAATCACTCTTTCTGTGGAATCTGCAAGTGGATATTTGGACCTCTTTGAAGATTTCGTTGGAAACGGGAGTATCTTCACAGAAAAGCTAAACAGAAGCATTCTCAGAAACTTCTCTGTGATGTTTGTGTTCAACTCCCAGAGTTTCACATTGCTTTTCATAGAGTAGTTCTGAAACATGCTTTTCGTAGTGTCTACAAGTGGACATTTGGAGCGCTTTCAGGCCTGTGGTGGAAAACGAATTATGGTCACATAAAAACTGGAGAGAAGCCTTCTCAGAAACTTCTCTGTGATGATTGCATTCAACTCACAGAGTTGAACCCTCCTATGGATAGAGCAGTGTTGAAACTCTCTTTTTGTGGAATCTGCAAGTGGATATGTGGACCTCTCCGAAGATGTCTTTGGAAACGGGAATATCTTCACATAAAAACTAAACAGAAGCATTCTCAGAAACTTCTTGGTGATGTTTGCATTCAAATCCCAGAGTTGAACCTTCCTTTGATAGTTCAGGTTTGAAACACTCTTTTTGTAGGATCTGCAAGTGGATATTTGGACCACTCTGTGGCCTTCGTTCGAAACGGGTATATCTTCGCATAAAATCTAGACAGAAGCATTCTCAGAAAATACTTTGTGATGATTGAGTTTAACTCACAGAGCTGAACATTCCTTTGGATGGAGCAGGTTTGAGACACACCTTTTGTAGAATCTACAAGTGGATATTTGGACCTCTCTGAGGATTTCGTTGGAAACGGGATAACTGCACCTAACTAAACGGAAGCATTCTCAGAAACTGCTTTGTGATGATTGCATTCACCTCACAGAGTTGAACATTCCTATTGATAGAGCAGTTTGGAAACACTCTTGTTGTGGAATGTGCAAGTGGAGATTTGGAGCGCTTTGAGGCCTATGGTAGTAAAGGGAATAGCTTCATAGAAAAACTAGACAGATGCATTCTCAGGAACTTTTTGGTGATGTTTGTATTCAACTCCCAGAGTTGAACTTTCCTTTGGAAAGAGCAGCTATGAAACACTCTTTTTCTAGAATCTGCAAGTGGACGTTTGGAGGGCTTTGTGGTTTGTGGTGGAAAAGGAAATATCTTCACCTAAATACTAGATAGAAGCATTCTCAGAAGCTTCTCTGTGATGACTGCATTCAACTCACGGAGTTGAACACTCCTTTTGAGAGCGCAGTTTTGAAACTCTCTTTCTGTGGCATCTGCAAGGGGACATGTAGACCTCTTTGAAGATTTCGTTGGAAACGGAATCATCTTCACATAAAAACTATACAGAAGCAGTCTCAGAATCTTCTTTGTGATGTTTGCATTCAAATCCCAGAGTTGAACTTGCCTTTCAAAGTTCACGTTTGAAACACTCTTTTTGCAGGATCTACAAGTGGATATTTGGACCACTCTGTGTCCTTCGTTCGAAACGGGTATATCTTCACATGACATCTAGACAGAAGCTTTCTCAGAAAATTCTTTGGGATGATTGAGTGGAACTCACAGAGCTGAACATTCCTTGCGATGTAGCAGTTTAGAAACACACTTTCTGCAGAATCTGCAAGTGCATATTTGGACCTCTCTGAGGAATTCGTTGGAAACGGGATAATTTCAGCTGACTAAACAGAAGCATTCTCAGAACCTTCTTCGTGATGTCTGCATTCAACTCACAGTGTGGAACCTTTCTTTGATAGTTCAGGTTTGAAACACTCTTTTTGTAGAAACTGCAAGGGGATAATGGCACTTCTTTGAGGCCTACCGTAGTAAAGGAAATAACTTCCTATAGAAAGAAGACAGAACCATTCTCAGAACCCTCTTCGTGATGTTTGCATTCAACTCACAGTGCTGAACCTTTCTTTGATAGTTCAGCTTTGAAACACTCTTCTTGTAGAAACTGCAAGTGGATATTTGGTCCTCTCTGAGGATTTCGTTGGAAACGGGATAAACCGCACAGAACTAAACAGAAGAATTCTCAGAACCCTCTTCGTGATGTTTGCATTCAACTCACACTGCTGAACCTTTCTTTGATAGTTCAGCTTTGAAACACTCTTTTTGTAGAAACTGCAAGTGGATATTTGGTCCTCTCTGAGGATTTCGTTGGAAAAGGGATAAACCGCACAGAACTAAACAGAAGCATTCACAGAAAACTCTTGGTGACGACTGAGTTTAACTCACAGAGCTGAACATTCCTTTGGATGGAGCAGTTTCGAAACACACTCTTTGTAGAATCTGCAAGTGGATATTTGGGCCTCTCTGAAGATTTCGTTGGAAATGGGATAAACCGCACAGAACTAAAACAGAAGCATTCTCAGAAACTACTTCGTGATGATTGCATTCAAGTCACAGAGCAGAACATTCCCTCTGACAGAGCAGTTTGGAAACTCTCTTTGTGTAGCATCTGCAAGTGGAGATATGGAATGCTTTGAGGACTATGGTAGTAAAGGAAATAGCTTCATATAAAAGCTAGACAGTAGCATTCTCAGAAACTTCTTTGTGATGCTTGCATTCAACTCACAGAGTTGAACTTTCCTTTCGAGAGAGAAGCTTCGAAACACTCTTTTTCCAGAATCTGCAAGTGGACATTTGGAGGGCTTTGAGGCCTGTGGTGGAAAAGGAATTATCTTCCCGTAAAAGCTAGATAGAAGCATTGTCAGAAACTTCTTTGTGATGATTGCATTCAACTCACAGAGTTGAAGGTTCCTTTTCAAACAGCAGTTTCAAACACTCTTTCTGTGGAATCTGCAAGTGGATGTTTGGACCTCTTTGAAGATTTCGTTGGAAACGGGAGAATCTTCACAGAAAAGCTAAACAGAAGCATTCTCAGAAACTTCTCTGTGATGTTTGTGTTCAACTCCCAGAGATTCACATTGCTTTTCATAGAGTAGTTCTGAAACATGCTTTTCGTAGTGTCTGCAAGTGGACATTTGGAGCGCTTTCAGGCCTGTGGTGGAAAACGAATTATGGTCACATAAAAACTGGAGAGAAGCCTTCTCAGAAACTTCTCTGTGATGATTGCATTCAACTCACAGAGTTGAACCCTCCTATGGATAGAGCAGTGTTGAAACTCTCTTTTTGTGGAATCTGCAAGTGGATATGTGGACCTCTCCGAAGATGTCTTTGGAAACGGGAATATCTTCACATAAAAACTAAACAGAAGCATTCTCAGAAACTTCTTGGTGATGTTTGCATTCAAATCCCAGAGTTGAACCTTCCTTTGATAGTTCAGGTTGGAAACACTCATTTTGTAGGATCTGCAAGTGGATATTTGGACCACTCTGTGGCCTTCGTTCGAAACGGGTACATCTTCGCATAAAATCTAGACAGAAGCATTCTCAGAAAATACTTTGTGATTGATTGAGTTGAACTCACAGAGCTGAACATTCCTTTGGATGGAGCAGGTTTGAGACACACTTTTTGTAGAATCTACAAGTGGATATTTGGACCTCTCTGAGGATTTCGTTGGAAACGGGATAACTGCACCTAACTAAACGGAAGCATTCTCAGAAACTGCTTTGTGATGATTGCATTCACCTCACAGAGTTGAACATTCCTATTGATAGAGCAGTTTGGAAACACTCTTGTTGTGGAATGTGCAAGTGGAGATTTGGAGCGCTTTGAGGCCTGTGGTAGTAAAGGGAATAGCTTCATAGAAAAACTAGACAGATGCATTCTCAGGAACTTTTTGGTGATGTTTGTATTCAACTCCCAGAGTTGAACTTTCCTTTGGAAAGAGCAGCTATGAAACACTCTTTTTCTAGAATCTGCAAGTGGACGTTTGGAGGGCTTTGTGGTTTGTGGTGGAAAAGGAAATATCTTCACCTAAATACTAGATAGAAGCATTCTCAGAAGCTTCTCTGTGATGACTGCATTCAACTCACGGAGTTGAACACTCCTTTTGAGAGCGCAGTTTTGAAACTCTCTTTCTGTGGCATCTGCAAGGGGACATGTAGACCTCTTTGAAGATTTCGTTGGAAACGGAATCATCTTCACATAAAAACTATACAGAAGCAGTCTCAGAATCTTCTTTGTGATGTTTGCATTCAAATCCCAGAGTTGAACTTTCCTTTCAAAGTTCACGTTTGAAACACTCTTTTTGCAGGATCTACAAGTGGATATTTGGACCACTCTGTGTCCTTCGTTCGAAACGGGTATAACTTCACACGACATCTAGACAGAAGCTTTCTCAGAAAATTCTTTGGGATGATTGAGTGGAACTCACAGAGCTGAACATTCCTTGCGATGTAGCAGTTTAGAAACACACTTTCTGCAGAATCTGCAAGTGCATATTTGGACCTCTCTGAGGAATTCGTTGGAAACGGGATAATTTCAGCTGACTAAACAGAAGCATTCTCAGAACCTTCTTCGTGATGTCTGCATTCAACTCACAGTGTGGAACCTTTCTTTGATAGTTCAGGTTTGAAACACTCTTTTTGTAGAAACTGCAAGGGGATAATTGCACTTCTTTGAGGCCTACCGTAGTAAAGGAAATAACTTCCTATAGAAAGAAGACAGAAGCATTCTCAGAACCCTCTTCGTGATGTTTGCATTCAACTCACAGTGCTGAACCTTTCTTTGATAGTTCAGCTTTGAAACACTCTTCTTGTAGAAACTGCAAGTGGATATTTGGTCCTCTCTGAGGATTTCGTTGGAAACGGGATAAACCGCACAGAACTAAACAGAAGAATTCTCAGAGCCCTCTTCGTGATGTTTGCATTCAACTCACAGTGCTGAACCTTTCTTTGATAGTGCAGCTTTGAAACACTCTTTTTGTAGAAACTGCAAGTGGATGTTTGGTCCTCTCTGAGGATTTCGTTGGAAACGGGATAAACCGCACAGAACTAAAACAGAAGCATTGTCAGAAACTTCTTTGTGATGATTGCATTCAACTCACAGAGTTGAAGGTTCCTTTTCAAACAGCAGTTTCCAATCACTCTTTCTGTGGAATCTGCAAGTGGATATTTGGGCCTCTCTGAGGATTTCGTTGGAAACGGGATAAAACGCACAGAACTAAAACAGAAGCATTCTCAGAAACTTCTCTGTGATGTTTGTGTTCAACTCCCAGAGTTTCACGTTGCTTTTCATAGAGTAGTTCTGAAACATGCTTTTCGTAGTGTCTGCAAGTGGACATTTGGAGCGCTTTCAGGCCTGTGGTGGAAAACGAATTATGGTCACATAAAAACTGGAGAGAAGCCTTCTCAGAAACTTCTCTGTGATGATTGCATTCAACTCACAGAGTTGAACCCTCCTATGGATAGAGCAGTGTTGAAACTCTCTTTTTGTGGAATCTGCAAGTGGATATGTGGACCTCTCCGAAGATGTCTTTGGAAACGGGAATATCTTCACATAAAAACTAAACAGAAGCATTCTCAGAAACTTCTTGGTGATGTTTGCATTCAAATCCCAGAGTTGAGCCTTCCTTTGATAGTTCAGGTTTGAAACACTCTTTCTGTAGGATCTGCAAGTGGCTATTTGGACCACTCTGTGGCCTTCGTTCGAAACGGGTATATCTTCGCATAAAATCTAGACAGAAGCATTCTCAGAAAATACTTTGTGATGATTGAGTTTAAATCACAGAGCTGAACATTCCTTTGGATGGAGCAGGTTTGAGACACACTTTTTGTAGAATCTACAAGTGGATATTTGGACCTCTCTGAGGATTTCGTTGGAAACGGGATAACTGCACCTAACTAAACGGAAGCATTCTCAGAAACTGCTTTGTGATGATTGCATTCACCTCACAGAGTTGAACATTCCTATTGATAGAGCAGTTTGGAAACACTCTTGTTGTGGAATGTGCAAGTGGAGATTTGGAGCGCTTTGAGGTCTATGGTAGTAAAGGGAATAGCTTCATAGAAAAACTAGACAGATGCATTCTCAGGAACTTTTTGGTGATGTTTGTATTCAACTCCCAGAGTTGAACTTTCCTTTGGAAAGAGCAGCTATGAAACACTCTTTTTCTAGAATCTGCAAGTGGACGTTTGGAGGGCTTTGTGGTTTGTGGTGGAAAAGGAAATATCTTCACCTAAATACTAGATAGAAGCATTCTCAGAAGCTTCTCTGTGATGACTGCATTCAACTCACGGAGTTGAACACTCCTTTTGAGAGCGTAGTTTTGAAACTCTCTTTCTGTGGCATCTGCAAGGGGACATGTAGACCTCTTTGAAGATTTCGTTGGAAACGGAATCATCTTCACATAAAAACTATACAGAAGCAGTCTCAGAATCTTCTTTGTGATGTTTGCATTCAAATCCCAGAGTTGAACTTTCCTTTCAAAGTTCACGTTTGAAACACTCTTTTTGCAGGATCTACAAGTGGATATTTGGACCACTCTGTGTCCTTCGTTCGAAACGGGTATATCTTCACAGGACATCTAGACAGAAGCTTTCTCAGAAAATTCTTTGGGATGATTGAGTGGAACTCACAGAGCTGAACATTCCTTGCGATGTAGCAGTTTAGAAACACACTTTCTGCAGAATCTGCAAGTGCATATTTGGACCTCTCTGAGGAATTCGTTGGAAACGGGATAATTTCAGCTGACTAAACAGAAGCATTCTCAGAACCTTCTTCGTGATGTCTGCATTCAACTCACAGTGTGGAACCTTTCTTTGATAGTTCAGGTTTGAAACACTCTTTTTGTAGAAACTGCAAGGGGATAATTGCACTTCTTTGAGGCCTACCGTAGTAAAGGAAATAACTTCCTATAGAAAGAAGACAGAAGCATTCTCAGAACCCTCTTCGTGATGTTTGCATTCAACTCACAGTGCTGAACCTTTCTTTGATAGTTCAGCTTTGAAACACTCTTCTTGTAGAAACTGCAAGTGGATATTTGGTCCTCTCTGAGGATTTCGTTGTAAACGGGATAAACCGCACGGAAATAAACAGAAGAATTCTCAGAGCCCTCTTCGTGATGTTTGCATTCAACTCACAGTGCTGAACCTTTCTTTGATAGTGCAGCTTTGAAACACTCTTTTTGTAGAAACTGCAAGTGGATATTTGGTCCTCTCTGAGGATTTCGTTGGAAACGGGATAAACCGCACAGAACTAAAACAGAAGCATTCACAGAAAACTCTTGGTGACGACTGAGTTTAACTCACAGAGCTGAACATTCCTTTGGATGGAGCAGTTTCGAAACACACTATTTGTAGAATGTGCAAGTGGATATTTGGGCCTCTCTGAGGATTTCGTTGGAAACGGGATAAAACGCACAGAACTAAAACAGAAGCATTCTCAGAAACTACTTTGTGATGATTGCATTCAAGTCACAGAGTTGAACATTCCCTTTGACAGAGCAGTTTGGAAACTCTCTTTGTGTAGAATCTGCAAGTGGAGATATGGACCGCTTTGAGGCCTATGGTAGTAAAGGAAATAGCTTCATATAAAAGCTAGACAGTAGCATTCTCAGAAACTTCTTTGTGATGCTTGCATTCAACTCACAGAGTTGAACTTCCCTTTCGAGAGAGAAGCTTTGAAACACTCTTTTTCCAGAATGTGCAAGTGGACATTTGGAGGGCTTTGAGGCCTGTGGTGGAAAAGGAGTTATCTTCCCGTAAAAGCTAGATAGAAGCATTGTCAGAAACTTCTTTGTGATGATTGCATTCAACTCACAGAGTTGAAGGTTCCTTTTCAAACAGCAGTTTCCAATCACTCTTTCTGTGGAATCTGCAAGTGGATATTTCGACCTCTTTGAAGATTTCGTTGGAAACGGGAGAATCTTCACAGAAAAGCTAAACAGAAGCATTCTCAGAAACTTCTCTGTGATGTTTGTGTTCAACTCCCAGAGTTTCACGTTGCTTCTCATAGAGTAGTTCTGAAACATGCTTTTCGTAGTGTCTGCAAGTGGACATTTGGAGCGCTTTCAGGCCTGTGGTGGAAAACGAATTATGGTCACATAAAAACTGGAGAGAAGCCTTCTCAGAAACTTCTCTGTGATGATTGCATTCAACTCACAGAGTTGAACCCTCTATGGATAGAGCAGTGTTGAAACTCTCTTTTTGTGGAATCTGCAAGTGGATATGTGGACCTCTCCGAAGATGTCTTTGGAAACGGGAATATCTTCACATAAAAACTAAACAGAAGCATTCTCAGAAACTTCTTGGTGATGTTTGCATTCAAATCCCAGAGTTGAACCTTCCTTTGATAGTTCAGGTTTGAAACACTCTTTTTGTAGGATCTGCAAGTGGATATTTGGACCACTCTGTGGCCTTCGTTCGAAACGGGTATATCTTCGCATAAAATCTAGACAGAAGCATTCTCAGAAAATACTTTGTGATGATTGAGTTGAACTCACAGAGCTGAACATTCCTTTGGATGGAGCAGGTTTGAGACACACTTTTTGTAGAATCTACAAGTGGATATTTGGACCTCTCTGAGGATTTCGTTGGAAACGGGATAACTGCACCTAACTAAACGGAAGCATTCTCAGAAACTGCTTTGTGATGATTGCATTCACCTCACAGAGTTGAACATTCCTATTGATAGAGCAGTTTGGAAACACTCTTGTTGTGGAATGTGCAAGTGGAGATTTGGAGCGCTTTGAGGCCTATGGTAGTAAAGGGAATAGCTTCATAGAAAAACTAGACAGATGCATTCTCAGGAACTTTTTGGTGATGTTTGTATTCAACTCCCAGAGTTGAACTTTCCTTTGGAAAGAGCAGCTATGAAACACTCTTTTTCTAGAATCTGCAAGTGGACGTTTGGAGGGCTTTGTGGTTTGTGGTGGAAAAGGAAATATCTTCACCTAAATACTAGATAGAAGCATTCTCAGAAGCTTCTCTGTGATGACTGCATTCAACTCACGGAGTTGAACACTCCTTTTGAGAGCGTAGTTTTGAAACTCTCTTTCTGTGGCATCTGCAAGGGGACATGTAGACCTCTTTGAAGATTTCGTTGGAAACGGAATCATCTTCACATAAAAACTATACAGAAGCAGTCTCAGAATCTTCTTTGTGATGTTTGCATTCAAATCCCAGAGTTGAACTTTCCTTTCAAAGTTCACGTTTGAAACACTCTTTTTGCAGGATCTACAAGTGGATATTTGGACCACTCTGTGTCCTTCGTTCGAAACGGGTATATCTTCACATGACATCTAGACAGAAGCTTTCTCAGAAAATTCTTTGGGATGATTGAGTTGAGCAAACAGAGCTGAACACTCCTTGCGATGTAGCAGTTTAGAAACACACTTTCTGCAGAATCTGCAAGTGCATATGTGGACCTCTCTGAGGAATTCGTTGGAAATGGGATAATTTCAGCTGACTAAACAGAAGCATTCTCAGAACCTTCTTCGTGATGTCTGCATTCAACTCACAGTGTGGAACCTTTCTTTGATAGTTCAGGTTTGAAACACTCTTTTTGTAGAAACTGCAAGGGGATCATTGCACTTCTTTGAGGCCTACCGTAGTAAAGGAGATAACTTCCTATAAAAAGAAGACAGAAGCATTCACAGAAAACTCTTGGTGACGACTGAGTTTAACTCACAGAGCTGAACATTCCTTTGGATGGAGCAGTTTCGAAACACACTATTTGTAGAATGTGCAAGTGGATATGTGGGCCTCTCTGAGGATTTCGTTGGAAACGGGATAAACCGCACAGAACTAAACAGAAGCATTCTCAGAAAATACTTTGTGATGATTGCATTCAAGTCACAGAGTTGAACATTCCCTTTGACAGAGCAGTTTGGAAAATCTCTTTGCGTAGAATCTGCAAGTGGAGATATGGACCGCTTTGAGGCCTATGGTAGTAAAGGAAATAGCTTCATATAAATGCTAGACAGCAGCATTCTCAGAAACTTCTTTGTGATGCTTGCATTCAACTCACAGAGTTGAACTTTCCTTTCGAGAGAGAAGCTTTGAAACACTCTTTTTCCAGAATCTGCAAGTGGACATTTGGAGGGCTTTGAGGCCTGTGGTGGAAAAGGAATTATCTTCCCGTAAAAGCTAGATAGAAGCATTGTCAGAAACTTCTTTGTGATGATTGCTTTCAACTCACAGAGTTGAAGGTTCCTTTTCAAACAGCAGTTTCCAATCACTCTTTCTGTGGAATCTGCAAGTGGATATTTGGACCTCTTTGAAGATTTCGTTGGAAACGGGAGAATGTTCACAGAAAAGCTAAACAGAAGCATTCTCAGAAACTTCTCTGTGATGTTTGTGTTCAACTCCCAGAGTTTCACATTGCTTTTCATAGAGTAGTTCTGAAACATGCTTTTCGTAGTGTCTGCAAGTGGACATTTGGAGCGCTTTCAGGCCTGTGGTGGAAAACGAATTATGGTCACATAAAAACTGGAGAGAAGCCTTCTCAGAAACTTCTCTGTGATGATTGCATTCAACTCACAGAGTTGAACCCTCCTATGGATAGAGCAGTGTTGAAACTCTCTTTTTGTGGAATCTGCAAGTGGATATGTGGACCTCTCCGAAGATGTCTTTGGAAACGGGAATATCTTCACATAAAAACTAAACAGAAGCATTCTCAGAAACTTCTTGGTGATGTTTGCATTCAAATCCCAGAGTTGAACCTTCCTTTGATAGTTCAGGTTTGAAACACTCTTTTTGTAGGATCTGCAAGTGGATATTTGGACCACTCTGTGGCCTTCGTTCGAAACGGGTACATCTTCGCAAAAAATCTAGACAGAAGCATTCTCAGAAAATACTTTGTGATGATTGAGTTTAACTCACAGAGCTGAACATTCCTTTGGATGGAGCAGGTTTGAGACACACTTTTTGTAGGATCTACAAGTGGATATTTCGACCTCTCTGAGGATTTCGTTGGAAACGGGATAACTGCACCTAACTAAACGGAAGCATTCTCAGAAACTGCTTTGTGATGATTGCATTCACCTCACAGAGTTGACCATTCCTATTGATAGAGCAGTTTGGAAACACTCTTGTTGTGGAATGTGCAAGTGGAGATTTGGAGCGCTTTGAGGCCTATGGTAGTAAAGGGAATAGCTTCATAGAAAAACTAGACAGATGCATTCTCAGGAACTTTTTGGTGATGTTTGTATTCAACTCCCAGAGTTGAACTTTCCTTTGGAAAGAGCAGCTATGAAACACTCTTTTTCTAGAATCTGCAAGTGGACGATTGGAGGGCTTTGTGGTTTGTGGTGGAAAAGGAAATATCTTCACCTAAATACTAGATAGAAGCATTCTCAGAAGCTTCTCTGTGATGACTGCATTCAACTCACGGAGTTGAACACTCCTTTTGAGAGCGCAGTTTTGAAACTCTCTTTCTGTGGCATCTGCAAGGGGACATGTAGACCTCTTTGAAGATTTCGTTGGAAACGGAATCATCTTCACATAAAAACTATACAGAAGCAGTCTCAGAATCTTCTTTGTGATGTTTGCATTCAAATCCCAGAGTTGAACTTTCCTTTCAAAGTTCACGTTTGAAACACTCTTTTTGCAGGATCTACAAGTGGATATTTGGACCACTCTGTGTCCTTCGTTCGAAACGGGTATATCTTCACATGACATCTAGACAGAAGCTTTCTCAGAAAATTCTTTGGGATGATTGAGTTGAACTCACAGAGCTGAGCATTCCTTGCGATGTAGCAGTTTAGAAACACACTTTCTGCAGAATCTGCAAGTGCATATTTGGACCTCTGTGAGGAATTCGTTGGAAACGGGATAATTTCAGCTGACTAAACAGAAGCATTCTCAGAACCTTCTTCGTGATGTCTGCATTCAACTCACAGTGTGGAACCTTTCTTTGATAGTTCAGGTTTGAAACACTCTTTTTGTAGAAACTGCAAGGGGATAATTGCACTCTTTGAGGAGTACCGTAGTAAAGGAAATAACTTCCTATAAAAAGAAGACAGAAGCATTCTCAGAACCCTCTTCGTGATGTTTGCATTCAACTCACAGTGCTGAACCTTTCTTTGATAGTTCAGCTTTGAAACACTCTTTTTGTAGAAACTGCAAGTGGATATTTGGTCCTCTCTGAGGATTTCGTTGGAAACGGGATAAACTGCACAGAACTAAACAGAAAGCATTCTCAGAACCTTCTTCGTGATGTTTGCATTCAACTCACAGTGTTGAACCTTTCTTTGATAGTTCAGGTTTGAAACGGTCTTTCTGTAGAAACTGCAAGTAGATATTTGGACCTCTCTGAGGATTTCGTTGGAAACGGGATAACCCGCACAGAACTAAAACAGAAGCATTCACAGAAAACTCTTGGTGACGACTGAGTTTAACTCACAGAGCTGAACATTCCTTTGGATGGAGCAGTTTCGAAACACACTATTTGTAGAATGTGCAAGTGGATATTTAGGCCTCTCTGAGGATTTCGTTGGAAACGGGATAAACCGCACAGAACTAAACAGAAGCATTCTCAGAAACTACTTTGTGATGATTGCATTCAAGTCACAGAGTTGAACATTCCCTTTGACAGAGCAGTTTGGAAACTCTCTTTGTGTAGAATCTGCAAGTGGAGATATGGACCGTTGAGGCCTATGGTAGTAAAGGAAATAGCTTCATATAAAAGTTAGACAGTAGCATTCTCAGAAACTTCTTTGTGATGCTTGCATTCAACTCACAGAGTTGAACTTTCCTTTCGAGAGAGAAGCTTTGAAACACTCTTTTTCCAGAATCTGCAAGTGGACATTTGGAGGGCTTTGAGGCCTGTGGTGGAAAAGGAATTATCTTCCCGTAAAAGCTAGATAGAAGCATTGTCAGAAACTTCTTTGTGATGATTGCATTCAACTCACAGAGTTGAAGGTTCCTTTTCAAACAGCAGTTTCCAATCACTCTTTCTGTGGAATCTGCAAGTGGATATTTGGACCGCTTTGAAGATTTCGTTGGAAACGGGAGAATCTTCACAGAAAAGCTAAACAGAAGCATTCTCAGAAACTTCTCTGTGATGTTTGTGTTCAACTCCCAGAATTTCACATTGCTTTTCATAGAGTAGTTCTGAAACATGCTTTTCGTAGTGTCTGCAAGTGGACATTTGGAGCGCTTTCAGGCCTGTGGTGGAAAACGAATTATGGTCACATAAAAACTGGAGAGAAGCCTTCTCAGAAACTTCTCTGTGATGATTGCATTCAACTCACAGAGTTGAACCCTCCCTATGGATAGAGCAGTGTTGAAACTCTCTTTTTGTGGAACCTGCAAGTGGATATGTGGACCTCTCCGAAGATGTCTTTGGAAACGGGAATATCTTCACATAAAAACTAAACAGAAGCATTCTCAGAAACTTCTTGGTGATGTTTGCATTCAAATCCCAGAGTTGAACCTTCCTTTGATAGTTCAGGTTTGAAACACTCTTTCTGTAGGATCTGCAAGTGGCTATTTGGACCACTCTGTGGCCTTCGTTCGAAACGGGTATATCTTCGCATAAAATCTAGACAGAAAGCATTCTCAGAAAATACTTTGTGATGATTGAGTTTAAATCACAGAGCTGAACATTCCTTTGGATGGAGCAGGTTTGAGACACACTTTTTGTAGAATCTACAAGTGGATATTTGGACCTCTCTGAGGATTTCGTTGGAAACGGGATAACTGCACCTAACTAAACGGAAGCATTCTCAGAAACTGCTTTGTGATGATTGCATTCACCTCACAGAGTTGAACATTCCTATTGATAGAGCAGTTTGGAAACACTCTTGTTGTGGAATGTGCAAGTGGAGATTTGGAGCGCTTTGAGGCCTATGGTAGTAAAGTGAATAGCTTCATAGAAAAACTAGACAGATGCATTCTCAGGAACTTTTTGGTGATGTTTGTATTCAACTCCCAGAGTTGAACTTTCCTTTGGAAAGAGCAGCTATGAAACACTCTTTTTCTAGAATCTGCAAGTGGACGTTTGGAGGGCTTTGTGGTTTGTGGTGGAGAAGGAAATATCTTCACCTAAATACTAGATAGAAGCATTCTCAGAAGCTTCTCTGTGATGACTGCATTCAACTCACGGAGTTGAACACTCCTTTTGAGAGCGCAGTTTTGAAACTCTCTTTCTGTGGCATCTGCAAGGGGACATGTAGACCTCTTTGAAGATTTCGTTGGAAACCGAATCATCTTCACATAAAAACTATACAGAAGCAGTCTCAGAATCTTCTTTGTGATGTTTGCATTCAAATCCCAGAGTTGAACTTTCCTTTCAAAGTTCACGTTTGAAACACTCTTTTTGCAGGATCTACAAGTGGATATTTGGACCACTCTGTGTCCTTCGTTCGAAACGGGTATATCTTCACACGACATCTAGACAGAAGCTTTCTCAGAAAATTCTTTGGGATGATTGAGTGGAACTCACAGAGCTGAACATTCCTTGCGATGTAGCAGTTTAGAAACACACTTTCTGCAGAATCTGCAAGTGCATATTTGGACCTCTCTGAGGAATTCGTTGGAAACGGGATAATTTCAGCTGACTAAACAGAAGCATTCTCAGAACCTTCTTCGTGATGTCTGCATTCAACTCACAGTGTGGAACCTTTCTTTGATAGTTCAGGTTTGAAACACTCTTTTTGTAGAAACTGCAAGGGGATAATTGCACTTCTTTGAGGCCTACCGTAGTAAAGGAAATAACTTCCTATAGAAAGAAGACAGAAGCATTCTCAGAACCCTCTTCGTGATGTTTGCATTCAACTCACAGTGCTGAACCTTTCTTTGATAGTTCAGCTTTGAAACACTCTTCTTGTAGAAACTGCAAGTGGATATTTGGTCCTCTCTGAGGATTTCGTTGGAAACGGGATAAACCGCACAGAACTAAACAGAAGATTTCTCAGAGCCCTCTTCGTGATGTTTGCATTCAACTCACAGTGCTGAACCTTTCTTTGATAGTGCAGCTTTGAAACACTCTTTTTGTAGAAACTGCAAGTGGATATTTGGTCCTCTCTGAGCATTTCGTTGGAAACGGGATAAACCGCACAGAACTAAAACAGAAGCATTCACAGAAAACTCTTGGTGACGACTGAGTTTAACTCACAGAGCTGAACATTCCTTTGGATGGAGCAGTTTCGAAACACACTATTTGTAGAATCTGCAAGTGGATATTTGGGCCTCTCTGAGGATTTCGTTGGAAACGGGATAAAACGCACAGAACTAAAACAGAAGCATTCTCAGAAACTACTTTGTGATGATTGCATTCAAGTCACAGAGTTGAACATTCCCTTTGACAGAGCAGTTTGGAAACTCTCTTTGTGTAGAATCTGCAAGTGGAGATATGGACCGCTTTGAGGCCTATGGTAGTAAAGGAAATAGCTTCATATAAAAGCTAGACAGTAGCATTCTCAGAAACTTCTTTGTGATGCTTGCATTCAACTCACAGAGTTGAACTTTCCTTTCGAGAGAGAAGCTTTGAAACACTCTTTTTCCGGAATCTGCAAGTGGACATTTGGAGGGCTTTGAGGCCTGTGGTGGAAAAGGAATTATCTTCCCGTAAAAGCTAGATAGAAGCATTGTCAGAAACTTCTTTGTGATGATTGCATTCAACTCACAGAGTTGAAGGTTCCTTTTCAAACAGCAGTTTCCAATCACTCTTTCTGTGGAATCTGCAAGTGGATATTTGGACCTATTTTGAAGATTTCCTTGGAAACGGTATAATCTTCACAGAAAAGCTAAACAGAAGCATTCTCAGAAACTTCTCTGTGATGTTTGTGTTCAACTCCCAGAGTTTCACGTTGCTTTTCATAGAGTAGTTCTGAAACATGCTTTTCGTAGTGTCTGCAAGTGGACATTTGGAGCGCTTTCAGGCCTGTGGTGGAAAACGAATTATGGTCACATAAAAACTGGAGAGAAGCCTTCTCAGAAACTTCTCTGCGATGATTGCATTCAACTCACAGAGTTGAACCCTCGTATGGATAGAGCAGTGTTGAAACTATGTTTTTGTGGAATCTGCAAGTGGATATGTGGACCTCGCCGAAGATGTCTTTGGAAACGGGAATATCTTCACATAAAAACTAAACAGAAGCATTCTCAGAAACTTCTTGGTGATGTTTGCATTCAAATCCCAGAGTTGAACCTTCCTTTGATAGTTCAGGTTTGAAACACTCTTTTTGTAGGATCTGCAAGTGGATATTTGGACCACTCTGTGGCCTTCGTTCGAAACGGGTATATCTTCGCATAAAATCTAGACAGAAGCATTCTCAGAAAATACTTTGTGATGATTGAGTTTAACTCACAGAGCTGAACATTCCTTTGGATGGAGCAGGTTTGAGACACACTTTTTGTAGAATCTACAAGTGGATATTTGGACCTCTCTGAGGATTTCGTTGGAAACGCGATAACTGCACCTAACTAAACGGAAGCATTCTCAGAAACTGCTTTGTGATGATTGCATTCACCTCACAGAGTTGAACATTCCTATTGATAGAGCAGTTTGGAAACACTCTTGTTGTGGAGTGTGCAAGTGGAGATTTGGAGCGCTTTGAGGCCTATGGTAGTAAAGGGAATAGCTTCATAGAAAAACTAGACAGATGCATTCTCAGGAACTTTTTGGTGATGTTTGTATTCAACTCCCAGAGTTGAACTTTCCTTTGGAAAGAGCAGCTATGAAACACTGTTTTTCTAGAATCTGCAAGTGGACGTTTGGAGGGCTTTGTGGTTTGTGGTGGAAAAGGAAATATCTTCACCTAAATACTAGATAGAAGCATTCTCAGAAGCTTCTCTGTGATGACTGCATTCAACTCACGGAGTTGAACACTCCTTTTGAGAGCGCAGTTTTGAAACTCTCTTTCTGTGGCATCTGCAAGGGGACATGTAGACCTCTTTGAAGATTTCGTTGGAAACGGAATCATCTTCACATAAAAACTATACAGAAGCAGTCTCAGAATCTTCTTTGTGATGTTTGCATTCAAATCCCCGAGTTGAACTTTCCTTTCAAAGTTCACGTTTGAAACACTCTTTTTGCAGGATCTACAAGTGGATATTTGGACCACTCTGTGTCCTTCGTTCGAAACGGGTATATCTTCACATGACATCTAGACAGAAGCTTTCTCAGAAAATTCTTTGGGATGATTGAGTTGAACTCACAGAGCTGAGCATTCCTTGCGATGTAGCAGTTTAGAAACACACTTTCTGCAGAATCTGCAAGTGCATATTTGGACCTCTGTGAGGAATTCGTTGGAAACGGGATAATTTCAGCTGACTAAACAGAAGCATTCTCAGAACCTTCTTCGTGATGTCTGCATTCAACTCACAGTGTGGAACCTTTCTTTGATAGTTCAGGTTTGAAACACTCTTTCTGTAGAAACTGCAAGGGGATAATTGCACTCTTTGAGGAGTACCGTAGTAAAGGAAATAACTTCCTATAAAAAGAAGACAGAAGCATTCTCAGAACCCTCTTCGTGATGTTTGCATTCAACTCACAGTGCTGAACCTTTCTTTGATAGTTCAGCTTTGAAACACTCTTTTTGTAGAAACTGCAAGTGGATATTTGGTCCTCTCTGAGGATTTCGTTGGAAACGGGATAAACTGCACAGAACTAAACAGAAGCATTCTCAGAACCTTCTTCGTGATGTTTGCATTCAACTCACAGTGTTGAACCTTTCTTAGATAGTTCAGGTTTGAAACGGTCTTTCTGTAGAAACTGCAAGTAGATATTTGGACCTCTCTGAGGATTTCGTTGGAAACGGGATAACCCGCACAGAACTAAAACAGAAGCATTCACAGAAAACTCATGGTGACGAATGAGTTTAACTCACAGAGCTGAACATTCCTTTGGATGGAGCAGTTTCGAAACACACTATTTGTAGAATGTGCAAGTGGATATTTGGGCCTCTCTGAGGATTTCGTTGGAAACGGGATAAACCGCACAGACCTAAACAGAAGCATTCTCAGAAACTACTTTGTGATGATTGCATTCAAGTCACAGAGTTGAACATTCCCTTTGACAGAGCAGTTTGGAAACTCTCTTTGTGTAGAATCTGCAAGTGGAGATATGGACCGCTTTGAGGCCTATGGTAGTAAAGGAAATAGCTTCATATAAAAGCTAGACAGTAGCATTCTCAGAAACTTCTTTGTGATGCTTGCATTCAACTCACAGAGTTGAACTTTCCTTTCGAGAGAGAAGCTTTGAAACACTCTTTTTCCAGAATGTGCAAGTGGACATTTGGGGAGCTTTGAGGCCTGTGGTGGAAAAGGAATTATCTTCCCGTAAAAGCTAGATAGAAGCATTGTCAGAAACTTCTTTGTGATGATTGCATTCAACTCACAGAGTTGAAGGTTCCTTTTCAAACAGCAGTTTCCAATCACTCTTTCTGTGGAATCTGCAAGTGGATATTTCGACCTCTTTGAAGATTTCGTTGGAAACGGGAGAATCTTCACAGAAAAGCTAAACAGAAGCATTCTCAGAAACTTCTCTGTGATGTTTGTGTTCAACTCCCAGAGTTTCACGTTGCTTTTCATAGAGTAGTTCTGAAACATGCTTTTCGTAGTGTCTGCAAGTGGACATTTGGAGCGCTTTCAGGCCTGTGGTGGAAAACGAATTATGGTCACATAAAAACTGGAGAGAAGCCTTCTCAGAAACTTCTCTGTGATGATTGCATTCAACTCACAGAGTTGAACCCTCCTATGGATAGAGCAGTGTTGAAACTCTCTTTTTGTGGAATCTGCAAGTGGATATGTGGACCTCTCCGAAGATGTCTTTGGAAACGGGAATATCTTCACATAAAAACTAAACAGAAGCATTCTCAGAAACTTCTTGGTGATGTTTGCATTCAAATCCCAGAGTTGAACCTTCCTTTGATAGTTCAGGTTTGAAACACTCTTTCTGTAGGATCTGCAAGTGGCTATTTGGACCACTCTGTGGCCTTCGTTCGAAATGGGTATATCTTCGCATAAAATCTAGACAGAAGCATTCTCAGAAAATACTTTGTGATGATTGAGTTAAAATCACAGAGCTGAACATTCCTTTGGATGGAGCAGGTTTGAGACACACTTTTTGTAGAATCTACAAGTGGATATTTGGACCTCTCTGAGGATTTCGTTGGAAACGGGATAACTGCACCTAACTAAACGGAAGCATTCTCAGAAACTGCTTTGTGATGATTGCATTCACCTCACAGAGTTGAACATTCCTATTGATAGAGCAGTTTGGAAACACTCTTGTTGTGGAATGTGCAAGTGGAGATTTGGAGCGCTTTGAGGCCTATGGTAGTAAAGGGAATAGCTTCATAGAAAAACTAGACAGATGCATTCTCAGGAACTTTTTGGTGATGTTTGTATTCAACTCCCAGAGTTGAACTTTCCTTTGGAAAGAGCAGCTATGAAACACTCTTTTTCTAGAATCTGCAAGTGGACGTTTGGAGGGCTTTGTGGTTTGTGGTGGAAAAGGAAATATCTTCACCTAAATACTAGATAGAAGCATTCTCAGAAGCTTCTCTGTGATGACTGCATTCAACTCACGGAGTTGAACACTCCTTTTGAGAGCGCAGTTTTGAAACTCTCTTTCTGTGGCATCTGCAAGGGGACATGTAGACCTCTTTGAAGATTTCGTTGGAAACGGAATCATCTTCACATAAAAACTATACAGAAGCAGTCTCAGAATCTTCTTTGTGATGTTTGCATTCAAATCCCAGAGTTGAACTTTCCTTTCAAAGTTCACGTTTGAAACACTCTTTTTGCAGGATCTACAAGTGGATATTTGGACCACTCTGTGTCCTTCGTTCGAAACGGGTATATCTTCACACGACATCTAGACAGAAGCTTTCTCAGAAAATTCTTTGGGATGATTGAGTGGAACTCACAGAGCTGAACATTCCTTGCGATGTAGCAGTTTAGAAACACACTTTCTGCAGAATCTGCAAGTGCATATTTGGACCTCTCTGAGGAATTCGTTGGAAACGGGATAATTTCAGCTGACTAAACAGAAGCATTCTCAGAACCTTCTTCGTGATGTCTGCATTCAACTCACAGTGTGGAACCTTTCTTTGATAGTTCAGGTTTGAAACACTCTTTTTGTAGAAACTGCAAGGGGATAATTGCACTTCTTTGAGGCCTACCGTAGTAAAGGAAATAACTTCCTATAGAAAGAAGACAGAAGCATTCTCAGAACCCTCTTCGTGATGTTTGCATTCAACTCACAGTGCTGAACCTTTCTTTGATAGTTCAGCTTTGAAACACTCTTCTTGTAGAAACTGCAAGTGGATATTTGGTCCTCTCTGAGGATTTCGTTGGAAACGGGATAAACCGCACAGAACTAAACAGAAGAATTCTCAGAGCCCTCTTCGTGGTGTTTGCATTCAACTCACAGTGCTGAACCTTTCTTTGATAGTGCAGCTTTGAAACACTCTTTTTGTAGAAACTGCAAGTGGATATTTGGTCCTCTCTGAGGATTTCGTTGGAAACGGGATAAACCGCACAGAACTAAAACAGAAGCATTCACAGAAAACTCTTGGTGACGACTGAGTTTAACTCACAGAGCTGAACATTCCTTTGGATGGAGCAGTTTCGAAACACACTATTTGTAGAATCTGCAAGTGGATATTTGGGCCTCTCTGAGGATTTCGTTGGAAACGGGATAAACCGCACAGAACTAAAACAGAAGCATTCTCAGAAACTACTTTGTGATGATTGCATTCAAGTCACAGAGTTGAACATTCCCTTTGACAGAGCAGTTTGGAAACTCTCTTTGTGTAGAATCTGCAAGTGGAGATATGGACCGCTTTGAGGCCTATGGTAGTAAAGGAAATAGCTTCATATAAAAGCTAGACAGTAGCATTCTCAGAAACTTCTTGGTGATGCTTGCATTCAACTCACAGAGTTGAACTTTCCTTTCGAGAGAGAAGCTTTGAAACACTCTTTTTCCAGAATCTGCAAGTGGACATTTGGAGGGCTTTGAGGCCTGTGGTGGAAAAGGAATTATCTTCCCGTAAAAGCTAGATAGAAGCATTGTCAGAAACTTCTTTGTGATGATTGCATTCAACTCACAGAGTTGAAGGTTCCTTTTCAAAGAGCAGTTTCCAATCACTCTTTCTGTGGAATCTGCAAGTGGATATTTGGACCTCTTTGAAGATTTCGTTGGAAACGGGAGAATCTTCACAGAAAAGCTAAAGAGAAGCATTCTCAGAAACTTCTCTGTGATGTTTGTGTTCAACTCCCAGAGTTTCACGTTGCTTTTCATAGAGTAGTTCTGAAACATGCTTTTCGTAGTGTCTGCAAGTGGACATTTGGAGCGCTTTCAGGCCTGTGGTGGAAAACGAATTATGGTCACATAAAAACTGGAGAGAAGCCTTCTCAGAAACTTCTCTGTGATGATTGCATTGAACTCACAGAGTTGAACCCTCCTATGGATAGAGCAGTGTTGAAACTCTCTTTTTGTGGAATCTGCAAGTGGATATGTGGACCTCTCCGAAGATGTCTTTGGAAACGGGAATATCTTCACATAAAAACTAAACAGAAGCATTCTCAGAAACTTCTTGGTGATGTTTGCATTCAAATCCCAGAGTTGAACCTTCCTTTGATAGTTCAGGTTTGAAACACTCTTTTTGTAGGATCTGCAAGTGGCTATTTGGACCACTCTGTGGCCTTCGTTCGAAACGGGTATATCTTCGCATAAAATCTAGACAGAAGCATTCTCAGAAAATACTTTGTGATGATTGAGTTTAAATCACAGAGCTGAACATTCCTTTGGATGGAGCAGGTTTGAGACACACTTTTTGTAGAATCTACAAGTGGATATTTGGACCTCTCTGAGGATTTCGTTGGAAACGGGATAACTGCACCTAACTAAACGGAAGCATTCTCAGAAACTGCTTTGTGATGATTGCATTCACCTCACAGAGTTGAACATTCCTATTGATAGAGCAGTTTGGAAACACTCTTGTTGTGGAATGTGCAAGTGGAGATTTGGAGCGCTTTGAGGCCTATGGTAGTAAAGGGAATAGCTTCATAGAAAAACTAGACAGATGCATTCTCAGGAACTTTTTGGTGATGTTTGTATTCAACTCCCAGAGTTGAACTTTCCTTTGGAAAGAGCAGCTATGAAACACTCTTTTTCTAGAATCTGCAAGTGGACGTTTGGAGGGCTTTGTGGTTTGTGGTGGAAAAGGAAATATCTTCACCTAAATACTAGATAGAAGCATTCTCAGAAGCTTCTCTGTGATGACTGCATTCAACTCACGGAGTTGAACACTCCTTTTGAGAGCGCAGTTTTGAAACTCTCTTTCTGTGGCATCTGCAAGGGGACATGTAGACCTCTTTGAAGATTTCGTTGGAAACGGAATCATCTTCACATAAAAACTATACAGAAACAGTCTCAGAATCTTCTTTGTGATGTTTGCATTCAAATCCCAGAGTTGAACTTTCCTTTCAAAGTTCACGTTTGAAACACTCTTTTTGCAGGATCTACAAGTGGATATTTGGACCACTACTGTGTCCTTCGTTCGAAACGGGTATATCTTCACATGACATCTAGACAGAAGCTTTCTCAGAAAATTCTTTGGGATGATTGAGTGGAACTCACAGAGCTGAACATTCCTTGCGATGTAGCAGTTTAGAAACACACTTTCTGCAGAATCTGCAAGTGCATATTTGGACCTCTCTGAGGAATTCGTTGGAAACGGGATAATTTCAGCTGACTAAACAGAAGCATTCTCAGAACCTTCTTCGTGATGTCTGCATTCAACTCACAGTGTGGAACCTTTCTTTGATAGTTCAGGTTTGAAACACTCTTTTTGTAGAAACTGCAAGGGGATAATTGCACTTCTTTGAGGCCTACCGTAGTAAAGGAAATAACTTCCTATAGAAAGAAGACAGAAGCATTCTCAGAACCCTCTTCGTGATGTTTGCATTCAACTCACAGTGCTGAACCTTTCTTTGATAGTTCAGCTTTGAAACACTCTTCTTGTAGAAACTGCAAGTGGATATTTGGTCCTCTCTGAGGATTTCGTTGGAAACGGGATAAACCGCACAGAACTAAACAGAAGAATTCTCAGAGCCCTCTTCGTGATGTTTGCATTCAACTCACAGTGCTGAACCTTTCTTTGATAGTGCAGCTTTGAAACACTCTTTTTGTAGAAACTGCAAGTGGATATTTGGTCCTCTCTGAGGATTTCGTTGGAAACGGGATAAACCGCACAGAACTAAAACAGAAGCATTCACAGAAAACTCTTGGTGACGACTGAGTTTAACTCACAGAGCTGAACATTCCTTTGGATGGAGCAGTTTCGAAACACACTATTTGTAGAATCTGCAAGTGGATATTTGGGCCTCTCTGAGGATTTCGTTGGAAACGGGATAAAACGCACAGAACTAAAACAGAAGCATTCTCAGAAACTACTTTGTGATGATTGCATTCAAGTCACAGAGTTGAACATTCCCTTTGACAGAGCAGTTTGGAAACTCTCTTTGTGTAGAATCTGCAAGTGGAGATATGGACCGCTTTGAGGCCTATGGTAGTAAAGGAAATAGCTTCATATAAAAGCTAGACAGTAGCATTCTCAGAAACTTCTTTGTGATGCTTGCATTCAACTCACAGAGTTGAACTTTCCTTTCGAGAGAGAAGCTTTGAAACACTCTTTTTCCAGAATGTGCAAGTGGACATTTGGGGAGCTTTGAGGCCTGTGGTGGAAAAGGAATTATCTTCCCGTAAAAGCTAGATAGAAGCATTGTCAGAAACTTCTTTGTGATGATTGCATTCAACTCACAGAGTTGAAGGTTCCTTTTCAAACAGCAGTTTCCAATCACTCTTTCTGTGGAATCTGCAAGTGGATATTTCGACCTCTTTGAAGATTTCGTTGGAAACGGGAGAATCTTCACAGAAAAGCTAAACAGAAGCATTCTCAGAAACTTCTCTGTGATGTTTGTGTTCAACTCCCAGAGTTTCACGTTGCTTTTCATAGAGTAGTTCTGAAACATGCTTTTCGTAGTGTCTGCAAGTGGACATTTGGAGCGCTTTCAGGCCTGTGGTGGAAAACGAATTATGGTCACATAAAAACTGGAGAGAAGCATTCTCAGAAAATACTTTGTGATGATTGAGTTTAAATCACAGAGCTGACCATTCCTTTGGATGGAGCAGGTTTGAGACACACTTTTTGTAGAATCTACAAGTGGATATTTGGACCTCTCTGAGGATTTCGTTGGAAACGGGATAACTGCACCTAACTAAACGGAAGCATTCTCAGAAACTGCTTTGTGATGATTGCATTCACCTCACAGAGTTGAACATTCCTATTGATAGAGCAGTTTGGAAACACTCTTGTTGTGGAATGTGCAAGTGGAGATTTGGAGCGCTTTGAGGCCTGTGGTAGTAAAGGGAATAGCTTCATAGAAAAACTAGACAGATGCATTCTCAGGAACTTTTTGGTGATGTTTGTATTCAACTCCCAGAGTTGAACTTTCCTTTGGAAAGAGCAGCTATGAAACACTCTTTTTCTAGAATCTGCAAGTGGACGTTTGGAGGGCTTTGTGGTTTGTGGTGGAAAAGGAAATATCTTCACCTAAATACTAGATAGAAGCATTCTCAGAAGCTTCTCTGTGATGACTGCATTCAACTCACGGAGTTGAACACTCCTTTTGAGAGCGCAGTTTTGAAACTCTCTTTCTGTGGCATCTGCAAGGGGACATGTAGACCTCTTTGAAGATTTCGTTGGAAACGGAATCATCTTCACATAAAAACTATACAGAAGCAGTCTCAGAATCTTCTTTGTGATGTTTGCATTCAAATCCCAGAGTTGAACTTTCCTTTCAAAGTTCACGTTTGAAACACTCTTTTTGCAGGATCTACAAGTGGATATTTGGACCACTCTGTGTCCTTCGTTCGAAACGGGTATATCTTCACACGACATCTAGACAGAAGCTTTCTCAGAAAATTCTTTGGGATGATTGAGTGGAACTCACAGAGCTGAACATTCCTTGCGATGTAGCAGTTTAGAAACACACTTTCTGCAGAATCTGCAAGTGCATATTTGGACCTCTCTGAGGAATTCGTTGGAAACGGGATAATTTCAGCTGACTAAACAGAAGCATTCTCAGAACCTTCTTCATGATGTCTGCATTCAACTCACAGTGTGGAACCTTTCTTTGATAGTTCAGGTTTGAAACACTCTTTTTGTAGAAACTGCAAGGGGATAATTGCACTTCTTTGAGGCCTACCGTAGTAAAGGAAATAACTTCCTATAGAAAGAAGACAGAAGCATTCTCAGAACCCTCTTCGTGATGTTTGCATTCAACTCACAGTGCTGAACCTTTCTTTGATAGTTCAGCTTTGAAACACTCTTCTTGTAGAAACTGCAAGTGGATATTTGGTCCTCTCTGAGGATTTCGTTGGAAACGGGATAAACCGCACAGAACTAAACAGAAGAATTCTCAGAGCCCTCTTCGTGATGTTTGCATTCAACTCACAGTGCTGAACCTTTCTTTGATAGTGCAGCTTTGAAACACTCTTTTTGTAGAAACTGCAAGTGGATGTTTGGTCCTCTCTGAGGATTTCGTTGGAAACGGGATAAACCGCACAGAACTAAAACAGAAGCATTGTCAGAAACTTCTTTGTGATGATTGCATTCAACTCACAGAGTTGAAGGTTCCTTTTCAAACAGCAGTTTCCAATCACTCTTTCTGTGGAATCTGCAAGTGGATATTTGGGCCTCTCTGAGGATTTCGTTGGAAACGGGATAAAACGCACAGAACTAAAACAGAAGCATTCTCAGAAACTTCTCTGTGATGTTTGTGTTCAACTCCCAGAGTTTCACGTTGCTTTTCATAGAGTAGTTCTGAAACATGCTTTTCGTAGTGTCTGCAAGTGGACATTTGGAGCGCTTTCAGGCCTGTGGTGGAAAACGAATTATGGTCACATAAAAACTGGAGAGAAGCCTTCTCAGAAACTTCTCTGTGATGATTGCATTCAACTCACAGAGTTGAACCCTCCTATGGATAGAGCAGTGTTGAAACTCTCTTTTTGTGGAATCTGCAAGTGGATATGTGGACCTCTCCGAAGATGTCTTTGGAAACGGGAATATCTTCACATAAAAACTAAACAGAAGCATTCTCAGAAACTTCTTGGTGATGTTTGCATTCAAATCCCAGAGTTGAACCTTCCTTTGATAGTTCAGGTTTGAAACACTCTTTTTGTAGGATCTGCAAGTGGCTATTTGGACCACTCTGTGGCCTTCGTTCGAAACGGGTATATCTTCGCATAAAATCTAGACAGAAGCATTCTCAGAAAATACTTTGTGATGATTGAGTTTAAATCACAGAGCTGACCATTCCTTTGGATGGAGCAGGTTTGAGACACACTTTTTGTAGAATCTACAAGTGGATATTTGGACCTCTCTGAGGATTTCGTTGGAAACGGGATAACTGCACCTAACTAAACGGAAGCATTGTCAGAAACTGCTTTGTGATGATTGCATTCACCTCACAGAGTTGAACATTCCTATTGATAGAGCAGTTTGGAAACACTCTTGTTGTGGAATGTGGAAGTGGAGATTTGGAGCGCTTTGAGGCCTATGGTAGTAAAGGGAATAGCTTCATAGAAAAATTAGACAGATGCATTCTCAGGAACTTTTTGGTGATGTTTGTATTCAACTCCCAGAGTTGAACTTTCCCTTTGGAAAGAGCAGCTATGAAACACTCTTTTTCTAGAATCTGCAAGTGGACGTTTGGAGGGCTTTGTGGTTTGTGGTGGAAAAGGAAATATCTTCACCTAAATACTAGATAGAAGCATTCTCAGAAGCTTCTCTGTGATGACTGCATTCAACTCACGGAGTTGAACACTCCTTTTGAGAGCGCAGTTTTGAAACTCTCTTTCTGTGGCATCTGCAAGGGGACATGTAGACCTCTTTGAAGATTTCGTTGGAAACGGAATCATCTTCACATAAAAACTATACAGAAGCAGTCTCAGAATCTTCTTTGTGATATTTGCATTCAAATCCCAGAGTTGAACTTTCCTTTCAAAGTTCACGTTTGAAACACTCTTTTTGCAGGATCTACAAGTGGATATTTGGACCACTCTGTGTCCTTCGTTCGAAACGGGTATATCTTCACATGACATCTAGACAGAGAAAGCTTTCTCAGAAAATTCTTTGGGATGATTGAGTAGAACTCACAGAGCTGAGCATTCCTTGCGATGTAGCAGTTTAGAAACACACTTTCTGCAGAATCTGCAAGTGCATATTTGGACCTCTGTGAGGAATTCGTTGGAAACGGGATAATTTCAGCTGACTAAACAGAAGCATTCTCAGAACCTTCTTCGTGATGTCTGCATTCAACTCACAGTGTGGAACCTTTCTTTGATAGGTCAGGTTTGAAACACTCTTTTTGTAGAAACTGCAAGGGGATAATTGCACTCTTTGAGGAGTACCGTAGTAAAGGAAATAACTTCCTATAAAAAGAAGACAGAAGAATTCTCAGAGCCCTCTTCGTGATGTTTGCATTCAACTCACAAGTGCTGAACCTTTCTTTGATAGTGCAGCTTTGAAACACTCTTTTTGTAGAAACTGCAAGTGGATGTTTGGTCCTCTCTGAGGATTTCGTTGGAAACGGGATAAACCGCACAGAACTAAAACAGAAGCATTGTCAGAAACTTCTTTGTGATGATTGCATTCAACTCACAGAGTTGAAGGTTCCTTTTCAAACAGCAGTTTCCAATCACTCTTTCTGTGGAATCTGCAAGTGGATATTTGGGCCTCTCTGAGGATTTCGTTGGAAACGGGATAAAACGCACAGAACTAAAACAGAAGCATTCTCAGAAACTTCTCTGTGATGTTTGTGTTCAACTCCCAGAGTTTCACGTTGCTTTTCATAGAGTAGTTCTGAAACATGCTTTTCGTAGTGTCTGCAAGTGGACATTTGGAGCGCTTTCAGGCCTGTGGTGGAAAATGAATTATGGTCACAAAAAAACTGGAGAGAAGCCTTCTCAGAAACTTCTCTGTGATGATTGCATTCAACTCACAGAGTTGAACCCTCCTATGGATAGAGCAGTGTTGAAACTCTCTTTTTGTGGAATCTGCAAGTGGATATGTGGACCTCTCCGAAGATGTCTTTGGAAACGGGAATATCTTCACATAAAAACTAAACAGAAGCATTCTCAGAAACTTCTTGGTGATGTTTGCATTCAAATCCCAGAGTTGAACCTTCCTTTGATAGTTCAGGTTTGAAACACTCTTTCTGTAGGATCTGCAAGTGGCTATTTGGACCACTCTGTGGCCTTCGTTCGAAACGGGTATATCTTCGCATAAAATCTAGACAGAAGCATTCTCAGAAAATACTTTGTGATGATTGAGTTTAAATCACAGAGCTGACCATTCCTTTGGATGGAGCAGGTTTGAGACACACTTTTTGTAGAATCTACAAGTGGATATTTGGACCTCTCTGAGGATTTCGTTGGAAACGGGATAACTGCACCTAACTAAACGGAAGCATTCTCAGAAACTGCTTTGTGATGATTGCATTCACCTCACAGAGTTGAACATTCCTATTGATAGAGCAGTTTGGAAACACTCTTGTTGTGGAATGTGCAAGTGGAGATTTGGAGCGCTTTGAGGCCTATGGTAGTAAAGGGAATAGCTTCATAGAAAAACTAGACAGATGCATTCTCAGGAACTTTTTGGTGATGTTTGTATTCAACTCCCAGAGTTGAACTTTCCTTTGGAAAGAGCAGCTATGAAACACTCTTTTTCTAGAATCTGCAAGTGGACGTTTGGAGGGCTTTGTGGTTTGTGGTGGAAAAGGAAATATCTTCACCTAAATACTAGATAGAAGCATTCTCAGAAGCTTCTCTGTGATGACTGCATTCAACTCACGGAGTTGAACACTCCTTTTGAGAGCGCAGTTTTGAAACTCTCTTTCTGTGGCATCTGCAAGGGGACATGTAGACCTCTTTGAAGATTTCGTTGGAAACGGAATCATCTTCACATAAAAACTATACAGAAGCAGTCTCAGAATCTTCTTTGTGATGTTTGCATTCAAATCCCAGAGTTGAACTTTCCTTTCAAAGTTCACGTTTGAAACACTCTTTTTGCAGGATCTACAAGTGGATATTTGGACCACTCTGTGTCCTTCGTTCGAAACGGGTATATCTTCACACGACATCTAGACAGAAGCTTTCTCAGAAAATTCTTTGGGATGATTGAGTGGAACTCACAGAGCTGAACATTCCTTGTGATGTAGCAGTTTAGAAACACACTTTCTGCAGAATCTGCAAGTGCATATTTGGACCTCTCTGAGGAATTCGTTGGAAACGGGATAATTTCAGCTGACTAAACAGAAGCATTCTCAGAACCTTCTTCGTGATGTCTGCATTCAACTCACAGTGTGGAACCTTTCTTTGATAGTTCAGGTTTGAAACACTCTTTTTGTAGAAACTGCAAGGGGATAATTGCACTTCTTTGAGGCCTACCGTAGTAAAGGAAATAACTTCCTATAGAAAGAAGACAGAAGCATTCTCAGAACCCTCTTCGTGATGTTTGCATTCAACTCACAGTGCTGAACCTTTCTTTGATAGTTCAGCTTTGAAACACTCTTCTTGTAGAAACTGCAAGTGGATATTTGGTCCTCTCTGAGGATTTCGTTGGAAACGGGATAAACCGCACAGAACTAAACAGAAGCATTCTCTGAACCCTCTTCGTGATGTTTGCATTCAACTCACAGTGTTGAACCTTTCTTTGATAGTTCAGGTTGGAAACGGTCTTTCTGTAGAAACTGCAAGTAGATATTTGGACCTCTCTGAGGATTTCGTTGGAAACGGGATAAACCGCACAGAACTAAAACAGAAGCATTCACAGAAAACTCTTGGTGACGACTGAGTTTAACTCACAGAGCTGAACATTCCTTTGGATGGAGCAGTTTCGAAACACACTATTTGTAGAATGTGCAAGTGGATATTTGGGCCTCTCTGAGGATTTCGCTGGAAACGGGATAAACCGCACAGAACTAAACAGAAGCATTCTCAGAAACTACTTTGTGATGATTGCATTCAAGTCACAGAGTTGAACATTCCCTTTGACAGAGCAGTTTGGAAACTCTCTTTGTGTAGAATCTGCAAGTGGAGATATGGACCGCTTTGAGGCCTATGGTAGTAAAGGAAATAGCTTCATATAAAAGCTAGACAGTAGCATTCTCAGAAACTTCTTTGTGATGCTTGCATTCAACTCACAGAGTTGAACTTTCCTTTCGAGAGAGAAGCTTTGAAACACTCTTTTTCCAGAATGTGCAAGTGGACATTTGGGGAGCTTTGAGGCCTGTGGTGGAAAAGGAATTATCTTCCCGTAAAAGCTAGATAGAAGCATTGTCAGAAACTTCTTTGTGATGATTGCATTCAACTCACAGAGTTGAAGGTTCCTTTTCAAACAGCAGTTTCCAATCACTCTTTCTGTGGAATCTGCAAGTGGATATTTCGACCTCTTTGAAGATTTCGTTGGAAACGGGAGAATCTTCACAGAAAAGCTAAACAGAAGCATTCTCAGAAACTTCTCTGTGATGTTTGTGTTCAACTCCCAGAGTTTCACGTTGCTTTTCATAGAGTAGTTCTGAAACATGCTTTTCGTAGTGTCTGCAAGTGGACATTTGGAGCGCTTTCAGGCCTGTGGTGGAAAACGAATTATGGTCACATAAAAACTGGAGAGAAGCCTTCTCAGAAACTTCTCTGTGGTGATTGCATTCAACTCACAGAGTTGAACCCTCCTATGGATAGAGCAGTGTTGAAACTCTCTTTTTGTGGAATCTGCAAGTGGATATGTGGACCTCTCCGAAGATGTCTTTGGAAACGGGAATATCTTCACATAAAAACTAAACAGAAGCATTCTCAGAAACTTCTTGGTGATGTTTGCATTCAAATCCCAGAGTTGAACCTTCCTTTGATAGTTCAGGTTTGAAACACTCTTTTTGTAGGATCTGCAAGTGGCTATTTGGACCACTCTGTGGCCTTCGTTCGAAACGGGTATATCTTCGCATAAAATCTAGACAGAAACATTCTCAGAAAATACTTTGTGATGATTGAGTTTAAATCACAGAGCTGAACATTCCTTTGGATGGAGCAGGTTTGAGACACACTTTTTGTAGAATCTACAAGTGGATATTTGGACCTCTCTGAGGATTTCGTTGGAAACGGGATAACTGCACCTAACTAAACGGAAGCATTCTCAGAAACTGCTTTGTGATGATTGAATTCACCTCACAGAGTTGAACATTCCTATTGATAGAGCAGTTTGGAAACACTCTTGTTGTGGAATGTGCAAGTGGAGATTTGGAGCGCTTTGAGGCCTATGGTAGTAAAGGGAATAGCTTCATAGAAAAACTAGACAGATGCATTCTCAGGAACTTTTTGGTGATGTTTGTATTCAACTCCCAGAGTTGAACTTTCCTTTGGAAAGAGCAGCTATGAAACACTCTTTTTCTAGAATCTGCAAGTGGACGTTTGGAGGGCTTTGTGGTTTGTGGTGGAAAAGGAAATATCTTCACCTAAATACTAGATAGAAGCATTCTCAGAAGCTTCTCTGAGATGACTGCATTCAACTCACGGAGTTGAACACTCCTTTTGAGAGCGCAGTTTTGAAACTCTCTTTCTGTGGCATCTGCAAGGGGACATGTAGACCTCTTTGAAGATTTCGTTGGAAACGGAATCATCTTCACATAAAAACTATACAGAAGCAGTCTCAGAATCTTCTTTGTGATGTTTGCATTCAAATCCCAGAGTTGAACTTTCCTTTCAAAGTTCACGTTTGAAACACTCTTTTTGCAGGATCTACAAGTGGATATTTGGACCACTCTGTGTCCTTCGTTCGAAACGGGTATATCTTCACACGACATCTAGACAGAAGCTTTCTCAGAAAATTCTTTGGGATGATTGAGTGGAACTCAACAGAGCTGAACATTCCTTGCGATGTAGCAGTTTAGAAACACACTTTCTGCAGAATCTGCAAGTGCATATTTGGACCTCTCTGAGGAATTCGTTGGAAACGGGATAATTTCAGCTGACTAAACAGAAGCATTCTCAGAACCTTCTTCGTGATGTCTGCATTCAACTCACAGTGTGGAACCTTTCTTTGATAGTTCAGGTTTGAAACACTCTTTTTGTAGAAACTGCAAGGGGATAATTGCACTTCTTTGAGGCCTACCGTAGTAAAGGAAATAACTTCCTATAGAAAGAAGACAGAAGCATTCTCAGAACCCTCTTCGTGATGTTTGCATTCAACTCACAGTGCTGAACCTTTCTTTGATAGTTCAGCTTTGAAACACTCTTCTTGTAGAAACTGCAAGTGGATATTTGGTCCTCTCTGAGGATTTCGTTGGAAACGGGATAAACCGCACAGAACTAAACAGAAGAATTCTCAGAGCCCTCTTCGTGATGTTTGCATTCAACTCACAGTGCTGAACCTTTCTTTGATAGTGCAGCTTTGAAACACTCTTTTTGTAGAAACTGCAAGTGGATGTTTGGTCCTCTCTGAGGATTTCGTTGGAAACGGGATAAACCGCACAGAACTAAAACAGAAGCATTGTCAGAAACTTCTTTGTGATGATTGCATTCAACTCACAGAGTTGAAGGTTCCTTTTCAAACAGCAGTTTCCAATCACTCTTTCTGTGGAATCTGCAAGTGGATATTTGGGCCTCTCTGAGGATTTCGTTGGAAACGGGATAAAACGCACAGAACTAAAACAGAAGCATTCTCAGAAACTTCTCTGTGATGTTTGTGTTCAACTCCCAGAGTTTCACGTTGCTTTTCATAGAGTAGTTCTGAAACATGCTTTTCGTAGTGTCTGCAAGTGGACATTTGGAGCGCTTTCAGGCCTGTGGTGGAAAACGAATTATGGTCACATAAAAACTGGAGAGAAGCCTTCTCAGAAACTTCTCTGTGATGATTGCATTCAACTCACAGAGTTGAACCCTCCTATGGATAGAGCAGTGTTGAAACTCTCTTTTTGTGGAATCTGCAAGTGGATATGTGGACCTCTCCGAAGATGTCTTTGGAAACGGGAATATCTTCACATAAAAACTAAACAGAAGCATTCTCAGAAACTTCTTGGTGATGTTTGCATTCAAATCCCAGAGTTGAACCTTCCTTTGATAGTTCAGGTTTGAAACACTCTTTTTGTAGGATCTGCAAGTGGATATTTGGACCACTCTGTGGCCTTCGTTCGAAACGGGTATATCTTCGCATAAAATCTAGACAGAAGCATTCTCAGAAAATACTTTGTGATGATTGAGTTTAACTCACAGAGCTGAACATTCCTTTGGATGGAGCAGGTTTGAGACACACTTTTTGTAGAATCTACAAGTGGATATTTGGACCTCTCTGAGGATTTCGTTGGAAACGGGATAACTGCACCTAACTAAACGGAAGCATTCTCAGCAAACTGCTTTGTGATGATTGCATTCACCTCACAGAGTTGAACATTCCTATTGATAGAGCAGTTTGGAAACACTCTTGTTGTGGAATGTGCAAGTGGAGATTTGGAGCGCTTTGAGGCCTATGGTAGTAAAGGGAATAGCTTCATAGAAAAACTAGACAGATGCATTCTCAGGAACTTTTTGGTGATGTTTGTATTCAACTCCCAGAGTTGAACTTTCCTTTGGAAAGAGCAGCTATGAAACACTGTTTTTCTAGAATCTGCAAGTGGACGTTTGGAGGGCTTTGTGGTTTGTGGTGGAAAAGGAAATATCTTCACCTAAATACTAGATAGAAGCATCCTCAGAAGCTTCTCTGTGATGACTGCATTCAACTCACGGAGTTGAACACTCCTTTTGAGAGCGCAGTTTTGAAACTCTCTTTCTGTGGCATCTGCAAGGGGACATGTAGACCTCTTTGAAGATTTCGTTGGAAACGGAATCATCTTCACATAAAAACTATACAGAAGCAGTCTCAGAATCTTCTTTGTGATGTTTGCATTCAAATCCCCGAGTTGAACTTTCCTTTCAAAGTTCACGTTTGAAACACTCTTTTTGCAGGATCTACAAGTGGATATTTGGACCACTCTGTGTCCTTCGTTCGAAACGGGTATATCTTCACATGACATCTAGACAGAAGCTTTCTCAGAAAATTCTTTGGGATGATTGAGTTGAACTCACAGAGCTGAGCATTCCTTGCGATGTAGCAGTTTAGAAACACACTTTCTGCAGAATCTGCAAGTGCATATTTGGACCTCTGTGAGGAATTCGTTGGAAACGGGATAATTTCAGCTGACTAAACAGAAGCATTCTCAGAACCTTCTTCGTGATGTCTGCATTCAACTCACAGTGTGGAACCTTTCTTTGATAGTTCAGGTTTGAAACACTCTTTCTGTAGAAACTGCAAGGGGATAATTGCACTCTTTGAGGAGTACCGTAGTAAAGGAAATAACTTCCTATAAAAAGAAGACAGAAGCATTCTCAGAACCCTCTTCGTGATGTTTGCATTCAACTCACAGTGCTGAACCTTTCTTTGATAGTTCAGCTTTGAAACACTCTTTTTGTAGAAACTGCAAGTGGATATTTGGTCCTCTCTGAGGATTTCGTTGGAAACGGGATAAACTGCACAGAACTAAACAGAAGCATTCTCAGAACCTTCTTCGTGATGTTTGCATTCAACTCACAGTGTTGAACCTTTCTTTGATAGTTCAGGTTTGAAACGGTCTTTCTGTAGAAACTGCAAGTAGATATTTGGACCTCTCTGAGGATTTCGTTGGAAACGGGATAACCCGCACAGAACTAAAACAGAAGCATTCACAGAAAACTCTTGGTGACGACTGAGTTTAACTCACAGAGCTGAACATTCCTTTGGATGGAGCAGTTTCGAAACACACTATTTGTAGAATGTGCAAGTGGATATTTAGGCCTCTCTGAGGATTTCGTTGGAAACGGGATAAACCGCACAGAACTAAACAGAAGCATTCTCAGAAACTACTTTGTGATGATTGCATTCAAGTCACAGAGTTGAACATTCCCTTTGACAGAGCAGTTTGGAAACTCTCTTTGTGTAGAATCTGCAAGTGGAGATATGGACCGCTTTGAGGCCTATGGTAGTAAAGGAAATAGCTTCATATAAAAGCTAGACAGTAGCATTCTCAGAAACTTCTTTGTGATGCTTGCATTCAACTCACAGAGTTGAACTTTCCTTTCGAGAGAGAAGCTTTGAAACACTCTTTTTCCAGAATCTGCAAGTGGACATTTGGAGGGCTTTGAGGCCTGTGGTGGAAAAGGAATTATCTTCCGGCAAAAGCTAGATAGAAGCATTGTCAGAAACTTCTTTGTGATGATTGCATTCAACTCACAGAGTTGAAGGTTCCTTTTCAAACAGCAGTTTCCAATCACTCTTTCTGTGGAATCCGCAAGTGGATATTTGGACCTCTTTGAAGATTTCGTTGGAAACGGGAGAATCTTCACAGAAAAGCTAAACAGAAGCATTCTCAGAAACTTCTCTGTGATGTTTGTGTTCAACTCCCAGAGTTTCACGTTGCTTTTCATAGAGTAGTTCTGAAACATGCTTTTCGTAGTGTCTGCAAGTGGACATTTGGAGCGCTTTCAGGCCTGTGGTGGAAAACGAATTATGGTCACATAAAAACTGGAGAGAAGCCTTCTCAGAAACTTCTCTGTGATGATTGCATTCAACTCACAGAGTTGAACCCTCCTATGGATAGAGCAGTGTTGAAACTCTCTTTTTGTGGAATCTGCAAGTGGATATGTGGACCTCTCCGAAGATGTCTTTGGAAACGGGAATATCTTCACATAAAAACTAAAAAGAAGCATTCTCAGAAACTTCTTGGTGATGTTTGCATTCAAATCCCAGAGTTGAACCTTCCTTTGATAGTTCAGGTTTGAAACACTCTTTCTGTAGGATCTGCAAGTGGCTATTTGGACCACTCTGTGGCCTTCGTTCGAAACGGGTATATCTTCGCATAAAATCTAGACAGAAGCATTCTCAGAAAATACTTTGTGATGATTGAGTTTAAATCACAGAGCTGACCATTCCTTTGGATGGAGCAGGTTTGAGACACACTTTTTGTAGAATCTACAAGTGGATATTTGGACCTCTCTGAGGATTTCGTTGGAAACGGGATAACTGCACCTAACTAAACGGAAGCATTCTCAGAAACTGCTTTGTGATGATTGCATTCACCTCACAGAGTTGAACATTCCTATTGATAGAGCAGTTTGGAAACACTCTTGTTGTGGAATGTGCAAGTGGAGATTTGGAGCGCTTTGAGGCCTGTGGTAGTAAAGGGAATAGCTTCATAGAAAAACTAGACAGATGCATTCTCAGGAACCTTTTGGTGATGTTTGTATTCAACTCCCAGAGTTGAACTTTCCTTTGGAAAGAGCAGCTATGAAACACTCTTTTTCTAGAATCTGCAAGTGGACGTTTGGAGGGCTTTGTGGTTTGTGGTGGAAAAGGAAATATCTTCACCTAAATACTAGATAGAAGCATTCTCAGAAGCTTCTCTGTGATGACTGCATTCAACTCACGGAGTTGAACACTCCTTTTGAGAGCGCAGTTTTGAAACTCTCTTTCTGTGGCATCTGCAAGGGGACATGTAGACCTCTTTGAAGATTTCGTTGGAAACGGAATCATCTTCACATAAAAACTATACAGAAGCAGTCTCAGAATCTTCTTTGTGATGTTTGCATTCAAATCCCAGAGTTGAACTTTCCTTTCAAAGTTCACGTTTGAAACACTCTTTTTGCAGGATCTACAAGTGGATATTTGGACCACTCTGTGTCCTTCGTTCGAAACGGGTATATCTTCACACGACATCTAGACAGAAGCTTTCTCAGAAAATTCTTTGGGATGATTGAGTGGAACTCACAGAGCTGAACATTCCTTGCGATGTAGCAGTTTAGAAACACACTTTCTGCAGAATCTGCAAGTGCATATTTGGACCTCTCTGAGGAATTCGTTGGAAACGGGATAATTTCAGCTGACTAAACAGAAGCATTCTCAGAACCTTCTTCGTGATGTCTGCATTCAACTCACAGTGTGGAACCTTTCTTTGATAGTTCAGGTTTGAAACACTCTTTTTGTAGAAACTGCAAGGGGATAATTGCACTTCTTTGAGGCCTACCGTAGTAAAGGAAATAACTTCCTATAGAAAGAAGACAGAAGCATTCTCAGAACCCTCTTCGTGATGTTTGCATTCAACTCACAGTGCTGAACCTTTCTTTGATAGTTCAGCTTTGAAACACTCTTCTTGTAGAAACTGCAAGTGGATATTTGGTCCTCTCTGAGGATTTCGTTGGAAACGGGATAAACCGCACAGAACTAAACAGAAGAATTCTCAGAGCCCTCTTCGTGATGTTTGCATTCAACTCACAGTGCTGAACCTTTCTTTGATAGTGCAGCTTTGAAACACTCTTTTTGTAGAAACTGCAAGTGGATATTTGGTCCTCTCTGAGGATTTCGTTGGAAACGGGATAAACCGCACAGAACTAAAACAGAAGCATTGTCAGAAACTTCTTTGTGATGATTGCATTCAACTCACAGAGTTGAAGGTTCCTTTTCAAACAGCAGTTTCCAATCACTCTTTCTGTGGAATCTGCAAGTGGATATTTGGGCCTCTCTGAGGATTTCGTTGGAAATGGGATAAAACGCACAGAACTAAAACAGAAGCATTCTCAGAAACTTCTCTGTGATGTTTGTGTTCAACTCCCAGAGTTTCACGTTGCTTTTCATAGAGTAGTTCTGAAACATGCTTTTCGTAGTGTCTGCAAGTGGACATTTGGAGCGCTTTCAGGCCTGTGGTGGAAAACGAATTATGGTCACATAAAAACTGGAGAGAAGCCTTCTCAGAAACTTCTCTGTGATGATTGCATTCAACTCACAGAGTTGAACCCTCCTATGGATAGAGCAGTGTTGAAACTCTCTTTTTGTGGAATCTGCAAGTGGATATGTGGACCTCTCCGAAGATGTCTTTGGAAACGGGAATATCTTCACATAAAAACTAAACAGAAGCATTCTCAGAAACTTCTTGGTGATGTTTGCATTCAAATCCCAGAGTTGAACCTTCCTTTGATAGTTCAGGTTTGAAACACTCTTTCTGTAGGATCTGCAAGTGGCTATTTGGACCACTCTGTGGCCTTCGTTCGAAACGGGTATATCTTCGCATAAAATCTAGACAGAAGCATTCTCAGAAAATACTTTGTGATGATTGAGTTTAAATCACAGAGCTGACCATTCCTTTGGATGGAGCAGGTTTGAGACACACTTTTTGTAGAATCTACAAGTGGATATTTGGACCTCTCTGAGGATTTCGTTGGAAACGGGATAACTGCACCTAACTAAACGGAAGCATTCTCAGAAACTGCTTTGTGATGATTGCATTCACCTCACAGAGTTGAACATTCCTATTGATAGAGCAGTTTGGAAACACTCTTGTTGTGGAATGTGCAAGTGGAGATTTGGAGCGCTTTGAGGCCTGTGGTAGTAAAGGGAATAGCTTCATAGAAAAACTAGACAGATGCATTCTCAGGAACTTTTTGGTGATGTTTGTATTCAACTCCCAGAGTTGAACTTTCCTTTGGAAAGAGCAGCTATGAAACACTCTTTTTCTAGAATCTGCAAGTGGACGTTTGGAGGGCTTTGTGGTTTGTGGTGGAAAAGGAAATATCTTCACCTAAATACTAGATAGAAGCATTCTCAGAAGCTTCTCTGTGATGACTGCATTCAACTCACGGAGTTGAACACTCCTTTTGAGAGCGCAGTTTTGAAACTCTCTTTCTGTGGCATCTGCAAGGGGACATGTAGACCTCTTTGAAGATTTCGTTGGAAACGGAATCATCTTCACATAAAAACTATACAGAAGCAGTCTCAGAATCTTCTTTGTGATGTTTGCATTCAAATCCCAGAGTTGAACTTTCCTTTCAAAGTTCACGTTTGAAACACTCTTTTTGCAGGATCTACAAGTGGATATTTGGACCACTCTGTGTCCTTCGTTCGAAACGGGTATATCTTCACACGACATCTAGACAGAAGCTTTCTCAGAAAATTCTTTGGGATGATTGAGTGGAACTCACAGAGCTGAACATTCCTTGCGATGTAGCAGTTTAGAAACACACTTTCTGCAGAATCTGCAAGTGCATATTTGGACCTCTCTGAGGAATTTGTTGGAAACGGGATAATTTCAGCTGACTAAACAGAAGCATTCTCAGAACCTTCTTCGTGATGTCTGCATTCAACTCACAGTGTGGAACCTTTCTTTGATAGTTCAGGTTTGAAACACTCTTTTTGTAGAAACTGCAAGGGGATAATTGCACTTCTTTGAGGCCTACCGTAGTAAAGGAAATAACTTCCTATAGAAAGAAGACAGAAGCATTCTCAGAACCCTCTTCGTGATGTTTGCATTCAACTCACAGTGCTGAACCTTTCTTTGATAGTTCAGCTTTGAAACACTCTTCTTGTAGAAACTGCAAGTGGATATTTGGTCCTCTCTGAGGATTTCGTTGGAAACGGGATAAACCGCACAGAACTAAACAGAAGAATTCTCAGAGCCCTCTTCGTGATGTTTGCATTCAACTCACAGTGCTGAACCTTTCTTTGATAGTGCAGCTTTGAAACACTCTTTTTGTAGAAACTGCAAGTGGATATTTGGTCCTCTCTGAGGATTTCGTTGGAAACGGGATAAACCGCACAGAACTAAAACAGAAGCATTGTCAGAAACTTCTTTGTGATGATTGCATTCAACTCACAGAGTTGAAGGTTCCTTTTCAAACAGCAGTTTCCAATCACTCTTTCTGTGGAATCTGCAAGTGGATATTTGGGCCTCTCTGAGGATTTCGTTGGAAACGGGATAAAACGCACAGAACTAAAACAGAAGCATTCTCAGAAAACTTCTCTGTGATGTTTGTGTTCAACTCCCAGAGTTTCACGTTGCTTTTCATAGAGTAGTTCTGAAACATGCTTTTCGTAGTGTCTGCAAGTGGACATTTGGAGCGCTTTCAGGCCTGTGGTGGAAAACGAATTATGGTCACATAAAAACTGGAGAGAAGCCTTCTCAGAAACTTCTCTGTGATGATTGCATTCAACTCACAGAGTTGAACCCTCCTATGGATAGAGCAGTGTTGAAACTCTCTTTTTGTGGAATCTGCAAGTGGATATGTGGACCTCTCCGAAGATGTCTTTGGAAACGGGAATATCTTCACATAAAAACTAAACAGAAGCATTCTCAGAAACTTCTTGGTGATGTTTGCATTCAAATCCCAGAGTTGAACCTTCCTTTGATAGTTCAGGTTTGAAACACTCTTTTTGTAGGATCTGCAAGTGGCTATTTGGACCACTCTGTGGCCTTCGTTCGAAACGGGTATATCTTCGCATAAAATCTAGACAGAAAGCATTCTCAGAAAATACTTTGTGATGATTGAGTTTAAATCACAGAGCTGAACATTCCTTTGGATGGAGCAGGTTTGAGACACACTTTTTGTAGAATCTACAAGTGGATATTTGGACCTCTCTGAGGATTTCGTTGGAAACGGGATAACTGCACCTAACTAAACGGAAGCATTCTCAGAAACTGCTTTGTGATGATTGCATTCACCTCACAGAGTTGAACATTCCTATTGATAGAGCAGTTTGGAAACACTCTTGTTGTGGAATGTGCAAGTGGAGATTTGGAGCGCTTTGAGGCCTATGGTAGTAAAGGGAATAGCTTCATAGAAAAACTAGACAGATGCATTCTCAGGAACTTTTTGGTGATGTTTGTATTCAACTCCCAGAGTTGAACTTTCCTTTGGAAAGAGCAGCTATGAAACACTGTTTTTCTAGAATCTGCAAGTGGACGTTTGGAGGGCTTTGTGGTTTGTGGTGGAAAAGGAAATATCTTCACCTAAATACTAGATAGAAGCATCCTCAGAAGCTTCTCTGTGATGACTGCATTCAACTCACGGAGTTGAACACTCCTTTTGAGAGCGCAGTTTTGAAACTCTCTTTCTGTGGCATCTGCAAGGGGACATGTAGACCTCTTTGAAGATTTCGTTGGAAACGGAATCATCTTCACATAAAAACTACACAGAAGCAGTCTCAGAATCTTCTTTGTGATGTTTGCATTCAAATCCCCGAGTTGAACTTTCCTTTCAAAGTTCACGTTTGAAACACTCTTTTTGCAGGATCTACAAGTGGATATTTGGACCACTCTGTGTCCTTCGTTCGAAACGGGTATATCTTCACATGACATCTAGACAGAAGCTTTCTCAGAAAATTCTTTGGGATGATTGAGTTGAACTCACAGAGCTGAGCATTCCTTGCGATGTAGCAGTTTAGAAACACACTTTCTGCAGAATCTGCAAGTGCATATTTGGACCTCTGTGAGGAATTCGTTGGAAACGGGATAATTTCAGCTGACTAAACAGAAGCATTCTCAGAACCTTCTTCGTGATGTCTGCATTCAACTCACAGTGTGGAACCTTTCTTTGACAGGTCAGGTTTGAAACACTCTTTTTGTAGAAACTGCAAGGGGATAATTGCACTCTTTGAGGAGTACCGTAGTAAAGGAAATAACTTCCTATAAAAAGAAGACAGAAGCATTCTCAGAACCCTCTTCGTGATGTTTGCATTCAACTCACAGTGCTGAACCTTTCTTTGATAGTTCAGCTTTGAAACACTCTTTTTGTAGAAACTGCAAGTGGATATTTGGTCCTCTCTGAGGATTTCGTTGGAAACGGGATAAACTGCACAGAACTAAACAGAAGCATTCTCAGAACCTTCTTCGTGATGTTTGCATTCAACTCACAGTGTTGAACCTTTCTTTGATAGTTCAGGTTTGAAACGGTCTTTCTGTAGAAACTGCAAGTAGATATTTGGACCTCTCTGAGGATTTCGTTGGAAACGGGATAACCCGCACAGAACTAAAACAGAAGCATTCACAGAAAACTCTTGGTGACGACTGAGTTTAACTCACAGAGCTGAACATTCCTTTGGATGGAGCAGTTTCGAAACACACTATTTGTAGAATGTGCAAGTGGATATTTGGGCCTCTCTGAGGATTTCGTTGGAAACGGGATAAACCGCACAGAACTAAACAGAAGCATTCTCAGAAACTACTTTGTGATGATTGCATTCAAGTCACAGAGTTGAACATTCCCTTTGACAGAGCAGTTTGGAAACTCTCTTTGTGTAGAATCTGCAAGTGGAGATATGGACCGCTTTGAGGCCTATGGTAGTAAAGGAAATAGCTTCATATAAAAGCTAGACAGTAGCATTCTCAGAAACTTCTTTGTGATGCTTGCATTCAACTCACAGAGTTGAACTTTCCTTTCGAGAGAGAAGCTTTGAAACACTCTTTTTCCAGAATCTGCAAGTGGACATTTGGAGGGCTTTGAGGCCTGTGGTGGAAAAGGAATTATCTTCCCGTAAAAGCTAGATAGAAGCATTGTCAGAAACTTCTTTGTGATGATTGCATTCAACTCACAGAGTTGAAGGTTCCTTTTCAAAGAGCAGTTTCCAATCACTCTTTCTGTGGAATCTGCAAGTGGATATTTGGACCTCTTTGAAGATTTCGTTGGAAACGGGAGAATCTTCACAGAAAAGCTAAACAGAAGCATTCTCAGAAACTTCTCTGTGATGTTTGTGTTCAACTCCCAGAGTTTCACATTGCTTTTCATAGAGTAGTTCTGAAACATGCTTTTCGTAGTGTCTGCAAGTGGACATTTGGAGCGCTTTCAGGCCTGTGGTGGAAAACGAATTATGGTCACATAAAAACTGGAGAGAAGCCTTCTCAGAAACTTCTCTGTGATGATTGCATTCAACTCACAGAGTTGAACCCTCCTATGGATAGAGCAGTGTTGAAACTCTCTTTTTGTGGAATCTGCAAGTGGATATGTGGACCTCTCCGAAGATGTCTTTGGAAACGGGAATATCTTCACATAAAAACTAAACAGAAGCATTCTCAGAAACTTCTTGGTGATGTTTGCATTCAAATCCCAGAGTTGAACCTTCCTTTGATAGTTCAGGTTTGAAACACTCTTTCTGTAGGATCTGCAAGTGGCTATTTGGACCACTCTGTGGCCTTCGTTCGAAACGGGTATATCTTCGCATAAAATCTAGACAGAAGCATTCTCAGAAAATACTTTGTGATGATTGAGTTTAAATCACAGAGCTGACCATTCCTTTGGATGGAGCAGGTTTGAGACACACTTTTTGTAGAATCTACAAGTGGATATTTGGACCTCTCTGAGGATTTCGTTGGAAACGGGATAACTGCACCTAACTAAACGGAAGCATTCTCAGAAACTGCTTTGTGATGATTGCATTCACCTCACAGAGTTGAACATTCCTATTGATAGAGCAGTTTGGAAACACTCTTGTTGTGGAATGTGCAAGTGGAGATTTGGAGCGCTTTGAGGCCTGTGGTAGTAAAGGGAATAGCTTCATAGAAAAACTAGACAGATGCATTCTCAGGAACTTTTTGGTCATGTTTGTATTCAACCCCCAGAGTTGAACTTTCCTTTGGAAAGAGCAGCTATGAAACACTCTTTTTCTAGAATCTGCAAGTGGACGTTTGGAGGGCTTTGTGGTTTGTGGTGGAAAAGGAAATATCTTCACCTAAATACTAGATAGAAGCATTCTCAGAAGCTTCTCTGTGATGACTGCATTCAACTCACGGAGTTGAACACTCCTTTTGAGAGCGCAGTTTTGAAACTCTCTTTCTGTGGCATCTGCAAGGGGACATGTAGACCTCTTTGAAGATTTGGTTGGAAAAGGAATCATCTTCACATAAAAACTATACAGAAGCAGTCTCAGAATCTTCTTTGTGATGGTTTGCATTCAAATCCCAGAGTTGAACTTTCCTTTCAAAGTTCACGTTTGAAACACTCTTTTTGCAGGATCTACAAGTGGATATTTGGACCACTCTGTGTCCTTCGTTCGAAACGGGTATATCTTCACACGACATCTAGACAGAAGCTTTCTCAGAAAATTCTTTGGGATGATTGAGTGGAACTCACAGAGCTGAACATTCCTTGCGATGTAGCAGTTTAGAAACACACTTTCTGCAGAATCTGCAAGTGCATATTTGGACCTCTCTGAGGAATTCGTTGGAAACGGGATAATTTCAGCTGACTAAACAGAAGCATTCTCAGAACCTTCTTCGTGATGTCTGCATTCAACTCACAGTGTGGAACCTTACTTTGATAGTTCAGGTTTGAAACACTCTTTTTGTAGAAACTGCAAGGGGATAATTGCACTTCTTTGAGGCCTACCGTAGTAAAGGAAATAACTTCCTATAGAAAGAAGACAGAAAGCATTCTCAGTAACCCTCTTCGTGATGTTTGCATTCAACTCACAGTGCTGAACCTTTCTTTGATAGTTCAGCTTTGAAACACTCTTCTTGTAGAAACTGCAAGTGGATATTTGGTCCTCTCTGAGGATTTCGTTGGAAACGGGTTAAACCGCACAGAACTAAACAGAAGCATTCTCAGAACCTTCTTCGTGATGTTTGCATTCAACTCACAGTGTTGAAGCTTTCTTTGATAGTTGAGGTTGGAAACGGTCTTTCTGTAGAAACTGCAAGTAGATATTTGGACCTCTCTGAGGATTTCGTTGGAAACGGGATAAACTGCACAGAACTAAAACAGAAGCATTCACAGAAAACTCTTGGTGACGACTGAGTTTAACTCACAGAGCTGAACATTCCTTTGGATGGAGCAGTTTTGAAACACACTATTTGTAGAATGTGCAAGTGGATATTTGGGCCTCTCTGAGGATTTCGTTGGAAACGGGATAAACCGCACAGAACTAAACAGAAGCATTCTCAGAAACTACTTTGTGACGATTGCATTCAAGTCACAGAGTTGAACATTCCCTTTCACAGAGCAGTTTGGAAACTCTCTTTGTGTAGAATCTGCAAGTGGAGATATGGACCGCTTTGAGACCTATGGTAGTAAAGGTAATAGCTTCATATGAAAGCTAGACAGTAGCATTCTCAGAAACTTCTTTGTGATGCTTGCATTCAACTCACAGAGTTGAACTTTCCTTTCGAGAGAGAAGCTTTGAAACACTCTTTTTCCAGAATCTGCAAGTGGACATTTGGAGGGCTTTGAGGCCTGTGGTGGAAAAGGAATTAACTTCCCGTAAAAGCTAGATAGAAGCATTGTCAGAAACTTCTTTGTGATGATTGCATTCAACTCACAGAGATGAAGGTTCCTTTACAAACAGCAGTTTCCAAACACTCTTTCTGTGGAATCTGCAAGTGGATATTTGGACCTCTTTGAAGATTTCGTTGGAAACGGGAGAATCTTCACAGAAAAGCTAAACAGAAGCATTCTCAGAAACTTCTCTGTGATGTTTGTGTTCAACTCCCAGAGTTTCACATTGCTTTTCATAGAGAAGTTCTGAAACATGCTTTTCGTAGTGTCTACAAGTGGACATTTGGAGCGCTTTCAGGCCTGTGGTGGAAAACGAATTATGGTCCCATAAAAACTGGAGAGAAGCCTTCTCAGAAACTTCTTTGTGATGATTGCATTCAACTCACAGATTTCAACCCTCCTATGGATAGAGCATTGTTGAAACTCTCTTTTTGTGGAATCTGCAAGTGGATATGTGGACCTCTCCGAAGATGTCTTTGGAAACGGGAATATCTTCACATAAAAACTAAACAGAAGCATTCTCAGAAACTTCTTGGTGATGTTTGCATTCAAATCCCAGAGTTGAACCTTCCTGTGATAGTTCAGGTTTGAAACACTCTTTTTGTAGGATCTTCAAGTGGATATTTGAACCACTCTGTGGCCTTCGTTTGAAACGGGTACATCTTCACATAAAATCTAGCCAGAAGCATTCTCAGAAAATACTTTGTGATGATTGAGTTTAACTCACAGAGCTGAACATTCCTTTGGATGGAGCAGGTTTGAGACACACTTTTTGTAGAATCTACAAGTGGATATTTGGACCTCTCTGAGGATTTCGTTGGAAACGCGATAACTGCACCTAACTAAACGGAAGCATTCTCAGAAACTGCTTTGTGATGATTGCATTCACCTCACAGAGTTGAACATTCCTATTGATAGAGCAGTTTGGAAACACTCTTGTTGTGGAATGTGCAAGTGGAGATTTGGAGCGCTTTGAGGCCTATGGTAGTAAAGGGAATAGCTTCATAGAAAAACTAGACAGATGCATTCTCAGGAACTTTTTGGTGATGTTTGTATTCAACTCCCAGAGTTGAACTTTCCTTTGGAAAGAGCAGCTATGAAACACTCTTTTTCTAGAATCTGCAAGTGGACGTTTGGAGGGCTTTGTGGTTTGTGGTGGAAAAGGAAATATCTTCACCTAAATACTAGATAGAAGCATTCTCAGAAGCTTCTCTGTGATGACTGCATTCAACTCACGGAGTTGAACACTCCTTTTGAGAGCGCAGTTTTGAAACTCTCTTTCTGTGGCATCCGCAAGGGGACATGTGGACCTCTTTGAAGATTTCGTTGGAAACGGAATCATCTTCACATAAAAACTATACAGAAGCAGTCTCAGAATCTTCTTTGTGATGTTTGCATTCAAATCCCAGAGTTGAACTTTCCTTTCAAAGTTCACGTTTGAAACACTCTTTTTGAAGGATCTACAAGTGGATATTTGGACCACTCTGTGTCCTCCGTTCGAAACGGGTATATCTTCACATGACATATAGACAGAAGCTTTCTCAGAAAATTCTTTGGGATGATTGAGTTGAACTCACAGAGCTGAACATTTCCTTGTGATGTAGCAGTTTAGAAACACACTTTCTGCAGAATCTGCAAGTGCATATTTGGACCTCTCTGAGGAATTCGTTGGAAACGGGATAATTTCAGCTGACTAAACAGAAGCATTCTCAGAACCTTCTTCGTGATGTCTGCATTCAACTCACAGTGTGGAACCTTTCTTTGATAGTTCAGGTTTGAAACACTCTTTTTGTAGAAACTGCAAGGGGATAATTGCACTTCTTTGAGGCCTACCGTAGTAAAGGAAATAACTTCCTATAGAAAGAAGACAGAAGCATTCTCAGAACCCTCTTCGTGATGTTTGCATTCAACTCACAGCGCTGAACCTTTCTTTGATAGTTCAGCTTTGAAACACTCTTTTTGTAGAAACTGCAAGTGGATATTTGGTCCTCTCTGAGGATTTCGTTGGAAACGGGATAAACTGCACAGAACTAAACAGAAGCATTCTCAGAACCTTCTTCGTGATGTTTGCATTCAACTCACAGTGTTGAACCTTTCTTTGATAGTTCAGGTTTGAAACGGTCTTTCTGTAGAAACTGCAAGTAGATATTTGGACCTCTCTGAGGATTTCGTTGGAAACGGGATAACCCGCACAGAACTAAAACAGAAGCATTCACAGAAAACTCTTGGTGACGACTGAGTTTAACTCACAGAGCTGAACATTCCTTTGGATGGATCAGTTTCGAAACACACTATTTGTAGAATGTGCAAGTGGATATTTGGGCCTCTCTGAGGATTTCGTTGGAAACGGGATAAACCGCACAGAACTAAACAGAAGCATTCTCAGAAACTACTTTGTGATGATTGCATTCAAGTCACAGAGTTGAACATTCCCTTTGACAGAGCAGTTTGGAAACTCTCTTTGTGTAGAATCTGCAAGTGGAGATATGGACCGCTTTGAGGCCTATGGTAGTAAAGGAAATAGCTTCATATAAAAGCTAGACAGTAGCATTCTCAGAAACTTCTTTGTGATGCTTGCATTCAACTCACAGAGTTGAACTTTCCTTTCGAGAGAGAAGCTTTGAAACACTCTTTTTCCAGAATGTGCAAGTGGACATTTGGGGAGCTTTGAGGCCTGTGGAGGAAAAGGAATTATCTTCCCGTAAAAGCTAGATAGAAGCATTGTCAGAAACTTCTTTGTGATGATTGCATTCAACTCACAGAGTTGAAGGTTCCTTTTCAAACAGCAGTTTCCAATCACTCTTTCTGTGGAATCTGCAAGTGGATATTTGGGCCTCTCTGAGGATTTCGTTGGAAACGGGATAAAACGCACAGAACTAAAACAGAAGCATTCTCAGAAACTTCTCTGTGATGTTTGTGTTCAACTCCCAGAGTTTCACGTTGCTTTTCATAGAGTAGTTCTGAAACATGCTTTTCGTAGTGTCTGCAAGTGGACATTTGGAGCGCTTTCAGGCCTGTGGTGGAAAACGAATTATGGTCACATAAAAACTGGAGAGAAGCCTTCTCAGAAACTTCTCTGTGATGATTGCATTCAACTCACAGAGTTGAACCCTCCTATGGATAGAGCAGTGTTGAAACTCTCTTTTTGTGGAATCTGCAAGTGGATATGTGGACCTCTCCGAAGATGTCTTTGGAAACGGGAATATCTTCACATAAAAACTAAACAGAAGCATTCTCAGAAACTTCTTGGTGATGTTTGCATTCAAATCCCAGAGTTGAACCTTCCTTTGATAGTTCAGGTTTGAAACACTCTTTTTGTAGGATCTGCAAGTGGCTATTTGGACCACTCTGTGGCCTTCGTTCGAAACGGGTATATCTTCGCATAAAATCTAGACAGAAGCATTCTCAGAAAATACTTTGTGATGATTGAGTTTAAATCACAGAGCTGAACATTCCTTTGGATGGAGCAGGTTTGAGACACACTTTTTGTAGAATCTACAAGTGGATATTTGGACCTCTCTGAGGATTTCGTTGGAAACGGGATAACTGCACCTAACTAAACGGAAGCATTCTCAGAAACTGCTTTGTGATGATTGCATTCACCTCACAGAGTTGAACATTCCTATTGATAGAGCAGTTTGGAAACACTCTTGTTGTGGAATGTGCAAGTGGAGATTTGGAGCGCTTTGAGGCCTATGGTAGTAAAGGGAATAGCTTCATAGAAAAACTAGACAGATGCATTCTCAGGTAACTTTTTGGTGATGTTTGTATTCAACTCCCAGAGTTGAACTTTCCTTTGGAAAGAGCAGCTATGAAACACTCTTTTTCTAGAATCTGCAAGTGGACGTTTGGAGGGCTTTGTGGTTTGTGGTGGAAAAGGAAATATCTTCACCTAAATACTAGATAGAAGCATTCTCAGAAGCTTCTCTGTGATGACTGCATTCAACTCACGGAGTTGAACACTCCTTTTGAGAGCGCAGTTTTGAAACTCTCTTTCTGTGGCATCTGCAAGGGGACATGTAGACCTCTTTGAAGATTTCGTTGGAAACGGAATCATCTTCACATAAAAACTATACAGAAGCAGTCTCAGAATCTTCTTTGTGATGTTTGCATTCAAATCCCAGAGTTGAACTTTCCTTTCAAAGTTCACGTTTGAAACACTCTTTTTGCAGGATCTACAAGTGGATATTTGGACCACTCTGTGTCCTTCGTTCGAAACGGGTATATCTTCACATGACATCTAGACAGAAGCTTTCTCAGAAAATTCTTTGGGATGATTGAGTTGAGCAAACAGAGCTGAACACTCCTTGCGATGTAGCAGTTTAGAAACACACTTTCTGCAGAATCTGCAAGTGCATATGTGGACCTCTCTGAGGAATTCGTTGGAAACGGGATAATTTCAGCTGACTAAACAGAAGCATTCTCAGAACCTTCTTCGTGATGTCTGCATTCAACTCACAGTGTGGAACCTTTCTTTGATAGTTCAGGTTTGAAACACTCTTTTTGTAGAAACTGCAAGGGGATCATTGCACTTCTTTGAGGCCTACCGTAGTAAAGGAGATAACTTACTATAAAAAGAAGACAGAAGCATTCTCAGAACCCTCTTCGTGATGTTTGCATTCAACTCACAGTGCTGAACCTTTCTTTGATAGTTCAGCTTTGAAACACTCTTCTTGTAGAAACTGCAAGTGGATATTTGGTCCTCTCTGAGGATTTCGTTGGAAACGGGATAAACCGCACAGAACTAAACAGAAGAATTCTCAGAGCCCTCTTCGTGATGTTTGCATTCAACTCACAGTGCTGAACCTTTCTTTGATAGTGCAGCTTTGAAACACTCTTTTTGTAGAAACTGCAAGTGGATGTTTGGTCCTCTCTGAGGATTTCGTTGGAAACGGGATAAACCGCACAGAACTAAAACAGAAGCATTGTCAGAAACTTCTTTGTGATGATTGCATTCAACTCACAGAGTTGAAGGTTCCTTTTCAAACAGCAGTTTCCAATCACTCTTTCTGTGGAATCTGCAAGTGGATATTTGGGCCTCTCTGAGGATTTCGTTGGAAACGGGATAAAACGCACAGAACTAAAACAGAAGCATTCTCAGAAACTTCTCTGTGATGTTTGTGTTCAACTCCCAGAGTTTCACGTTGCTTTTCATAGAGTAGTTCTGAAACATGCTTTTCGTAGTGTCTGCAAGTGGACATTTGGAGCGCTTTCAGGCCTGTGGTGGAAAACGAATTATGGTCACATAAAAACTGGAGAGAAGCCTTCTCAGAAACTTCTCTGTGATGATTGCATTCAACTCACAGAGTTGAACCCTCCTATGGATAGAGCAGTGTTGAAACTCTCTTTTTGTGGAATCTGCAAGTGGATATGTGGACCTCTCCGAAGATGTCTTTGGAAACGGGAATATCTTCACATAAAAACTAAACAGAAGCATTCTCAGAAACTTCTTGGTGATGTTTGCATTCAAATCCCAGAGTTGAACCTTCCTTTGATAGTTCAGGTTTGAAACACTCTTTCTGTAGGATCTGCAAGTGGCTATTTGGACCACTCTGTGGCCTTCGTTCGAAACGGGTATATCTTCGCATAAAATCTAGACAGAAGCATTCTCAGAAAATACTTTGTGATGATTGAGTTTAAATCACAGAGCTGACCATTCCTTTGGATGGAGCAGGTTTGAGACACACTTTTTGTAGAATCTACAAGTGGATATTTGGACCTCTCTGAGGATTTCGTTGGAAACGGGATAACTGCACCTAACTAAACGGAAGCATTCTCAGAAACTGCTTTGTGATGATTGCATTCACCTCACAGAGTTGAACATTCCTATTGATAGAGCAGTTTGGAAACACTCTTGTTGTGGAATGTGCAAGTGGAGATTTGGAGCGCTTTGAGGCCTGTGGTAGTAAAGGGAATAGCTTCATAGAAAAACTAGACAGATGCATTCTCAGGAACTTTTTGGTGATGTTTGTATTCAACTCCCAGAGTTGAACTTTCCTTTGGAAAGAGCAGCTATGAAACACTCTTTTTCTAGAATCTGCAAGTGGACGTTTGGAGGGCTTTGTGGTTTGTGGTGGAAAAGGAAATATCTTCACCTAAATACTAGATAGAAGCATTCTCAGAAGCTTCTCTGTGATGACTGCATTCAACTCACGGAGTTGAACACTCCTTTTGAGAGCGCAGTTTTGAAACTCTCTTTCTGTGGCATCTGCAAGGGGACATGTAGACCTCTTTGAAGATTTCGTTGGAAACGGAATCATCTTCACATAAAAACTATACAGAAGCAGTCTCAGAATCTTCTTTGTGATGTTTGCATTCAAATCCCAGAGTTGAACTTTCCTTTCAAAGTTCACGTTTGAAACACTCTTTTTGCAGGATCTACAAGTGGATATTTGGACCACTCTGTGTCCTTCGTTCGAAACGGGTATATCTTCACATGACATCTAGACAGAAGCTTTCTCAGAAAATTCTTTGGGATGATTGAGTGGAACTCACAGAGGTGAACATTCCTTGCGATGTAGCAGTTTAGAAACACACTTTCTGCAGAATCTGCAAGTGCATATTTGGACCTCTCTGAGGAATTCGTTGGAAACGGGATAATTTCAGCTGACTAAACAGAAGCATTCTCAGAACCTTCTTCGTGATGTCTGCATTCAACTCACAGTGTGGAACCTTTCTTTGATAGTTCAGGTTTGAAACACTCTTTTTGTAGAAACTGCAAGGGGATAATTGCACTTCTTTGAGGCCTACCGTAGTAAAGGAAATAACTTCCTATAAAAAGAAGACAGAAGCATTCTCAGAACCCTCTTCGTGATGTTTGCATTCAACTCACAGTGCTGAAACTTTCTTTGATAGTTCAGCTTTGAAACACTCTTTTTGTAGAAACTGCAAGTGGATACTTGGTCCTCTCTGAGGATTTCGTTGGAAAAGGGATAAACCGCACAGAACTAAACAGAAGCATTCTCAGAACCTTCTTCGTGATGTTTGCATTCAACTCACAGTGTTGAACCTTTCTTTGATAGTTCAGGTTTGAAACGGTCTTTCTGCAGAAACTGCAAGTAGATATTTGGACCGCTCTGAGGATTTCGTTGGAAACGGGATAACCCGCACAGAACTAAAACAGAAGCATTCACAGAAAACTCTTGGTGACGACTGAGTTTAACTCACAGAGCTGAACATTCCTTTGGATGGAGCAGTTTCGAAACACACTATTTGTAGAATGTGCAAGTGGATATTTAGGCCTCTCTGAGGATTTCGTTGGAAACGGGTTAAACCGCACAGAACTAAACAGAAGCATTCTCAGAAACTACTTTGTGATGATTGCATTCAAGTCACAGTAGTTGAACATTCCCTTTGACAGAGCAGTTTGGAAACTCTCTTTGTGTAGAATCTGCAAGTGGAGATATGGACCGCTTTGAGGCCTATGGTAGTAAAGGAAATAGCTTCATATAAAAGCTAGACAGTAGCATTCTCAGAAACTTCTTTGTGATGCTTGCATTCAACTCACAGAGTTGAACTTTCCTTTCGAGAGAGAAGCTTTGAAACACTCTTTTTCCAGAATCTGCAAGTGGACATTTGGAGGGCTTTGAGGCCTGTGGTAGAAAAGGAATTAACTTCCCGTAAAAGCTAGATAGAAGCATTGTCAGAAACTTCTTTGTGATGATTGCATTCAACTCACAGAGTTGAAGGTTCCTTTTCAAACAGCAGTTTCCAATCACTCTTTCTGTGGAATCTGCAAGTGGATATTTGGACCTATTTTGAAGATTTCGTTGGAAACGGGAGAATCTTCACAGAAAAGCTAAACAGAAGCATTCTCAGAAACTTCTCTGTGATGTTTGTGTTCAACTCCCAGAGTTTCACGTTGCTTTTCATAGAGTAGTTCTGAAACATGCTTTTCGTAGTGTCTGCAAGTGGACATTTGGAGCGCTTTCAGGCCTGTGGTGGAAAACGAATTATGGTCACATAAAAACTGGAGAGAAGCCTTCTCAGAAACTTCTCTGTGATGATTGCATTCAACTCACAGAGTTGAACCCTCCTATGGATAGAGCAGTGTTGAAACTCTCTTTTTGTGGAATCTGCAAGTGGATATGTGGACCTCTCCGAAGATGTCTTTGGAAACGGGAATATCTTCACATAAAAACTAAACAGAAGCATTCTCAGAAACTTCTTGGTGATGTTTGCATTCAAATCCCAGAGTTGAACCTTCCTTTGATAGTTCAGGTTTGAAACACTCTTTCTGTAGGATCTGCAAGTGGCTATTTGGACCACTCTGTGGCCTTCGTTCGAAACGGGTATATCTTCGCATAAAATCTAGACAGAAGCATTCTCAGAAAATACTTTGTGATGATTGAGTTTAAATCACAGAGCTGACCATTCCTTTGGATGGAGCAGGTTTGAGACACACTTTTTGTAGAATCTACAAGTGGATATTTGGACCTCTCTGAGGATTTCGTTGGAAACGGGATAACTGCACCTAACTAAACGGAAGCATTCTCAGAAACTGCTTTGTGATGATTGCATTCACCTCACAGAGTTGAACATTCCTATTGATAGAGCAGTTTGGAAACACTCTTGTTGTGGAATGTGCAAGTGGAGATTTGGAGCGCTTTGAGGCCTATGGTAGTAAAGGGAATAGCTTCATAGAAAAACTAGACAGATGCATTCTCAGGAACTTTTTGGTGATGTTTGTATTCAACTCCCAGAGTTGAACTTTCCTTTGGAAAGAGCAGCTATGAAACACTCTTTTTCTAGAATCTGCAAGTGGACGTTTGGAGGGCTTTGTGGTTTGTGGTGGAAAAGGAAATATCTTCACCTAAATACTAGATAGAAGCATTCTCAGAAGCTTCTCTGTGATGACTGCATTCAACTCACGGAGTTGAACACTCCTTTTGAGAGCGCAGTTTTGAAACTCTCTTTCTGTGGCATCTGCAAGGGGACATGTAGACCTCTTTGAAGATTTCGTTGGAAACGGAATCATCTTCACATAAAAACTATACAGAAGCAGTCTCAGAATCTTCTTTGTGATGTTTGCATTCAAATCCCAGAGTTGAACTTTCCTTTCAAAGTTCACGTTTGAAACACTCTTTTTGCAGGATCTACAAGTGGATATTTGGACCACTCTGTGTCCTTCGTTCGAAACGGGTATATCTTCACACGACATCTAGACAGAAGCTTTCTCAGAAAATTCTTTGGGATGATTGAGTGGAACTCACAGAGCTGAACATTCCTTGCGATGTAGCAGTTTAGAAACACACTTTCTGCAGAATCTGCAAGTGCATATTTGGACCTCTCTGAGGAATTCGTTGGAAACGGGATAATTTCAGCTGACTAAACAGAAGCATTCTCAGAACCTTCTTCGTGATGTCTGCATTCAACTCACAGTGTGGAACCTTTCTTTGATAGTTCAGGTTTGAAACACTCTTTTTGTAGAAACTGCAAGGGGATAATTGCACTTCTTTGAGGCCTACCGTAGTAAAGGAAATAACTTCCTATAGAAAGAAGACAGAAGCATTCTCAGAACCCTCTTCGTGATGTTTGCATTCAACTCACAGTGCTGAACCTTTCTTTGATAGTTCAGCTTTGAAACACTCTTCTTGTAGAAACTGCAAGTGGATATTTGGTCCTCTCTGAGGATTTCGTTGGAAACGGGATAAACCGCACAGAACTAAACAGAAATTCTCAGAGCCCTCTTCGTGATGTTTGCATTCAACTCACAGTGCTGAACCTTTCTTTGATAGTGCAGCTTTGAAACACTCTTTTTGTAGAAACTGCAAGTGGATATTTGGTCCTCTCTGAGGATTTCGTTGGAAACGGGATAAACCGCACAGAACTAAAACAGAAGCATTCTAAGAACCTTCTTCGTGATGTTTGCATTCAACTCACAGTGTTGAACCTTTCTTTGATAGTTCAGGTTTGAAACGGTCTTTCTGTAGAAACTGCAAGTAGATATTTGGACCTCTCTGAGGATTTCGTTGGAAACGGGATAACCCGCACAGAACTAAAACAGAAGCATTCACAGAAAACTCTTGGTGACGACTGAGTTTAACTCACAGAGCTGAACATTCCTTTGGATTTAGCAGTTTCGAAACACACTATTTGTAGAATCTGCAAGTGGATATTTGGTCCTCTCTGAGGATTTCGTTGGAAACGGGATAAACCGCACAGAACTAAACAGAAGCATTCTCAGAAACTACTTTGTGATGATTGCATTCAAGTCACAGAGTTGAACATTCCCTTTGACAGAGCAGTTTGGAAACTCTCTTTGTGTAGAATCTGCAAGTGGAGATATGGACCGCTTTGAGGCCTATTTTAGTAAAGGAAATAGCTTCATATAAAAGCTAGACAGTAGCATTCTCAGAAACTTCTTTGTGATGCTTGCATTCAACTCACAGAGTTGAACTTTCCTTTCGAGAGAGAAGCTTTGAAACACTCTTTTTCCAGAATCTGCAAGTGGACATTTGGAGGGCTTTGAGGCCTGTGGTGGAAAAGGAATTATCTTCCCGTAAAAGCTAGATAGAAGCATTGTCAGAAACTTCTTTGTGATGATTGCATTCAAGTCACAGAGTTGAAGGTTCCTTTTCAAAGAGCAGTTTCCAATCACACTTTCTGTGGAATCTGCAAGTGGATATTTGGACCTCTTTGAAGATTTCGTTGGAAACGGGAGAATCTTCACAGAAAAGCTAAACAGAAGCATTCTCAGAAACTTCTCTGTGATGTTTGTGTTCAACTCCCAGAGTTTCACATTGCTTCTCATAGAGTAGTTCTGAAACATGCTTTTCATACTGTCTGCAAGTGGACATTTGGAGCGCTTTCAGGCCTGTGGTGGAAAACGAATTATGGTCACATAAAAACTGGAGAGAAGCCTTCTCAGAAACTTCTCTGTGATGATTGCATTCAACTCACAGAGTTGAACCCTCCTATGGATAGAGCAGTGTTGAAACTCTCTTTTTGTGGAACCTGCAAGTGGATATGTGGACCTCTCCGAAGATGTCTTTGGAAACGGGAATATCTTCACATAAAAACTAAACAGAAGCATTCTCAGAAACTTCTTGGTGATGTTTGCATTCAAATCCCAGAGTTGAACCTTCCTTTGATAGTTCAGGTTTGAAACACTGTTTCTGTAGGATCTGCAAGTGGCTATTTGGACCACTCTGTGGCCTTCGTTCGAAACGGGTATATCTTCGCATAAAATCTAGACAGAAGCATTCTCAGAAAATACTTTGTGATGATTGAGTTTAACTCACAGAGCTGAACATTCCTTTGGATGGAGCAGGTTTGAGACACACTTTTTGTAGAATCTACAAGTGGATATTTGGACCTCTCTGAGGATTTCGTTGGAAACGCGATAACTGCACCTAACTAAACGGAAGCATTCTCAGAAACTGCTTTGTGATGATTGCATTCACCTCACAGAGTTGAACATTCGTATTGATAGAGCAGTTTGGAAACACTCTTCTTGTGGAATGTGCAAGTGGAGATTTGGAGCGCTTTGGGGCCTATGGTAGTAAAGGGAATAGCTTCATAGAAAAACTAGACAGATGCATTCTCAGGAACTTTTTGGTGATGTTTGTATTCAACTCCCAGAGTTGAACTTTCCTTTGGAAAGAGCAGCTATGAAACACTCTTTTTCTAGAATCTGCAAGTGGACGTTTGGAGGGCTTTGTGGTTTGTGGTGGAAAAGGAAATATCTTCACCTAAATACTAGATAGAAGCATTCTCAGAAGCTTCTCTGTGATGACTGCATTCAACTCACGGAGTTGAACACTCCTTTTGAGAGCACAGTTTTGAAACTCTCTTTATGTGGCATCTGCAAGGGGACATGTAGACCTCTTTGAAGATTTCGTTGGAAACGGAATCATCTTCATATAAAAACTATACAGAAGCAGTCTCAGAATCTTCTTTGTGATGTTTGCATTCAAATCCCCGAGTTGAACTTTCCTTTCAAAGTTCACGTTTGAAACACTCTTTTTGCAGGATCTACAAGTGGATATTTGGACCACTCTGTGTCCTTCGTTCGAAACGGGTATATCTTCACATGACATCTAGACAGAAGCTTTCTCAGAAAATTCTTTGGGATGATTGAGTTGAACTCACAGAGCTGAGCATTCCTTGCGATGTAGCAGTTTAGAAACACACTTTCTGCAGAATCTGCAAGTGCATATTTGGACCTCTGTGAGGAATTCGTTGGAAACGGGATAATTTCAGCTGACTAAACAGAAGCATTCTCAGAACCTTCTTCGTGATGTCTGCATTCAACTCACAGTGTGGAACCTTTCTTTGATAGTTCAGGTTTGAAACACTCTTTTTGTAGAAACTGCAAGGGGATAATTGCACTCTTTGAGGAGTACCGTAGTAAAGGAAATAACTTCCTATAAAAAGAAGACAGAAGCATTCTCAGAACCCTCTTCGTGATGTTTGCATTCAACTCACAGTGCTGAACCTTTCTTTGATAGTTCAGCTTTGAAACACTCTTTTTGTAGAAACTGCAAGTGGATATTTGGTCCTCTCTGAGCATTTCGTTGGAAACGGGATAAACTGCACAGAACTAAACAGAAGCATTCTCAGAACCTTCTTCGTGATGTTTGCATTCAACTCACAGTGTTGAACCTTTCTTTGATAGTTCAGGTTTGAAACGGTCTTTCTGTAGAAACTGCAAGTAGATATTTGGACCGCTCTGAGGATTTCGTTGGAAATGGGATAACCCGCACAGAACTAAAACAGAAGCATTCACAGAAAACTCTTGGTGACGACTGAGTTTAACTCACAGAGCTGAACATTCCTTTGGATGGAGCAGTTTCGAAACACACTATTTGTAGAATGTGCAAGTGGATATTTAGGCCTCTCTGAGGATTTCGTTGGAAACGGGATAAACCGCACAGAACTAAACAGAAGCATTCTCAGAAACTACTTTGTGATGATTGCATTCAAGTCACAGGGTTGAACATTCCCTTTGACAGAGCAGTTTGGAAACTCTCTTTGTGTAGAATCTGCAAGTGGAGATATGGACCGCTTTGAGGCCTATGGTAGTAAAGGAAATAGCTTCATATAAAAGCTAGACAGTAGCATTCTGAGAAACTTCTTTGTGATGCTTGCATTCAACTCACAGAGTTGAACTTTCCTTTCGAGAGAGAAGCTTTGAAACACTCTTTTTCCAGAATCTGCAAGTGGACATTTGGAGGGCTTTGAGGCCTGTGGTGGAAAAGGAATTATCTTCCCGTAAAAGCTAGATAGAAGCATTGTCAGAAACTTCTTTGTGATGATTGCATTCAACTCACAGAGTTGAAGGTTCCTTTTCAAACAGCAGTTTCCAATCACTCTTTCTGTGGAATCTGCAAGTGGATATTTGGGCCTCTCTGAGGATTTCGTTGGAAACGGGATAAAACGCACAGAACTAAAACAGAAGCATTCTCAGAAACTTCTCTGTGATGTTTGTGTTCAACTCCCAGAGTTTCACGTTGCTTTTCATAGAGTAGTTCTGAAACATGCTTTTCGTAGTGTCTGCAAGTGGACATTTGGAGCGCTTTCAGGCCTGTGGTGGAAAACGAATTATGGTCACATAAAAACTGGAGAGAAGCCTTCTCAGAAACTTCTCTGTGATGATTGCATTCAACTCACAGAGTTGAACCCTCCTATGGATAGAGCAGTGTTGAAACTCTCTTTTTGTGGAATCTGCAAGTGGATATGTGGACCTCTCCGAAGATGTCTTTGGAAACGGGAATATCTTCACATAAAAACTAAACAGAAGCATTCTCAGAAACTTCTTGGTGATGTTTGCATTCAAATCCCAGAGTTGAACCTTCCTTTGATAGTTCAGGTTTGAAACACTCTTTCTGTAGGATCTGCAAGTGGCTATTTGGACCACTCTGTGGCCTTCGTTCGAAACGGGTATATCTTCGCATAAAATCTAGACAGAAGCATTCTCAGAAAATACTTTGTGATGATTGAGTTTAAATCACAGAGCTGACCATTCCTTTGGATGGAGCAGGTTTGAGACACACTTTTTGTAGAATCTACAAGTGGATATTTGGACCTCTCTGAGGATTTCGTTGGAAACGGGATAACTGCACCTAACTAAACGGAAGCATTCTCAGAAACTGCTTTGTGATGATTGCATTCACCTCACAGAGTTGAACATTCCTATTGATAGAGCAGTTTGGAAACACTCTTGTTGTGGAATGTGCAAGTGGAGATTTGGAGCGCTTTGAGGCCTATGGTAGTAAAGGGAATAGCTTCATAGAAAAACTAGACAGATGTATTCTCAGGAACTTTTTGGTGATGTTTGTATTCAACTCCCAGAGTTGAACTTTCCTTTGGAAAGAGCAGCTATGAAACACTCTTTTTCTAGAATCTGCAAGTGGACGTTTGGAGGGCTTTGTGGTTTGTGGTGGAAAAGGAAATATCTTCACCTAAATACTAGATAGAAGCATTCTCAGAAGCTTCTCTGTGATGACTGCATTCAACTCACGGAGTTGAACACTCCTTTTGAGAGCGCAGTTTTGAAACTCTCTTTCTGTGGCATCTGCAAGGGGACATGTAGACCTCTTTGAAGATTTCGTTGGAAACGGAATCATCTTCACATAAAAACTATACAGAAGCAGTCTCAGAATCTTCTTTGTGATGTTTGCATTCAAATCCCAGAGTTGAACTTTCCTTTCAAAGTTCACGTTTGAAACACTCTTTTTGCAGGATCTACAAGTGGATATTTGGACCACTCTGTGTCCTTCGTTCCAAACTGGTATATCTTCACATGACATCTAGACAGAAGCATTGTCAGAAACTTCTTTGTGATGATTGCATTCAACTCACAGAGTTGAAGGTTCCTTTTCAAACAGCAGTTTCCAAACACCCTTTCTGTGGAATCTGCAAGTGCATATTTGGACCTCTCTGAGGAATTCGTTGGAAACGGGATAATTTCAGCTGACTAAACAGAAGCATTCTCAGAACCTTCTCTGTGATGTTTGTGTTCAACTCCCAGAGTTTCACATTGCTTTTCATAGAGTAGTTCTGAAACATGCTTTTCGTAGTGTCTGCAAGTGGACATTTGGAGCGCTTTCAGGCCTGTGGTGGAAAACGAATTATGGTCACATAAAAACTGGAGAGAAGCCTTCTCAGAAACTTCTCTGTGATGATTGCATTCAACTCACAGAGTTGAACCCTCCTATGGATAGAGCAGTGTTGAAACTCTCTTTTTGTGGAATCTGCAAGTGGATATGTGGACCTCTCCGAAGATGACTTTGGAAACGGGAATATCTTCACATAAAAACTAAACAGAAGCAGTCTCAGAAACTTCTTTGTGATGTTTGCCTTCAAATCCCAGAGTTGAACCTTCCTTTGATAGTTCAGGTTTGAAACCCTCTTTTTGTAGGATCTGCAAGTGGATATTTGGACCACTCTGTGGCCTTCGTTCTAAACGGGTATATCTTCACATAAAATCTAGACAGAAGCATTCTCAGAAAATACTTTGTGATGATTGAGTTGAACTCGCAGAGGTGAACATTCCTTTGGATGGAGCAGGTTTGAGACACACTTTTTGTAGAATCTACAAGTGGATATTTGGACCTCTCTGAGGATTTCGTTGGAAACGGGATAACTGCACCTAACTAAACGGAAGCATTCTCAGAAACTGCTTTGTGATGATTGCATTCACCTCACAGAGTTGAACATTCCTATTGATAGAGCAGTTTGGAAACAATCTTGTTGTGGAATGTGCAAGTGGAGATTTGGAGCGCTTTGTGGCCTATGGTAGTAAAGGGAATAGCTTCATAAAAAAACTAGACAGATGCATTCTCAGGAACTTTTTGGTGATGTTTGTATTCAACTCCCAGAGTTGAACTTTCCTTTGGAAAGAGCAGCTATGAAACACTCTTTTTCTAGAATCTGCAAGTGGACGTTTGGAGGGCTTTGTGGTTTGTGGTGGAAAAGGAAATATCTTCACCTAAATCCTAGAGAGAAGCATTCTCAGAAGCTTCTCTGTGATGACTGCATTCAACTCACGGAGTTGAACACTCCTTTTGAGAGCGCAGTTTTGAAACTCTCTTTCTGTGGCATCTGCAAGGGGACATGTTGACCTCTTTGAAGATTTCGTTGGAAACGGAATCATCTTCGCATAAAAACTATACAGAAGCAGTCTCAGAATCTTCTTTGTGATGTTTGCATTCAAATCCCAGAGTTGAACTTTCCTTTCAAAGTTCACGTTTGAAACACTCTTTTTGCAGGATCTACAAGTGGATATTTGGACCACTCTGTGTCCTTCGTTCGAAACGGGTATAACTTCACACGACATCTAGACAGAAGGTTTCTCAGAAAATTCTTTGGGATGATTGAGTGGAACTCACAGAGCTGAACATTCCTTGCGATGTAGCAGTTTAGAAACACACTTTCTGCAGAATCTGCAAGTGCATATTTGGACCTCTCTGAGGAATTCGTTGGAAACGGGATAATTTCAGCTGACTAAACAGAAGCATTCTCAGAACCTTCTTCGTGATGTCTGCATTCAACTCACAGTGTGGAACCTTTCTTTGATAGTTCAGGTTTGAAACACTCTTTTTGTAGAAACTGCAAGGGGATAATTGCACTTCTTTGAGGCCTACCGTAGTAAAGGAAATAACTTCCTATAGAAAGAAGACAGAAGCATTCTCAGAACCCTCTTCGTGATGTTTGCATTCAACTCACAGTGCTGAACCTTTCTTTGATAGTTCAGCTTTGAAACACTCTTCTTGTAGAAACTGCAAGTGGATATTTGGTCCTCTCTGAGGATTTCGTTGGAAACGGGATAAACCGCACAGAACTAAACAGAAGAATTCTCAGAGCCCTCTTCGTGGTGTTTGCATTCAACTCACAGTGCTGAACCTTTCTTTGATAGTGCAGCTTTGAAACACTCTTTTTGTAGAAACTGCAAGTGGATATTTGGTCCTCTCTGAGGATTTCGTTGGAAACGGGATAAACCGCACAGAACTAAAACAGAAGCATTCACAGAAAACTCTTGGTGACGACTGAGTTTAACTCACAGAGCTGAACATTCCTTTGGATGGAGCAGTTTCGAAACACACTATTTGTAGAATCTGCAAGTGGATATTTGGGCCTCTCTGAGGATTTCGTTGGAAACGGGATAAAACGCACAGAACTAAAACAGAAGCATTCTCAGAAACTACTTTGTGATGATTGCATTCAAGTCACAGAGTTGAACATTCCCTTTGACAGAGCAGTTTGGAAACTCTCTTTGTGTAGAATCTGCAAGTGGAGATATGGACCGCTTTGAGGCCTATGGTAGTAAAGGAAATAGCTTCATATAAAAGCTAGACAGTAGCATTCTCAGAAACTTCTTTGTGATGCTTGCATTCAACTCACAGAGTTGAACTTTCCTTTCGAGAGAGAAGCTTTGAAACACTCTTTTTCCAGAATGTGCAAGTGGACATTTGGGGAGCTTTGAGGCCTGTGGTGGAAAAGGAATTATCTTCCCGTAAAAGCTAGATAGAAGCATTGTCAGAAACTTCTTTGTGATGACTGCATTCAACTCACAGAGTTGAAGGTTCCTTTTCAAACAGCAGTTTCCAATCACTCTTTCTGTGGAATCTGCAAGTGGATATTTCGACCTCTTTGAAGATTTCGTTGGAAACGGGAGAATCTTCACAGAAAAGCTAAACAGAAGCATTCTCAGAAACTTCTCTGTGATGTTTGTGTTCAACTCCCAGAGTTTCACGTTGCTTTTCATAGAGTAGTTCTGAAACATGCTTTTCGTAGTGTCTGCAAGTGGACATTTGGAGCGCTTTCAGGCCTGTGGTGGAAAACGAATTATGGTCACATAAAAACTGGAGAGAAGCCTTCTCAGAAACTTCTCTGTGATGATTGCATTCAACTCACAGAGTTGAACCCTCCTATGGATAGAGCAGTGTTGAAACTCTCTTTTTGTGGAATCTGCAAGTGGATATGTGGACCTCTCCGAAGATGTCTTTGGAAACGGGAATATCTTCACATAAAAACTAAACAGAAGCATTCTCAGAAACTTCTTGGTGATGTTTGCATTCAAATCCCAGAGTTGAACCTTCCTTTGATAGTTCAGGTTTGAAACACTCTTTCTGTAGGATCTGCAAGTGGCTATTTGGACCACTCTGTGGCCTTCGTTCGAAACGGGTATATCTTCGCATAAAATCTAGACAGAAGCATTCTCAGAAAATACTTTGTGATGATTGAGTTAAAATCACAGAGCTGAACATTCCTTTGGATGGAGCAGGTTTGAGACACACTTTTTGTAGAATCTACAAGTGGATATTTGGACCTCTCTGAGGATTTCGTTGGAAACGGGATAACTGCACCTAACTAAACGGAAGCATTCTCAGAAACTGCTTTGTGATGATTGCATTCACCTCACAGAGTTGAACATTCCTATTGATAGAGCAGTTTGGAAACACTCTTGTTGTGGAATGTGCAAGTGGAGATTTGGAGCGCTTTGAGGCCTATGGTAGTAAAGGGAATAGCTTCATAGAAAAACTAGACAGATGCATTCTCAGGAACTTTTTGGTGATGTTTGTATTCAACTCCCAGAGTTGAACTTTCCTTTGGAAAGAGCAGCTATGAAACACTCTTTTTCTAGAATCTGCAAGTGGACGTTTGGAGGGCTTTGTGGTTTGTGGTGGAAAAGGAAATATCTTCACCTAAATACTAGATAGAAGCATTCTCAGAAGCTTCTCTGTGATGACTGCATTCAACTCACGGAGTCTGAACACTCCTTTTGAGAGCGCAGTTTTGAAACTCTCTTTCTGTGGCATCTGCAAGGGGACATGTAGACCTCTTTGAAGATTTCGTTGGAAACGGAATCATCTTCACATAAAAACTATACAGAAGCAGTCTCAGAATCGTCTTTGTGATGTTTGCATTCAAATCCCAGAGTTGAACTTTCCTTTGGAAGTTCACGTTTGAAACACTCTTTTTGCAGGATCTACAAGTGGATATTTGGACCACTCTGTGTCCTTCGTTCGAAACGGGTATATCTTCACATGACATCTAGACAGAAGCTTTCACAGAAAATTCTTTGGGATGATTGAGTGGAAGTCACAGAGCTTAACATTCCTTGCGATGTAGCAGTTTAGAAACACACTTTCTGCAGAATCTGCAAGTGCATATTTGGACCTCTCTGAGGAATTCGTTGGAAACGGAATAATTTCAGCTGACTAAACAGAAGCATTCTCAGAACCTTCTTCGTGATGTCTGCATTCAACTCACAGTGTGGAACCTTTCTTTGATAGTTCAGGTTTGAAACACTCTTTTTGTAGAAACTGCACAGGGATAATTGCACTTCTTTGAGGCCTACCGTAGTAAAGGAAATAACTTCCTATAGAAAGAAGACAGAAGCATTCTGAGAACCTTCTTAGTGATGTCTGCATTCAACTCACAGTGTGGAACCTTTCTTTGATAGTTCAGGTTTGAAACACTCTTCTTGTAGAAACTGCAAATGGATATTTGGTCCTCTCTGAGGATTTCGTTGGAAACGGGATAAACCGCACAGAACTAAACGGAAGCATTCTCAGAACCTTCTTCGTGATGTTTGCATTCAACTCACAGTGTTGAACCTTTCTTTGATAGTTCAGGTTTGAAACGGTCTTTCTGTAGAAACTGCAAGTAGATATTTGGACCTCTCTGAGGATTTCGTTGGAAACGGGATAAACCGCACAGAACTAAACAGAAGCATTCACAGAAAACTCTTGGTGACGACTGAGTTTAACTCACAGAGCTGAACATTCCTTTGGATGGAGCAGTTTCGAAACACACTATTTGTAGAATGTGCAAGTGGATATTTGGGCCTCTCTGAGGATTTCGTTGGAAACGGGATAAACCGCACAGAACTAAACAGAAGCATTCTCAGAAACTACTTTGTGATGATTGCATTCAAGTCACAGAGTTGAACATTCCCTTTGACAGAGCAGTTTGGAAACTCTCTTTGTGTAGAATCTGCAAGTGGAGATATGGACCGCTTTGAGGCCTATGGTAGTAAAGGAAATAGCTTCATATAAAAGCTAGACATTAGCATTCTCAGAAACTTCTTTGTGATGCTTGCATTCAACTCACAGAGTTGAACTTTCCTTTCGAGAGAGAAGCTTTGAAACACTCTTTTTCCAGAATCTGCAAGTGGACATTTGGAGGGCTTTGAGGCCTGTGGTGGAAAAGGAATTATCTTCCCGTAAAAGCTAGATAGAAGCATTGTCAGAAACTTCTTTGTGATGATTGCATTCAAGTCACAGAGTTGAAGGTTCCTTTTCAAAGAGCAGTTTCCAATCACTCTTTCTGTGGAATCTGCAAGTGGATATTTGGACCTCTTTGAAGATTTCGTTGGAAACGGGAGAATCTTCACAGAAAAGCTAAACAGAAGCATTCTCAGAAACTTCTCTGTGATGTTTTTGTTCAACTCCCAGAGTTTCACATTGCTTCTCATAGAGTAGTTCTGAAACATGCTTTTCGTAGTGTCTGCAAGTGGACATTTGGAGCGCTTTCAGGTCTGTGGTGGAAAACGAATTATGGTCACATAAAAACTGGAGAGAAGCCTTCTCAGAAACTTCTCTGTGATGATTGCATTCAACTCACAGAGTTGAACCCTCCTATGGATAGAGCAGTGTTGAAACTCTCTTTTTGTGGAATCTGCAAGCGGATATGTGGACCTCTCCGAAGATGTCTTTGGAAACGGGAATATCTTCACATAAAAACTAAACAGAAGCATTCTCAGAAACTTCTTGGTGATGTTTGCATTCAAATCCCAGAGTTGAACCTTCCTTTGATAGTTCAGGTTTGAAACACTCTTTCTGTAGGATCTGCAAGTGGCTATTTGGACCACTCTGTGGCCTTCGTTCGAAACGGGTATATCTTCGCATAAAATCTAGACAGAAGCATTCTCAGAAAATACTTTGTGATGATTGAGTTAAAATCACAGAGCTGAACATTCCTTTGGATGGAGCAGGTTTGAGACACACTTTTTGTAGAATCTACAAGTGGATATTTGGACCTCTCTGAGGATTTCGTTGGAAACGGGATAACTGCACCTAACTAAACGGAAGCATTCTCAGAAACTGCTTTGTGATGATTGCATTCACCTCACAGAGTTGAACATCCCTATTGATAGAGCAGTTTGGAAACACTCTTGTTGTGGAATGTGCAAGTGGAGATTTGGAGCGCTTTGAGGCCTGTGGTAGTAAAGGGAATAGCTTCATAGAAAAACTAGACAGATGCATTCTCAGGAACTTTTTGGTGATGTTTGTATTCAACTCCCAGAGTTGAACTTTCCTTTGGAAAGAGCAGCTATGAAACACTCTTTTTCTAGAATCTGCAAGTGGACGTTTGGAGGGCTTTGTGGTTTGTGGTGGAAAAGGAAATATCTTCACCTAAATACTAGATAGAAGCATTCTCAGAAGCTTCTCTGTGATGACTGCATTCAACTCACGGAGTTGAACACTCCTTTTGAGAGCGCAGTTTTGAAACTCTCTTTCTGTGGCATCTGCAAGGGGACATGTAGACCTCTTTGAAGATTTCGTTGGAAACGGAATCATCTTCACATAAAAACTATACAGAAGCAGTCTCAGAATCTTCTTTGTGATGTTTGCATTCAAATCCCAGAGTTGAACTTTCCTTTCAAAGTTCACGTTTGAAACACTCTTTTTGCAGGATCTACAAGTGGATATTTGGACCACTCTGTGTCCTTCGTTCGAAACGGGTATATCGTCACATGACATCTAGACAGAAGCTTTCTCAGAAAATTCTTTGGGATGATTGAGTGGAACTCACAGAGCTGAACATTCCTTGCGATGTAGCATTTTAGAAACACACTTTCTGCAGAATCTGCAAGTGCATATTTGGACCTCTCTGAGGAATTCGTTGGAAACGGGATATTTTCAGCTGACTAAACAGAAGCATTCTCAGAACCTTCTTCGTGATGTCTGCATTCAACTCACAGTGTGGAACCTTTCTTTGATAGTTCAGGTTTGAAACACTCTTTTTGTAGAAACTGCAAGGGGATAATTGCACTTCTTTGAGGCCTACCGTAGTAAAGGAAATAACTTCCTATAGAAAGAAGACAGAAGCATTCTCAGAACCCTCTTCGTGATGTTTGCATTCAACTCACAGTGCTGAACCTTTCTTTGATAGTGCAGCTTTGAAACACTCTTCTTGTAGAAACTGCAAGTGGATATTTGGTCCTCTCTGAGGATTTCGTTGGAAACGGGATAAACCGCACAGAACTAAACAGAAGCATTCTCAGAACCTTCTTCGTGATGTTTGCATTCAACTCACAGTGTTGAACCTTTCTTTGATAGTTCAGGTTTGAAACGGTCTTTCTGTAGAAACTGCAAGTAGATATTTGGACCTCTCTGAGGATTTCGTTGGAAACGGGATAAACCGCACAGAACTAAAACAGAAGCATTCACAGAAAACTCTTGGTGACGACTGAGTTTAACTCACAGAGCTGAACATTCCGTTGGATGGAGCAGTTTCGAAACACACTATTTGTAGAATCTGCAAGTGGATATTTGGGCCTCTCTGAGGATTTCGTTGGAAACGGGATAAAACGCACAGAACTAAAACAGAAGCATTCTCAGAAACTACTTTGTGATGATTGCATTCAAGTCACAGAGTTGAACATTCCCTTTGACAGAGCAGTTTGGAAACTCTCTTTGTGTAGAATCTGCAAGTGGAGATATGGACCGCTTTGAGGCCTATGGTAGTAAAGGAAATAGCTTCATATAAAAGCTAGACAGTAGCATTCTCAGAAACTTCTTTGTGATGCTTGCATTCAACTCACAGAGTTGAACTTTCCTTTCGAGAGAGAAGCTTTGAAGCACTCTTTTTCCAGAATGTGCAAGTGGACATTTGGGGAGCTTTGAGGCCTGTGGTGGAAAAGGAATTATCTTCCCGTAAAAGCTAGATAGAAGCATTGTCAGAAACTTCTTTGAGATGATTGCATTCAACTCACAGAGTTGAAGGTTCCTTTTCAAACAGCAGTTTCCAATCACTCTTTCTGTGGAATCTGCAAGTGGATATTTCGACCTCTTTGAAGATTTCGTTGGAAACGGGAGAATCTTCACAGAAAAGCTAAACAGAAGCATTCTCAGAAACTTCTCTGTGATGTTTGTGTTCAACTCCCAGAGTTTCACGTTGCTTTTCATAGAGTAGTTCTGAAACATGCTTTTCGTAGTGTCTGCAAGTGGACATTTGGAGCGCTTTCAGGCCTGTGGTGGAAAACGAATTATGGTCACATAAAAACTGGAGAGAAGCCTTCTCAGGAAACTTCTCTGTGATGATTGCATTCAACTCACAGAGTTGAACCCTCCTATGGATAGAGCAGTGTTGAAACTCTCTTTTTGTGGAATCTGCAAGTGGATATGTGGACCTCTCCGAAGATGTCTTTGGAAACGGGAATATCTTCACATAAAAACTAAACAGAAGCATTCTCAGAAACTTCTTGGTGATGTTTGCATTCAAATCCCAGAGTTGAACCTTCCTGTGATAGTTCAGGTTTGAAACACTCTTTTTGTAGGATCTGCAAGTGGATATTTGGACCACTCTGTGGCCTTCGTTCGAAACGGGTACATCTTCACATAAAATCTAGACAGAAGCATTCTCAGAAAATACTTTGTGATGATTGAGTTTAACTCACAGAGCTGAACATTCCTTTGGATGGAGCAGGTTTGAGACACACTTTTTGTAGAATCTACAAGTGGATATTTGGACCTCTCTGAGGATTTCGTTGGAAACGCGATAACTGCACCTAACTAAACGGAAGCATTCTCAGAAACTGCTTTGTGATGATTGCATTCACCTCACAGAGTTGAACATTCCTATTGATAGAGCAGTTTGGAAACACTCTTGTTGTGGAATGTGCAAGTGGAGATTTGGAGCGCTTTGAGGCCTATGGTAGTAAAGGGAATAGCTTCATAGAAAAACTAGACAGATGCATTCTCAGGAACTTTTTGGTGATGTTTGTATTCAACTCCCAGAGTTGAACTTTCCTTTGGAAAGAGCAGCTATGAAACACTCTTTTTCTAGAATCTGCAAGTGGACGTTTGGAGGGCTTTGTGGTTTGTGGTGGAAAAGGAAATATCTTCACCTAAATACTAGATAGAAGCATTCTCAGAAGCTTCTCTGTGATGACTGCATTCAACTCACGGAGTTGAACACTCCTTTTGAGAGCGCAGTTTTGAAACTCCCTTTCTGTGGCATCTCCAAGGGGACATGTAGACCTCTTTGAAGATTTCGTTGGAAACGGAATCATCTTCACATAAAAACTATACAGAAGCAGTCTCAGAATCTTCTTTGTGATGTTTGCATTCAAATCCCCGAGTTGAACTTTCCTTTCAAAGTTCACGTTTGAAACACTCTTTTTGCAGGATCTACAAGTGGATATTTGGACCACTCTGTGTCCTTCGTTCGAAACGGGTATATCTTCACATGACATCTAGACAGAAGCTTTCTCAGAAAATTCTTTGGGATGATTGAGTTGAACTCACAGAGCTGAGCATTCCTTGCGATGTAGCAGTTTAGAAACACACTTTCTGCAGAATCTGCAAGTGCATATTTGGACCTCTGTGAGGAATTCGTTGGAAACGGGATAATTTCAGCTGACTAAACAGAAGCATTCTCAGAACCTTCTTCGTGATGTCTGCATTCAACTCACAGTGTGGAACCTTTCTTTGATAGTTCAGGTTTGAAACACTCTTTTTGTAGAAACTGCAAGGGGATAATTGCACTCTTTGAGGAGTACCGTAGTAAAGGAAATAACTTCCTCTAAAAAGAAGACAGAAGCATTCTCAGAACCCTCTTCGTGATGTTTGCATTCAACTCACAGTGCTGAACCTTTCTTTGATAGTTCAGCTTTGAAACACTCTTTTTGTAGAAACTGCAAGTGGATATTTGGTCCTCTCTGAGCATTTCGTTGGAAACGGGATAAACTGCACAGAACTAAACAGAAGCATTCTCAGAACCTTCTTCGTGATGTTTGCATTCAACTCACAGTGTTGAACCTTTCTTTGATAGTTCAGGTTTGAAACGGTCTTTCTGTAGAAACTGCAAGTAGATATTTGGACCTCTCTGAGGATTTCGTTGGAAACGGGATAACCCGCACAGAACTAAAACAGAAGCATTCACAGAAAACTCTTGGTGACGACTGAGTTTAACTCACAGAGCTGAACATTCCTTTGGATGGAGCAGTTTCGAAACACACTATTTGTAGAATGTGCAAGTGGATATTTAGGCCTCTCTGAGGATTTCGTTGGAAACGGGATAAACCGCACAGAACTAAACAGAAGCATTCTCAGAAACTACTTTGTGATGATTGCATTCAAGTCACAGAGTTGAACATTCCCTTTGACAGAGCAGTTTGGAAACTCTCTTTCTGTAGAATCTGCAAGTGGAGATATGGACCGCTTTGAGGCCTATGGTAGTAAAGGAAATAGCTTCATATAAAAGCTAGACAGTAGCATTCTCAGAAACTTCTTTGTGATGCTTGCATTCAACTCACAGAGTTGAACTTTCCTTTCGAGAGAGAAGCTTTGAAACACTCTTTTTCCAGAATCTGCAAGTGGACATTTGGAGGGCTTTGAGGCCTGTGGTGGAAAAGGAATTATCTTCCCGTAAAAGCTAGATAGAAGCATTGTCAGAAACTTCTTTGTGATGATTGCATTCAAGTCACAGAGTTGAAGGTTCCTTTTCAAAGAGCAGTTTCCAATCACTCTTTCTGTGGAATCTGCAAGTGGATATTTGGACCTCTTTGAAGATTTCGTTGGAAACGGGAGAATCTTCACAGAAAAGCTAAACAGAAGCATTCTCAGAAACTTCTCTGTGATGTTTGTGTTCAACTCCCAGAGATTCACATTGCTTCTCATAGAGTAGTTCTGAAACATGCTTTTCGTAGTGTCTGCAAGTGGACATTTGCAGCGCTTTCAGGCCTGTGGTGGAAAACGAATTATGGTCACATAAAAACTGGAGAGAAGCCTTCTCAGAAACTTCTCTGTGATGATTGCATTCAACTCACAGAGTTGAACCCTCCTATGGATAGAGCAGTGTTGAAACTCTCTTTTTGTGGAATCTGCAAGCGGATATGTGGACCTCTCCGAAGATGTCTTTGGAAACGGGAATATCTTCACATAAAAACTAAACAGAAGCATTCTCAGAAACTTCTTGGTGATGTTTGCATTCAAATCCCAGAGTTGAACCTTCCTTTGAGAGTTCAGGTTTGAAACACTCTTTTTGTAGGATCTGAAAGTGGATATTTGGACCACTCTGTGGCCTTCGTTCGAAACGGGTACATCTTCGAATAAAATCTAGACAGAAGCATTCTCAGAAAATACTTTGTGATGATTGAGTTGAACTCACAGAGCTGAACATTCCTTTGGATGGAGCAGGTTTGAGACACACTTTTTGTGGAATCTACAAGTGGATATTTGGACCTCTCTGAGGATTTCGTTGGAAACGGGATAACTGCACCTAACTAAACGGAAGCATTCTCAGAAACTGCTTTGTGATGATTGCATTCACCTCACAGAGTTGAACATTCCTATTGATAGAGCAGTTTGGAAACACTCTTGTTGTGGAATGTGCAAGTGGAGATTTGGAGCGCTTTGAGGTCTATGGTAGTAAAGGGAATAGCTTCATAGAAAAACTAGACAGATGCATTCTCAGGAACTTTTTGGTGATGTTTGTATTCAACTCCCAGAGTTGAACTTTCCTTTGGAAAGAGCAGCTATGAAACAATCTTTGTCTAGAATCTGCAAGTGGACGTTTGGAGGGCTTTGTGGTTTGTGGTGGAAAAGGAAATATCTTCACCTAAATACTAGATAGAAGCATTCTCAGAAGCTTCTCTGTGATGACTGCATTCAACTCACGGAGTTGAACACTCCTTTTGAGAGCGCAGTTTTGAAACTCTCTTTCTGTGGCATCTGCAAGGGGACATGTAGACCTCTTTGAAGATTTCGTTGGAAACGGAATCATCTTCACATAAAAACTATACAGAAGCAGTCTCAGAATCTTTTTTGTGATGTTTGCATTCAAATCCCAGAGTTGAACTTTCCTTTCAAAGTTCACGTTTGAAACACTCTTTTTGCAGGATCTACAAGTGGATATTTGGACCACTCTGTGTCCTTCGTTCGAAACGGGTATATCTTCACATGACATCTAGACAGAAGCTTTCTCAGAAAATTCTTTGGGATGATTGAGTTGAACTCACAGAGCTGAACATTCCTTGCGATGTAGCAGTTTAGAAACACACTTTCTGCAGAATCTGCAAGTGCATATTTGGACCTCTCTGAGGAATTCGTTGGAAACGGGATAATTTCAGCTGACTAAACAGAAGCATTCTCAGAACCTTCTTCGTGATGTCTGCATTCAACTCACAGTGTGGAAGCTTTCTTTGATAGTTCAGGTTTGAAACACTCTTTTTGTAGAAACTGCAAGGGGATAATGGCACTTCTTTGAGGCCTACCGTAGTAAAGGAAATAACTTCCTATAGAAAGAAGACAGAAGCATTCTCAGAACCCTCTTCGTGATGTTTGCATTCAACTCACAGTGCTGAACCTTTCTTTGATAGTTCAGCTTTGAAACACTCTTCTTGTAGAAACTGCAAGTGGATATTTGGTCCTCTCTGAGGATTTCGTTGGAAACGGGATAAACCCGCACAGAACTAAACAGAAGCATTCTCAGAGCCCTCTTCGTGATGTTTGCATTCAACTCACAGTGCTGAACCTTTCTTTGATAGTGCAGCTTTGAAACACTCTTTTTGTAGAAACTGCAAGTGGATATTTGGTCCTCTCTGAGGATTTCGTTGGAAACGGGATAAACTGCAAAGAACTAAAACAGAAGCATTCACAGAAAACTCTTGGTGACGACTGAGTTTAACTCACAGAGCTGAACATTCCTTTGGATGGAGCAGTTTCGAAACACACTATTTGTAGAATCTGCAAGTGGATATTTGGGCCTCTCTGAGGATTTCGTTGGAAACGGGATAAACCGCACAGAAGTAAACAGAAGCATTCTCAGAAACTACTTTGTGATGATTGCATTCAAGTCACAGAGTTGAACATTCCCTTTGACAGAGCAGTTTGGAAACTCTCTTTGTGTAGAATCTGCAAGTGGAGATATGGACCGCTTTGAGGCCTATGGTAGTAAAGGAAATAGCTTCATATAAAAGCTAGACAGTAGCATTCTGAGAAACTTCTTTGTGATGCTTGCATTCAACTCACAGAGTTGAACTTTCCTTTCGAGAGAGAAGCTTTGAAACACTCTTTTTCCAGAATCTGCAAGTGGACATTTGGAGGGCTTTGAGGCCTGTGGTGGAAAAGGAATTATCTTCCCGTAAAAGCTAGATAGAAGCATTGTCAGAAACTTCTTTGTGATGATTGCATTCAACTCACAGAGTTGAAGGTTCCTTTTCAAAGAGCAGTTTCCAATCACTCTTTCTGTGGAATCTGCAAGTGGATATTTGGACCTATTTTGAAGATTTCGTTGGAAACGGGAGAATCTTCACAGGAAAGCTAAACAGAAGCATTCTCAGAAACTTCTCTGTGATGTTTGTGTTCAACTCCCAGAGTTTCACATTGCTTTTCATAGAGTAGTTCTGAAACATGCTTTTCGTAGTGTCTACAAGTGGACATTTGGAGCGCTTTCAGGCCTGTGGTGGAAAACGAATTATGGTCACATAAAAACTGGAGAGAAGCCTTCTCAGAAACTTCTCTGTGATGATTGCATTCAACTCACAGAGTTGAACCCTCCTATGGATAGAGCAGTGTTGAAACTCTCTTTTTGTGGAATCTGCAAGTGGATATGTGGACCTCTCCGAAGATGTCTTTGGAAACGGGAATATCTTCACATAAAAACTAAACAGAAGCATTCTCAGAAACTTCTTGGTGATGTTTGCATTCAAATCCCAGAGTTGAACCTTCCTTTGCTAGTTCAGGTTTGAAACACTCTTTTTGTAGGATCTGCAAGTGGATATTTGGACCACTCTGTGGCCTTCGTTCGAAACGGGTATATCTTCGCATAAAATCTAGACAGAAGCATTCTCAGAAAATACTTTGTGATGATTGAGTTTAACTCACAGAGCTGAACATTCCTTTGGATGGAGCAGGTTTGAGACACACTTTTTGTAGAATCTACAAGTGGATATTTGGACCTCTCTGAGGATTTCGTTGGAAACGGGATAACTGCACCTAACTAAACGGAAGCATTCTCAGAAACTGCTTTGTGATGATTGCATTCACCTCACAGAGTTGAACATTCCTATTGATAGAGCAGTTTGGAAACACTCTTGTTGTGGAATGTGCAAGTGGAGATTTGGAGCGCTTTGAGGCCTATGGTAGTAAAGGGAATAGCTTCATAGAAAAACTAGACAGATGCATTCTCAGGAACTTTTTGGTGATGTTTGTATTCAACTCCCAGAGTTGAACTTTCCTTTGGAAAGAGCAGCTATGAAACACTCTTTTTCTAGAATCTGCAAGTGGACGTTTGGAGGGCTTTGTGGTTTGTGGTGGAAAAGGAAATATCTTCACCTAAATACTAGATAGAAGCATTCTCAGAAGCTTCTCTGTGATGACTGCATTCAACTCACGGAGTTGAACACTCCTTTTGAGAGCGCAGTTTTGAAACTCTCTTTCTGTGGCATCTGCAAGGGGACATGTAGACCTCTTTGAAGATTTCGTTGGAAACGGAATCATCTTCACATAAAAACTATACAGAAGCAGTCTCAGAATCTTCTTTGTGATGTTTGCATTCAAATCCCAGAGTTGAACTTTCCTTTCAAAGTTCACGTTTGAAACACTCTTTTTGCAGGATCTACAAGTGGATATTTGGACCACTCTGTGTCCTTCGTTCGAAACGGGTATATCTTCACACGACATCTAGACAGAAGCTTTCTCAGCAAAATTCTTTGGGATGATTGAGTTGAACTCACAGAGCTGAACATTCCTTGCGATGTAGCAGTTTAGAAACACACTTTCTGCAGAATCTGCAAGTGCATATTTGGACCTCTCTGAGGAATTCGTTGGCAACGGGATAATTTCAGCTGACTAAACAGAAGCATTCTCAGAACCTTCTTCGTGATGTCTGCATTCAACTCACAGTGTGGAACCTTTCTTTGATAGTTCACGTTTGAAACACTCCTTTTGTAGAAACTGCAAGGGGATAATTGCACTTCTTTGAGGCCTACCGTAGTAAAGGAAATAACTTCCTATAGAAAGAAGACAGAAGCATTCTCAGAACCCTCTTCGTGATGTTTGCATTCAACTCACAGTGCTGAACCTTTCTTTGATAGTTCAGCTTTGAAACACTCTTCTTGTAGAAACTGCAAGTGGATATTTGGTCCTCTCTGAGGATTTCGTTGGAAACGGGATAAACCGCACAGAACTAAACAGAAGCATTCTCAGAACCTTCTTCGTGATGTTTGCATTCAACTCACAGTGTTGAACCTTTCTTTGATAGTTCAGGTTTGAAACGGTCTTTCTGTAGAAACTGCAAGTAGATATTTGGACCTCTCTGAGGATTTCGTTGGAAACGGGATAACCCGCACAGAACTAAAACAGAAGCATTCAGAAAAAACTCTTGGTGACGACTGAGTTTAACTCACAGAGCTGAACATTCCTTTGGATGGAGCAGTTTCGAAACACACTATTTGTAGAATGTGCAAGTGGATATTTGGGCCTCTCTGAGGATTTCGTTGGAAACGGGATAAACCGCACAGAACTAAACAGAAGCATTCTCAGAAACTACTTTGTGATGATTGCATTCAAGTCACAGAGTTGAACATTCCCTTTGACAGAGCAGTTTGGAAACTCTCTTTGTGTAGAATCTGCAAGTGGAGATATGGACCGCTTTGAGGCCTATGGTAGTAAAGGAAATAGCTTCATATAAAAGCTAGACAGTAGCATTCTGAGAAACTTCTTTGTGATGCTTGCATTCAACTCACAGAGTTGAACTTTCCTTTCGAGAGAGAAGCTTTGAAACACTCTTTTTCCAGAATCTGCAAGTGGACATTTGGAGGGCTTTGAGGCCTGTGGTGGAAAAGGAATTATCTTCCCGTAAAAGCTAGATAGAAGCATTGTCAGAAACTTCTTTGTGATGATTGCATTCAACTCACAGAGTTGAAGGTTCCTTTTCAAACAGCAGTTTCCAATCACTCTTTCTGTGGAATCTGCAAGTGGATATTTGGGCCTCTCTGAGGATTTCGTTGGAAACGGGATAAAACGCACAGAACTAAAACAGAAGCATTCTCAGAAACTTCTCTGTGATGTTTGTGTTCAACTCCCAGAGTTTCACGTTGCTTTTCATAGAGTAGTTCTGAAACATGCTTTTCGTAGTGTCTGCAAGTGGACATTTGGAGCGCTTTCAGGCCTGTGGTGGAAAACGAATTATGGTCACATAAAAACTGGAGAGAAGCCTTCTCAGAAACTTCTCTGTGATGATTGCATTCAACTCACAGAGTTGAACCCTCCTATGGATAGAGCAGTGTTGAAACTCTCTTTTTGTGGAATCTGCAAGTGGATATGTGGACCTCTCCGAAGATGTCTTTGGAAACGGGAATATCTTCACATAAAAACTAAACAGAAGCATTCTCAGAAACTTCTTGGTGATGTTTGCATTCAAATCCCAGAGTTGAACCTTCCTTTGATAGTTCAGGTTTGAAACACTCTTTTTGTAGGATCTGCAAGTGGCTATTTGGACCACTCTGTGGCTTTCGTTCGAAACGGGTATATCTTCGCATAAAATCTAGACAGAAGCATTCTCAGAAAATACTTTGTGATGATTGAGTTTAAATCACAGAGCTGACCATTCCTTTGGATGGAGCAGGTTTGAGACACACTTTTTGTAGAATCTACAAGTGGATATTTGGACCTCTCTGAGGATTTCGTTGGAAACGGGATAACTGCACCTAACTAAACGGAAGCATTCTCAGAAACTGCTTTGTGATGATTGCATTCACCTCACAGAGTTGAACATTCCTATTGATAGAGCAGTTTGGAAACACTGTTGTTGTGGAATGTGCAAGTGGAGATTTGGAGCGCTTTGAGGCCTATGGTAGTAAAGGGAATAGCTTCATAGAAAAACTAGACAGATGCATTCTCAGGAACTTTTTGGTGATGTTTGTATTCAACTCCCAGAGTTGAACTTTCCTTTGGAAAGAGCAGCTATGAAACACTCTTTTTCTAGAATCTGCAAGTGGACGTTTGGAGGGCTTTGTGGTTTGTGGTGGAAAAGGAAATATCTTCACCTAAATACTAGATAGAAGCATTCTCAGAAGCTTCTCTGTGATGACTGCATTCAACTCACGGAGTTGAACACTCCTTTTGAGAGCGCAGTTTTGAAACTCTCTTTCTGTGGCATCTGCAAGGGGACATGTAGACCTCTTTGAAGATTTGGTTGGAAACGGAATCATCTTCACATAAAAACTATACAGAAGCAGTCTCAGAATCTTCTTTGTGATGTTTGCATTCAAATCCCAGAGTTGAACTTTCCTTTCAAAGTTCACGTTTGAAACACTCTTTTTGCAGGATCTACAAGTGGATATTTGGACCACTCTGTGTCCTTCGTTCGAAACGGGTATAACTTCACACGACATCTAGACAGAAGCTTTCTCAGAAAATTCTTTGGGATGATTGAGTGGAACTCACAGAGCTGAACATTCCTTGCGATGGAGCAGTTTAGAAACACACTTTCTGCAGAATCTGCAAGTGCATATTTGGACCTCTCTGAGGAATTCGTTGGAAACGGGATAATTTCAGCTGACTAAACAGAAGCATTCTCAGAACCTTCTTCGTGATGTCTGCATTCAACTCACAGTGTGGAACCTTTCTTTGATAGTTCAGGTTTGAAACACTCTTTTTGTAGAAACTGCAAGGGGATAATTGCACTTCTTTGAGGCCTACCGTAGTAAAGGAAATAACTTCCTATAGAAAGAAGACAGAAGCATTCTCAGAACCCTCTTCGTGATGTTTGCATTCAACACACAGTGCTGAACCTTTCTTTGATAGTTCAGCTTTGAAACACTCTTCTTGTAGAAACTGCAAGTGGATATTTGGTCCTCTCTGAGGATTTCGTTGGAAACGGGATAAACCACACAGAACTAAACAGAAGCATTCTCAGAACCTTCTTCGTGATGTTTGCATTCAACTCACAGTGTTGAACCTTTCTTTGATAGTTCAGGTTTGAAACGGTCTTTCTGTAGAAACTGCAAGTAGATATTTGGACCTCTCTGAGGATTTCGTTGGAAACGGGATAACCCGCACAGAACTAAAACAGAAGCATTCACAGAAAACTCTTGGTGACGACTGAGTTTAACTCACAGAGCTGAACATTCCTTTGGATGGAGCAGTTTCGAAACACACTATTTGTAGAATGTGCAAGTGGATATGTGGTCCTCTCTGAGGATTTCGTTGGAAACGGGATAAACCGCACAGAACTAAACAGAAGCATTCTCAGAAACTACTTTGTGATGATTGCATTCAAGTCACAGAGTTGAACATTCCCTTTGACAGAGCAGTTTGGAAACTCTCTTTGTGTAGAATCTGCAAGTGGAGATATGGACCGCTTTGAGGCCTATGGTAGTAAAGGAAATAGCTTCATATAAAAGCTAGACAGTAGCATTCTCAGAAACTTCTTTGTGATGCTTGCATTCAACTCACAGAGTTGAACTTTCCTTTCGAGAGAGAAGCTTTGAAACACTCTTTTTCCAGAATCTGCAAGTGGACATTTGGAGGGCTTTGAGGCCTGTGGTAGAAAAGGAATTAACTTCCCGTAAAAGCTAGATAGAAGCATTGTCAGAAACATCTTCGTGATGATAGCATTCAACTCACAGAGTTGAAGTTTCCTTTATAAACAGCACTTTCCAAACACTCTTTCTGTGGAATCTGCAAGTGGATATTTGGACCTCTTTGAAGATGTCGTTGGAAACGGGATAATGTTCACAGAAAAGCTAAACAGAAGCATTCTCAGAAACTTCTCTGTGATGTTTGTGTTCAACTCCCAGAGTTTCACATTGCTTCTCATAGAGTAGTTCTGAAACATGCTTTTCATAGTGTCTGCAAGTGGACATTTGGAGCGCTTTCAGGCCTGTGGTGGAAAACGAATTATGGTCACATAAAAACTGGAGAGAAGCCTTCTGAGAAACTTCTCTGTGATGATTGCATTCAACTCACAGAGTTGAAACCTCCTATGGATAGAGCAGTGTTGAAACTCTCTTTTTGTGGAATCTGCAAGTGGATATGTGGACCCCTCCGAAGATGTCTTTGGAAACGGGAATATCTTCACATAAAAACTAAACAGAAGCATTCTCAGAAACTTCTTGGTGATGTTTGCATTCAAATCCCAGAGTTGAACCTTCCTTTGATAGTTCAGGTTTGAAACACTCTTTTTGTAGGATCTGCAAGTGGATATTTGGACCACTCTGTGGCCTTCGTTCGAAACGGGTACATCTTCGCATAAAATCTAGACAGAAGCATTCTCAGAAAATACTTTGTGATGATTGAGTTTAACTCACAGAGCTGAACATTCCTTTGGATGGAGCAGGTTTGAGACACACTTTTTGTAGAATCTACAAGTGGATATTTGGACCTCTGTGAGGATTTCGTTGGAAACGGGATAACTGCACCTAACTAAACGGAAGCATTCTCAGAAACTGCTTTGTGATGATTGCATTCACCTCACAGAGTTGAACATTCCTATTGATAGAGCAGTTTGGAAACACTCTTGTTGTGGAATGTGCAAGTGGAGATTTGGAGCGCTTTGAGGCCTATGGTAGTAAAGGGAATAGCTTCATAGAAAAACTAGACAGATGCATTCTCAGGAACTTTTTGGTGATGTTTGTATTCAACTCCCAGAGTTGAACTTTCCTTTGGAAAGAGCAGCTATGAAACACTCTTTTTCTAGAATCTGCAAGTGGACGTTTGGAGGGCTTTGTGGTTTGTGGTGGAAAAGGAAATATCTTCACCTAAATCCTAGAGAGAAGCATTCTCAGAAGCTTCTCTGTGATGACTGCATTCAACTCACGGAGTTGAACACTCCTTTTGAGAGCGCAGTTTTGAAACTCTCTTTCTGTGGCATCTGCAAGGGGACATGTAGACCTCTTTGAAGATTTCGATGGAAACGGAATCATCTTCACATAAAAACTATACAGAAGCAGTCTCAGAATCTTCTTTGTGATGTTTGCATTCAAATCCCAGAGTTGAACTTTCCTTTCAAAGTTCACGTTTGAAACACTCTTTTTGCAGGATCTACAAGTGGATATTTGGACCACTCTGTGTCCTTCGTTCGAAACGGGTATATCTTCACAGGACATCTAGACAGAAGCTTTCTCAGAAAATTCTTTGGGATGATTGAGTGGAACTCACAGAGCTGAACATTCCTTGCGATGGAGCAGTTTAGAAACACACTTTCTGCAGAATCTGCAAGTGCATATTTGGACCTCTCTGAGGAATTCGTTGGAAACGGGATAATTTCAGCTGACTAAACAGAAGCATTCTCAGAACCTCCTTCGTGATGTCTGCATTCAACTCACAGTGTGGAACCTTTCTTTGATAGTTCAGGTTTGAAACACTCTTTTTGTAGAAACTGCAAGGGGATAATTGCACTTCTTTGAGGCCTACCGTAGTAAAGGAAATAACTTCCTATAGAAAGAAGACAGAAGCATTCTCAGAACCCTCTTCGTGATGTTTGCATTCAACTCACAGTGCTGAACCTTTCTTTGATAGTTCAGCTTTGAAACACTCTTCTTGTAGAAACTGCAAGTGGATATTTGGTCCTCTCTGAGGATTTCGTTGGAAACGGGATAAACCGCACAGAACTAAACAGAAGAATTCTCAGAGCCCTCTTCGTGATGTTTGCATTCAACTCACAGTGCTGAACCTTTCTTTGATAGTGCAGCTTTGAAACACTCTTTTTGTAGAAACTGCAAGTGGATGTTTGGTCCTCTCTGAGGATTTCGTTGGAAACGGGATAAACCGCACAGAACTAAAACAGAAGCATTGTCAGAAACTTCTTTGTGATGATTGCATTCAACTCACAGAGTTGAAGGTTCCTTTTCAAACAGCAGTTTCCAATCACTCTTTCTGTGGAATCTGCAAGTGGATATTTGGGCCTCTCTGAGGATTTCGTTGGAAACGGGATAAAACGCACAGAACTAAAACAGAAGCATTCTCAGAAACTTCTCTGTGATGTTTGTGTTCAACTCCCAGAGTTTCACGTTGCTTTTCATAGAGTAGTTCTGAAACATGCTTTTCGTAGTGTCTGCAAGTGGACATTTGGAGCGCTTTCAGGCCTGTGGTGGAAAACGAATTATGGTCACATAAAAACTGGAGAGAAGCCTTCTCAGAAACTTCTCTGTGATGATTGCATTCAACTCACAGAGTTGAACCCTCCTATGGATAGAGCAGTGTTGAAACTCTCTTTTTGTGGAATCTGCAAGTGGATATGTGGACCTCTCCGAAGATGTCTTTGGAAACGGGAATATCTTCACATAAAAACTAAACAGAAGCATTCTCAGAAACTTCTTGGTGATGTTTGCATTCAAATCCCAGAGTTGAACCTTCCTTTGATAGTTCAGGTTTGAAACACTCTTTCTGTAGGATCTGCAAGTGGCTATTTGGACCACTCTGTGGCCTTCGTTCGAAACGGGTATATCTTCGCATAAAATCTAGACAGAAGCATTCTCAGAAAATACTTTGTGATGATTGAGTTAAAATCACAGAGCTGAACATTCCTTTGGATGGAGCAGGTTTGAGACACACTTTTTGTAGAATCTACAAGTGGATATTTGGACCTCTCTGAGGATTTCGTTGGAAACGGGATAACTGCACCTAACTAAACGGAAGCATTCTCAGAAACTGCTTTGTGATGATTGCATTCACCTCACAGAGTTGAACATTCCTATTGATAGAGCAGTTTGGAAACACTCTTGTTGTGGAATGTGCAAGTGGAGATTTGGAGCGCTTTGAGGCCTATGGTAGTAAAGGGAATAGCTTCATAGAAAAACTAGACAGATGCATTCTCAGGAACTTTTTGGTGATGTTTGTATTCAACTCCCAGAGTTGAACTTTCCTTTGGAAAGAGCAGCTATGAAACACTGTTTTTCTAGAATCTGCAAGTGGACGTTTGGAGGGCTTTGTGGTTTGTGGTGGAAAAGGAAATATCTTCACCTAAATACTAGATAGAAGCATTCTCAGAAGCTTCTCTGTGATGACTGCATTCAACTCACGGAGTTGAACACTCCTTTTGAGAGCGCAGTTTTGAAACTCTCTTTCTGTGGCATCTGCAAGGGGACATGTAGACCTCTTTGAAGATTTCGTTGGAAACGGAATCATCTTCACATAAAAACTATACAGAAGCAGTCTCAGAATCTTCTTTGTGATGTTTGCATTCAAATCCCCGAGTTGAACTTTCCTTTCAAAGTTCACGTTTGAAACACTCTTTTTGCAGGATCTACAAGTGGATATTTGGACCACTCTGTGTCCTTCGTTCGAAACGGGTATATCTTCACATGACATCTAGACAGAGGCTTTCTCAGAAAATTCTTTGGGATGATTGAGTTGAACTCACAGAGCTGAGCATTCCTTGCGATGTAGCAGTTTAGAAACACACTTTCTGCAGAATCTGCAAGTGCATATTTGGACCTCTGTGAGGAATTCGTTGGAAACGGGATAATTTCAGCTGACTAAACAGAAGCATTCTCAGAACCTTCTTCGTGATGTCTGCATTCAACTCACAGTGTGGAACCTTTCTTTGATAGTTCAGGTTTGAAACACTCTTTTTGTAGAAACTGCAAGGGGATAATTGCACTCTTTGAGGAGTACCGTAGTAAAGGAAATAACTTCCTCTAAAAAGAAGACAGAAGCATTCTCAGAACCCTCTTCGTGATGTTTGCATTCAACTCACAGTGCTGAACCTTTCTTTGATAGTTCAGCTTTGAAACACTCTTTTTGTAGAAACTGCAAGTGGATATTTGGTCCTCTCTGAGGATTTCGTTGGAAACGGGATAAACTGCACAGAACTAAACAGAAGCATTCTCAGAACCTTCTTCGTGATGTTTGCATTCAACTCACAGTGTGGAACCTTTCTTTGATAGTTCAGGTTTGAAACGGTCTTTCTGTAGAAACTGCAAGTAGATATTTGGACCTCTCTGAGGATTTCGTTGGAAACGGGATAACCCGCACAGAACTAAAACAGAAGCATTCACAGAAAACTCTTGGTGACGACTGAGTTTAACTCACAGAGCTGAACATTCCTTTGGATGGAGCAGATTCGAAACACACTATTTGTAGAATGTGCAAGTGGATATTTGGGCCTCTCTGAGGATTTCGTTGGAAACGGGATAAACCGCACAGAACTAAACAGAAGCATTCTCAGAAACTACTTTGTGATGATTGCATTCAAGTCACAGAGTTGAACATTCCCTTTGACAGAGCAGTTTGGAAACTCTCTTTGTGTAGAATCTGCAAGTGGAGATATGGACCGCTTTGAGGCCTATGGTAGTAAAGGAAATAGCTTCATATAAAAGCTAGACAGTAGCATTCTCAGAAACTTCTTTGTGATGCTTGCATTCAACTCACAGAGTTGAACTTTCCTTTCGAGAGAGAAGCTTTGAAACACTTTTTTTCCAGAATGTGCAAGTGGACATTTGGGTAGCTTTGAGGCCTGGGGTGGAAAAGGAATTATCTTCCCGTAAAAGCTAGATAGAAGCATTGTCAGAAACTTCTTTGTGATGATTGCATTCAACTCACAGAGTTGAAGGTTCCTTTTCAAACAGCAGTTTCCAATCACTCTTTCTGTGGAATCTGCAAGTGGATATTTCGACCTCTTTGAAGATTTCGTTGGAAACGGGAGAATCTTCACAGAAAAGCTAAACAGAAGCATTCTCAGAAACTTCTCTGTGATGTTTGTGTTCAACTCCCAGAGTTTCACGTTGCTTTTCATAGAGTAGTTCTGAAACATGCTTTTCGTAGTGTCTGCAAGTGGACATTTGGAGCGCTTTCAGGCCTGTGGTGGAAAACGAATTATGGTCACATAAAAACTGGAGAGAAGCCTTCTCAGAAACTTCTCTGTGATGATTGCATTCAACTCACAGAGTTGAACCCTCCTATGGATAGAGCAGTGTTGAAACTCTCTTTTTGTGGAATCTGCAAGTGGATATGTGGACCTCTCCGAAGATGTCTTTGGAAACGGGAATATCTTCACATAAAAACTAAACAGAAGCATTCTCAGAAACTTCTTGGTGATGTTTGCATTCAAATCCCAGAGTTGAACCTTCCTTTGATAGTTCAGGTTTGAAACACTCTTTCTGTAGGATCTGCAAGTGGCTATTTGGACCACTCTGTGGCCTTCGTTCGAAACGGGTATATCTTCGCATAAAATCTAGACAGAAGCATTCTCAGAAAATACTTTGTGATGATTGAGTTTAAATCACAGAGCTGACCATTCCTTTGGATGGAGCAGGTTTGAGACACACTTTTTGTAGAATCTACAAGTGGATATTTGGACCTCTCTGAGGATTTCGTTGGAAACGGGATAACTGCACCTAACTAAACGGAAGCATTCTCAGAAACTGCTTTGTGATGATTGCATTCACCTCACAGAGTTGAACATTCCTATTGATAGAGCAGTTTGGAAACACTCTTGTTGTGGAATGTGCAAGTGGAGATTTGGAGCGCTTTGAGGCCTATGGTAGTAAAGGGAATAGCTTCATAGAAAAACTAGACAGATGCATTCTCAGGAACTTTTTGGTGATGTTTGTATTCAACTCCCAGAGTTGAACTTTCCTTTGGAAAGAGCAGCTATGAAACACTCTTTTTCTAGAATCTGCAAGTGGACGTTTGGAGGGCTTTGTGGTTTGTGGTGGAAAAGGAAATATCTTCACCTAAATACTAGATAGAAGCATCCTCAGAAGCTTCTCTGTGATGACTGCATTCAACTCACGGAGTTGAACACTCCTTTTGAGAGCGCAGTTTTGAAACTCTCTTTCTGTGGCATCTGCAAGGGGACATGTAGACCTCCTTGAAGATTTCGTTGGAAACGGAATCATCTTCACATAAAAACTATACAGAAGCAGTCTCAGAATCTTCTTTGTGATGTTTGCATTCAAATCCCAGAGTTGAACTTTCCTTTCAAAGTTCACGTTTGAAACACTCTTTTTGCAGGATCTACAAGTGGATATTTGGACCACTCTGTGTCCTTCGTTCGAAACGGGTATATCTTCACATGACATCTAGACAGAAGCTTTCTCAGAAAATTCTTTGGGATGATTGAGTGGAACTCACAGAGCTGAACATTCCTTGCGATGTAGCAGTTTAGAAACACACTTTCTGCAGAATCTGCAAGTGCATATTTGGACCTCTCTGAGGAATTCGTTGGAAACGGGATAATTTCAGCTGACTAAACAGAAGCATTCTCAGAACCTTCTTCGTGATGTTTGCATTCAACTCACAGTGTTGAACCTTTCTTTGATAGTTCAGGTTGGAAACGGTCTTTCTGTAGAAACTGCAAGTAGATATTTGGACCTCTCTGAGGATTTCGTTGGAAACGGGATAAACCGCACAGAACTAAAACCTAAGAATTCTCAGAGCCCTCTTCGTGATGTTTGCATTCAACTCACAGTGCTGAACCTTTCTTTGATAGTGCAGCTTTGAAACACTCTTTTTGTAGAAACTGCAAGTGGATATTTGGTCCTCTCTGAGGATTTCGTTGGAAACGGGATAAACCGCACAGAACTAAACAGAAGCATTCACAGAAAACTCTTGGTGACGACTGAGTTTAACTCACAGAGCTGAACATTCCTTTGGATGGAGCAGTTTCGAAACACACTATTTGTAGAATCTGCAAGTGGATATTTGGGCCTCTCTGAGGATTTCGTTGGAAACGGGATAAAACGCACAGAACTAAAACAGAAGCATTCTCAGAAACTACTTTGTGATGATTGCATTCAAGTCACAGAGTTGAACATTCCCTTTGACAGAGCAGTTTGGAAACTCTCTTTGTGTAGAATCTGCAAGTGGAGATATGGACCGCTTTGAGGCCTATGGTAGTAAAGGAAATACCTTCATATAAAAGCTAGACAGTAGCATTCTCAGAAACTTCTTTGTGATGCTTGCATTCAACTCACAGAGTTGAACTTTCCTTTCGAGAGAGAAGCTTTGAAACACTCTTTTTCCAGAATGTGCAAGTGGACATTTGGGGAGCTTTGAGGCCTGTGGTGGAAAAGGAATTATCTTCCCGTAAAAGCTAGATAGAAGCATTGTCAGAAACTTCTTTGTGATGATTGCATTCAACTCACAGAGTTGAAGGTTCCTTTTCAAACAGCAGTTTCCAATCACTCTTTCTGTGGAATCTGCAAGTGGATATTTCGACCTCTTTGAAGATTTCGTTGGAAACGGGAGAATCTTCACAGAAAAGCTAAACAGAAGCATTCTCAGAAACTTCTCTGTGATGTTTGTGTTCAACTCCCAGAGTTTCACGTTGCTTTTCATAGAGTAGTTCTGAAACATGCTTTTCGTAGTGTCTGCAAGTGGACATTTGGAGCACTTTCAGGCCTGTGGTGGAAAACGAATTATGGTCACATAAAAACTGGAGAGAAGCCTTCTCAGAAACTTCTCTGTGATGATTGCATTCAACTCACAGAGTTGAACCCTCCTATGGATAGAGCAGTGTTGAAACTCTCTTTTTGTGGAATCTGCAAGTGGATATGTGGACCTCTCCGAAGATGTCTTTGGAAACGGGAATATCTTCACATAAAAACTAAACAGAAGCATTCTCAGAAACTTCTTGGTGATGTTTGCATTCAAATCCCAGAGTTGAACCTTCCTTTGATAGTTCAGGTTTGAAACACTCTTTTTGTAGGATCTGCAAGTGGATATTTGGACCACTCTGTGGCCTTCGTTCGAAACGGGTATATCTTCGCATAAAATCTAGACAGAAGCATTCTCAGAAAATACTTTGTGATGATTGAGTTTAACTCACAGAGCTGAACATTCCTTTGGATGGAGCAGGTTTGAGACACACCTTTTGTAGAATCTACAAGTGGATATTTGGACCTCTCTGAGGATTTCGTTGGAAACGGGATAACTGCACCTAACTAAACGGAAGCATTCTCAGAAACTGCTTTGTGATGATTGCATTCACCTCACAGAGTTGAACATTCCTATTGATAGAGCAGTTTGGAAACACTCTTGTTGTGGAATGTGCAAGTGGAGATTTGGAGCGCTTTGAGGCCTATGGTAGTAAAGGGAATAGCTTCATAGAAAAACTAGACAGATGCATTCTCAGGAAACTTTTTGGTGATGTTTGTATTCAACTCCCAGAGTTGAACTTTCCTTTGGAAAGAGCAGCTATGAAACACTGTTTTTCTAGAATCTGCAAGTGGACGTTTGGAGGGCTTTGTGGTTTGTGGTGGAAAAGGAAATATCTTCACCTAAATACTAGATAGAAGCATCCTCAGAAGCTTCTCTGTGATGACTGCATTCAACTCACGGAGTTGAACACTCCTTTTGAGAGCGCAGTTTTGAAACTCTCTTTCTGTGGCATCTGCAAGGGGACATGTAGACCTCTTTGAAGATTTCGTTGGAAACGGAATCATCTTCACATAAAAACTACACAGAAGCAGTCTCAGCAATCTTCTTTGTGATGTTTGCATTCAAATCCCCGAGTTGAACTTTCCTTTCAAAGTTCACGTTTGAAACACTCTTTTTGCAGGATCTACAAGTGGATATTTGGACCACTCTGTGTCCTTCGTTCGAAACGGGTATATCTTCACATGACATCTAGACAGAAGCTTTCTCAGAAAATTCTTTGGGATGATTGAGTTGAACTCACAGAGCTGAGCATTCCTTGCGATGTAGCAGTTTAGAAACACACTTTCTGCAGAATCTGCAAGTGCATATTTGGGACCTCTGTGAGGAATTCGTTGGAAACGGGATAATTTCAGCTGACTAAACAGAAGCATTCTCAGAACCTTCTTCGTGATGTCTGCATTCAACTCACAGTGTGGAACCTTTCTTTGATAGTTCAGGTTTGAAACACTCTTTTTGTAGAAACTGCAAGGGGATAATTGCACTTCTTTGAGGCCTACCGTAGTAAAGGAAATAACTTCCTATAGAAAGAAGACAGAAGCATTCTCAGAACCCTCTTCATGATGTTTGCATTCAACTCACAGTGCTGAACCTTTCTTTGATAGTTCAGCTTTGAAACACTCTTCTTGTAGAAACTGCAAGTGGATATTTGGTCCTCTCTGAGGATTTCGTTGGAAACGGGATAAACCGCACAGAACTAAACAGAAGCATTCTCAGAACCTTCTTCGTGATGTTTGCATTCAACTCACAGTGTTGAACCTTTCTTTGATAGTTCAGGTTTGAAACGGTCTTTCTGTAGAAACTGCAAGTAGATATTTGGACCTCTCTGAGGATTTCGTTGGAAACGGGATAAACCGCACAGAACTAAAACAGAAGCATTCACAGAAAACCCTTGGTGACGAATGAGTTTAACTCACAGTGCTGAACATTCCTTTGGATGGAGCAGTTTCAAAACACACTATTTGTAGAATCTGCAAGTGGATATGTGGGCCTCTCTGAGGATTTCGTTGGAAACGGGATAAACCGCACAGAACTAAAACAGAAGCATTCTCAGAAACTACTTTGTGATGATTGCATTCAAGTCACAGAGTTGAACATTCCCTATGACAGAGCAGTTTGGAAACTCTCTTTGTGTAGAATCTGCAAGTGGAGATATGGACCGCTTTGAGGCCTATGGTAGTAAAGGAAATAGCTTCATATAAAAGCTAGACAGTAGCATTCTCAGAAACTTCTTTGTGATGCTTGCATTCAACTCACAGAGTTGAACTTTCCTTTCGAGAGAGAAGCTTTGAAACACTCTTTTTCCAGAATGTGCAAGTGGACATTTGGAGGGCTTTGAGGCCTGTGGTGGAAAAGGAATTATCTTCCCGTAAAAGCTAGATAGAAGCATTGTCAGAAACTTCTTTGTGATGATTGCATTCAAGTCACAGAGTTGAAGGTTCCTTTTCAAAGAGCAGTTTCCAATCACTCTTTCTGTGGAATCTGCAAGTGGATATTTGGACCTCTTTGAAGATTTCGTTGGAAACGGGAGAATCTTCACAGAAAAGCTAAACAGAAGCATTCTCAGAAACTTCTCTGTGATGTTTGTGTTCAACTCCCAGAGTTTCACATTGCTTCTCATAGAGTAGTTCTGAAACATGCTTTTCGTAGTGTCTGCAAGTGGACATTTGGAGCGCTTTCAGGCCTGTGGTGGAAAACGAATTATGGTCACATAAAAACTGGAGAGAAGCCTTCTCAGAAACTTCTCTGTGATGATTGCATTCAACTCACAGAGTTGAACCCTCCTATGGATAGAGCATTGTTGAAACTCTCTTTTTGTGGAATCTGCAAGTGGATATGTGGACCTCTCCGAAGATGTCTTTGGCAACGGGAATATCTTCACATAAAAACTAAACAGAAGCATTCTCAGAAACTTCTTGGTGATGTTTGCATTCAAATCCCAGAGTTGAACCTTCCTGTGATAGTTCAGGTTTGAAACACTCTTTTTGTAGGATCTGCAAGTGGATATTTGGACCACTCTGTGGCCTTCGTTCGAAACGGGTACATCTTCACATAAAATCTAGACAGAAGCATTCTCAGAAAATACTTTGTGATGATTGAGTTTAACTCACGGAGCTGAACATTCCTTTGGATGGAGCAGGTTTGAGACACACTTTTTGTAGAATCTACAAGTGGATATTGGGACCTCTCTGAGGATTTCGTTGGAAACGCGATAACTGCACCTAACTAAACGGAAGCATTCTCAGAAACTGCTTTGTGATGATTGCATTCACCTCACAGAGTTGAACATTCCTATTGATAGAGCAGTTTGGAAACACTCTTGTTGTGGAATGTGCAAGTGGAGATTTGGAGCGCTTTGAGGCCTATGGTAGTAAAGGGAATAGCTTCATAGAAAAACAAGACAGATGCATTCTCAGGAACTTTTTGGTGATGTTTGTATTCAACTCCCAGAGTTGAACTTTCCTTTGGAAAGAGCAGCTATGAAACACTGTTTTTCTAGAATCTGCAAGTGGACGTTTGGAGGGCTTTGTGGTTTGTGGTGGAAAAGGAAATATCTTCACCTAAATACTAGATAGAAGCATTCTCAGAAGCTTCTCTGTGATGACTGCATTCAACTCACGGAGTTGAACACTCCTTTTGAGAGCGCAGTTTTGAAACTCTCTTTCTGTGGCATCTGCAAGGGGACATGTAGACCTCTTTGAAGATTTCGTTGGAAACGGAATCATCTTCACATAAAAACTATACAGAAGCAGTCTCAGAATCTTCTTTGTGATGTTTGCATTCAAATCCCAGAGTTGAACTTTCCTTTCAAAGTTCACGTTTGAAACACTCTTTTTGCAGGATCTACAAGTGTATATTTGGACCACTCTGTGTCCTTCGTTCGAAACGGGTATATCTTCACATGACATCTAGACAGAAGCTTTCTCAGAAAATTCTTTGGGTTGATTGAGTTGAACTCACAGAGCTGAACATTCCTTGCGATGTAGCAGTTTAGAAACACACTTTCTGCAGAATCTGCAAGTGCATATTTGGACCTCTCTGAGGAATTCGTTGGAAACGGGATAATTTCAGCTGACTAAACAGAAGCATTCTCAGAACCTTCTTCGTGATGTCTGCATTCAACTCACAGTGTGGAACCTTTCTTTGATAGTTCAGGTTTGAAACACTCTTTTTGTAGAAACTGCAAGGGGATAATTGCACTTCTTTGAGGCCTACCGTAGTAAAGGAAATAACTTCCTATAGAAAGAAGACAGAAGCATTCTCAGAACCCTCTTCGTGATGTTTGCATTCAACTCACAGTGCTGAACCTTTCTTTGATAGTTCAGCTTTGAAACACTCTTCTTGTAGAAACTGCAAGTGGATATTTGGTCCTCTCTGAGGATTTCGTTGGAAACGGGATAAACCGCACAGAACTAAACAGAAGCATTCTCAGAACCTTCTTCGTGATGTTTGCATTCAACTCACAGTGTTGAACCTTTCTTTGATAGTTCAGGTTTGAAACGGTCTTTCTGTAGAAACTGCAAGTAGATATTTGGACCTCTCTGAGGATTTCGTTGGAAACGGGATAACCCGCACAGAACTAAAACAGAAGCATTCACAGAAAACTCTTGGTGACGACTGAGTTTAACTCACAGAGCTGAACATTCCTTTGGATGGAGCAGTTTCGAAACACACGATTTGTAGAATGTGCAAGTGGATATGTGGGCCTCTCTGAGGATTTCGTTGGAAACGGGATAAACCGCACAGAACTAAACAGAAGCATTCTCAGAAACTACTTTGTGATGATTGCATTCAAGTCACAGAGTTGAACATTCCCTTTGACAGAGCAGTTTGGAAACTCTCTTTGTGTAGAATCTGCAAGTGGAGATATGGACCGCTTTGAGGCCTATGGTAGTAAAGGAAATAGCTTCATATAAAAGCTAGACAGTAGCATTCTCAGAAACTTCTTTGTGATGCTTGCATTCAACTCACAGAGTTGAACTTTCCTTTCGAGAGAGAAGCTTTGAAACACTCTTTTTCCAGAATGTGCAAGTGGACATTTGGGGAGCTTTGAGGCCTGTGGTGGAAAAGGAATTATCTTCCCGTAAAAGCTAGATAGAAGCATTGTCAGAAACTTCTTTGAGATGATTGCATTCAACTCACAGAGTTGAAGGTTCCTTTTCAAACAGCAGTTTCCAATCACTCTTTCTGTGGAATCTGCAAGTGGATATTTCGACCTCTTTGAAGATTTCGTTGGAAACGGGAGAATCTTCACAGAAAAGCTAAACAGAAGCATTCTCAGAAACTTCTCTGTGATGTTTGTGTTCAACTCCCAGAGTTTCACGTTGCTTTTCATAGAGTAGTTCTGAAACATGCTTTTCGTAGTGTCTGCAAGTGGACATTTGGAGCGCTTTCAGGCCTGTGGTGGAAAACGAATTATGGTCACATAAAAACTGGAGAGAAGCCTTCTCAGGAAACTTCTCTGTGATGATTGCATTCAACTCACAGAGTTGAACCCTCCTATGGATAGAGCAGTGTTGAAACTCTCTTTTTGTGGAATCTGCAAGTGGATATGTGGACCTCTCCGAAGATGTCTTTGGAAACGGGAATATCTTCACATAAAAACTAAACAGAAGCATTCTCAGAAACTTCTTGGTGATGTTTGCATTCAAATCCCAGAGTTGAACCTTCCTTTGATAGTTCAGGTTTGAAACACTCTTTCTGTAGGATCTGCAAGTGGCTATTTGGACCACTCTGTGGCCTTCGTTCGAAACGGGTATATCTTCGCATAAAATCTAGACAGAAAGCATTCTCAGAAAATACTTTGTGATGATTGAGTTTAAATCACAGAGCTGACCATTCCTTTGGATGGAGCAGGTTTGAGACACACTTTTTGTAGAATCTACAAGTGGATATTTGGACCTCTCTGAGGATTTCGTTGGAAACGGGATAACTGCACCTAACTAAACGGAGCATTCTCAGAAACTGCTTTGTGATGATTGCATTCACCTCACAGAGTTGAACATTCCTATTGATAGAGCAGTTTGGAAACACTCTTGTTGTGGAATGTGCAAGTGGAGATTTGGAGCGCTTTGAGGCCTGTGGTAGTAAAGGGAATAGCTTCATAGAAAAACTAGACAGATGCATTCTCAGGAACCTTTTGGTGATGTTTGTATTCAACTCCCAGAGTTGAACTTTCCTTTGGAAAGAGCAGCTATGAAACACTCTTTTTCTAGAATCTGCAAGTGGACGTTTGGAGGGCTTTGTGGTTTGTGGTGGAAAAGGAAATATCTTCACCTAAATACTAGATAGAAGCATTCTCAGAAGCTTCTCTGTGATGACTGCATTCAACTCACGGAGTTGAACACTCCTTTTGAGAGCGCAGTTTTGAAACTCTCTTTCTGTGGCATCTGCAAGGGGACATGTAGACCTCTTTGAAGATTTCGTTGGAAACGGAATCATCTTCACATAAAAACTATACAGAAGCAGTCTCAGAATCTTCTTTGTGATGTTTGCATTCAAATCCCAGAGTTGAACTTTCCTTTCAAAGTTCACGTTTGAAACACTCTTTTTGCAGGATCTACAAGTGGATATTTGGACCACTCTGTGTCCTTCGTTCGAAACGGGTATATCTTCACACGACATCTAGACAGAAGCTTTCTCAGAAAATTCTTTGGGATGATTGAGTGGAACTCACAGAGCTGAACATTCCTTGCGATGTAGCAGTTTAGAAACACACTTTCTGCAGAATCTGCAAGTGCATATTTGGACCTCTCTGAGGAATTCGTTGGAAACGGGATAATTTCAGCTGACTAAACAGAAGCATTCTCAGAACCTTCTTCGTGATGTCTGCATTCAACTCACAGTGTGGAACCTTTCTTTGATAGTTCAGGTTTGAAACACTCTTTTTGTAGAAACTGCAAGGGGATAATTGCACTTCTTTGAGGCCTACCGTAGTAAAGGAAATAACTTCCTATAGAAAGAAGACAGAAGCATTCTCAGAACCCTCTTCGTGATGTTTGCATTCAACTCACAGTGCTGAACCTTTCTTTGATAGTTCAGCTTTGAAACACTCTTCTTGTAGAAACTGCAAGTGGATATTTGGTCCTCTCTGAGGATTTCGTTGGAAACGGGATAAACCGCACAGAACTAAACAGAAGAATTCTCAGAGCCCTCTTCGTGATGTTTGCATTCAACTCACAGTGCTGAACCTTTCTTTGATAGTGCAGCTTTGAAACACTCTTTTTGTAGAAACTGCAAGTGGATGTTTGGTCCTCTCTGAGGATTTCGTTGGAAACGGGATAAACCGCACAGAACTAAAACAGAAGCATTGTCAGAAACTTCTTTGTGATGATTGCATTCAACTCACAGAGTTGAAGGTTCCTTTTCAAACAGCAGTTTCCAATCACTCTTTCTGTGGAATCTGCAAGTGGATATTTGGGCCTCTCTGAGGATTTCGTTGGAAACGGGATAAAACGCACAGAACTAAAACAGAAGCATTCTCAGAAACTTCTCTGTGATGTTTGTGTTCAACTCCCAGAGTTTCACGTTGCTTTTCATAGAGTAGTTCTGAAACATGCTTTTCGTAGTGTCTGCAAGTGGACATTTGGAGCGCTTTCAGGCCTGTGGTGGAAAACGAATTATGGTCACATAAAAACTGGAGAGAAGCCTTCTCAGAAACTTCTCTGTGATGATTGCATTCAACTCACAGAGTTGAACCCTCCTATGGATAGAGCAGTGTTGAAACTCTCTTTTTGTGGAATCTGCAAGTGGATATGTGGACCTCTCCGAGGATGTCTTTGGAAACGGGAATATCTTCACATAAAAACTAAACAGAAGCATTCTCAGAAACTTCTTGGTGATGTTTGCATTCAAATCCCAGAGTTGAACCTTCCTTTGATAGTTCAGGTTTGAAATACTCTTTTTGTAGGATCTGCAAGTGGATATTTGGACCACTCTGTGGCCTTCGTTCGAAACGGGTACATCTTCGCATAAAATCTAGACAGAAGCATTCTCAGAAAATACTTTGTGATGATTGAGTTGAACTCACAGAGCTGAACATTCCTTTGGATGGAGCAGGTTTGAGACACACTTTTTGTAGAATCTACAAGTGGATATTTGGACCTCTCTGAGGATTTCGTTGGAAACGGGATAACTGCACCTAACTAAACGGAAGCATTCTCAGAAACTGCTTTGTGATGATTGCATTCACCTCACAGAGTTGAACATTCCTATTGATAGAGCAGTTTGGAAACACTCTTGTTGTGGAATGTGCAAGTGGAGATTTGGAGCGCTTTGAGGCCTATGGTAGTAAAGGGAATAGCTTCATAGAAAAACTAGACAGATGCATTCTCAGGAACTTTTTGGTGATGTTTGTATTCAACTCCCAGAGTTGAACTTTCCTTTGGAAAGAGCAGCTATGAAACACTCTTTTTCTAGAATCTGCAAGTGGACGTTTGGAGGGCTTTGTGGTTTGTGGTGGAAAAGGAAATATCTTCACCTAAATACTAGATAGAAGCATTCTCAGAAGCTTCTCTGTGATGACTGCATTCAACTCACGGAGTTGAACACTCCTTTTGAGAGCGCAGTTTTGAAACTCTCTTTCTGTGGCATCTGCAAGGGGACATGTAGACCTCTTTGAAGATTTCGTTGGAAACGGAATCATCTTCACATAAAAACTATACAGAAGCAGTCTCAGAATCTTCTTTGTGATGTTTGCATTCAAATCCCAGAGTTGAACTTTCCTTTCAAAGTTCACGTTTGAAACACTCTTTTTGCAGGATCTACAAGTGGATATTTGGACCACTCTGTGTCCTTCGTTCGAAACGGGTATATCTTCACACGACATCTAGACAGAAGCTTTCTCAGAAAATTCTTTGGGATGATTGAGTGGAACTCACAGAGCTGAACATTCCTTGCGATGGAGCAGTTTAGAAACACACTTTCTGCAGAATCTGCAAGTGCATATTTGGACCTCTCTGAGGAATTCGTTGGAAACGGGATAATTTCAGCTGACTAAACAGAAGCATTCTCAGAACCTTCTTCGTGATGTCTGCATTCAACTCACAGTGTGGAACCTTTCTTTGATAGTTCAGGTTTGAAACACTCTTTTTGTAGAAACTGCAAGGGGATAATTGCACTTCTTTGAGGCCTACCGTAGTAAAGGAAATAACTTCCTATAGAAAGAAGACAGAAGCATTCTCAGAACCCTCTTCGTGATGTTTGCATTCAACTCACAGTGCTGAACCTTTCTTTGATAGTGCAGCTTTGAAACACTCTTTTTGTAGAAACTGCAAGTGGATATTTGGTCCTCTCTGAGGATTTCGTTGGAAACGGGATAAACCGCACAGAACTAAAACAGAAGCATTCTCAGAGCCCTCTTCGTGATGTTTGCCTTCAACTCACAGTGCTGAACCTTTCTTTGATAGTGCAGCTTTGAAACACTCTTTTTGTAGAAACTGCAAGTGGATATTTGGTCCTCTCTGAGGATTTCGTTGGAAACGGGATAAACCGCACAGAACTAAAACAGAAGCATTCTCAGAACCTTCTTCGTGATGTTTGCATTCAACTCACAGTGTTGAACCTTTCTTTGATAGTTCAGGTTTGAAACGGTCTTTCTGTAGAAACTGCAAGTAGATATTTGGACCTCTCTGAGGATTTCGTTGGAAACGGGATAACCCGCACAGAACTAAAACAGAAGCATTCACAGAAAACTCTTGGTGACGACTGAGTTTAACTCACAGAGCTGAACATTCCTTTGGATGGAGCAGTTTCGAAACACACTATTTGTAGAATGTGCAAGTGGATATTTGGGCCTCTCTGAGGATTTCGTTGGAAACGGGATAAACCGCACAGAACTAAACAGAAGCATTCTCAGAAACTACTTTGTGATGATTGCATTCAAGTCACAGAGTTGAACATTCCCTTTGACAGAGCAGTTTGGAAACTCTCTTTGTGTAGAATCTGCAAGTGGAGATATGGACCGCTTTGAGGCCTATGGTAGTAAAGGAAATAGCTTCATATAAAAGCTAGACAGTAGCATTCTGAGAAACTTCTTTGTGATGCTTGCATTCAACTCACAGAGTTGAACTTTCCTTTCGAGAGAGAAGCTTTGAAACACTCTTTTTCCAGAATCTGCAAGTGGACATTTGGAGGGCTTTGAGGCCTGTGGTGGAAAAGGAATTATCTTCCCATAAAAGCTAGATAGAAGCATTGTCAGAAACTTCTTTGTGATGATTGCATTCAAGTCACAGAGTTGAAGGTTCCTTTTCAAAGAGCAGTTTCCAATCACTCTTTCTGTGGAATCTGCAAGTGGATATTTGGACCTCTTTGAAGATTTCGTTGGAAACGGGAGAATCTTCACAGAAAAGCTAAACAGAAACATTCTCAGAAACTTCTCTGTGATGTTTGTGTTCAACTCCCAGAGTTTCACATTGCTTCTCATAGAGTAGTTCTGAAACATGCTTTTCGTAGTGTCTGCAAGTGGACATTTGGAGCGCTTTCAGGCCTGTGGTGGAAAACGAATTATGGTCACATAAAAACTGGAGAGAAGCATTCTCAGAAACTTCTTGGTGATGTTTGCATTCAAATCCCAGAGTTGAACCTTCCTTTGATAGTTCAGGTTTGAAACACTCTTTTTGTAGGATCTGCAAGTGGCTATTTGGACCACTCTGTGGCCTTCGTTCGAAACGGGTATATACTTCGCATAAAATCTAGACAGAAGCATTCTCAGAAAATACTTTGTGATGATTGAGTTTAAATCACAGAGCTGACCATTCCTTTGGATGGAGCAGGTTTGAGACACACTTTTTGTAGAATCTACAAGTGGATATTTGGACCTCTCTGAGGATTTCGTTGGAAACGGGATAACTGCACCTAACTAAACGGAAAGCATTCTCAGAAACTGCTTTGTGATGATTGCATTCACCTCACAGGAGTTGAACATTCCTATTGATAGAGCAGTTTGGAAACACTCTTGTTGTGGAATGTGCAAGTGGAGATTTGGAGCGCTTTGAGGCCTGTGGTAGTAAAGGGAATAGCTTCATAGAAAAACTAGACAGATGCATTCTCAGGAACTTTTTTGTGATGTTTGTATTCAACTCCCAGAGTTGAACTTTCCTTTGGAAAGAGCAGCTATGAAACACTCTTTTTCTAGAATCTGCAAGTGGACGTTTGGAGGGCTTTGTGGTTTGTGGTGGAAAAGGAAATATCTTCACCTAAATACTAGATAGAAGCATTCTCAGAAGCTTCTCTGTGATGACTGCATTCAACTCACGGAGTTGAACACTCCTTTTGAGAGCGCAGTTTTGAAACTCTCTTTCTGTGGCATCTGCAAGGGGACATGTAGACCTCTTTGAAGATTTCGTTGGAAACGGAATCATCTTCACATCAAAACTATACAGAAGCAGTCTCAGAATCTTCTTTGTGATGTTTGCATTCAAATCCCAGAGTTGAACTTTCCTTTCAAAGTTCACGTTTGAAACACTCTTTTTGCAGGATCTACAAGTGGATATTTGGACCACTCTGTGTCCTTCGTTCGAAACGGGTATATCTTCACATGACATCTAGACAGAAGCTTTCTCAGAAAATTCTTTGGGATGATTGAGTGGAACTCACAGAGCTGAACATTCCTTGCGATGTAGCAGTTTAGAAACACACTTTCTGCAGAATCTGCAAGTGCATATTTGGACCTCTCTGAGGAATTCGTCGGAAATGGGATAATTTCAGCTGACTAAACAGAAGCATTCTCAGAACCTTCTTCGTGATGTCTGCATTCAACTCACAGTGTGGAACCTTTCTTTGATAGTTCAGGTTTGAGACACTCTTTTTGTAGAAACTGCAAGGGGATAATTGCACTTCTATGAGGCCTACCGTAGTAAAGGAAATAACTTCCTATAGAAAGAAGACAGAAGCATTCTCAGAACCCTCTTCGTGATGTTTGCATTCAACTCACAGTGCTGAACCTTTCTTTGATAGTTCAGCTTTGAAACACTCTTCTTGTAGAAACTGCAAGTGGATATTTGGTCCTCTCTGAGGATTTCGTTGGAAACGGGATAAACCGCACAGAACTAAACAGAAGAATTCTCAGAGCCCTCTTCGTGATGTTTGCATTCAACTCACAGTGCTGAACCTTTCTTTGATAGTGCAGCTTTGAAACACTCTTTTTGTAGAAACTGCAAGTGGATGTTTGGTCCTCTCTGAGGATTTCGTTGGAAACGGGATAAACCGCACAGAACTAAAACAGAAGCATTCACAGAAAACTCTTGGTGACGACTGAGTTTAACTCACAGAGCTGAACATTCCTTTGGATGGAGCAGTTTCGAAACACACTATTTGTAGAATCTGAAAGTGGATATTTGGGCCTCTCTGAGGATTTCGTTGGAAACGGGATAAAACGCACAGAACTAAAACAGAAGCATTCTCAGAAACTACTTTGTGATTATTGCATTCAAGTCACAGAGTTGAACATTCCCTTTGACAGAGCAGTTTGGAAACTCTCTTTGTGTAGAATCTGCAAGTGGAGATATGGACCGCTTTGAGGCCTATGGTAGTAAAGGAAATAGCTTCATATAAAAGCTAGACAGTAGCATTCTCAGAAACTTCTTTGTGATGCTTGCATTCAACTCACAGAGTTGAACTTTCCTTTCGAGAGAGAAGCTTTGAAACACTCTTTTTCCAGAATGTGCAAGTGGACATTTGGGGAGCTTTGAGGCCTGTGGAGGAAAAGGAATTATCTTCCCGTAAAAGCTAGATAGAAGCATTGTCAGAAACTTCTTTGTGATGATTGCATTCAACTCACAGAGTTGAAGGTTCCTTTTCAAACAGCAGTTTCCAATCACTCTTTCTGTGGAATCTGCAAGTGGATATTTCGACCTCTTTGAAGATTTCGTTGGAAACGGGAGAATCTTCACAGAAAAGCTAAACAGAAGCATTCTCAGAAACTTCTCTGTGATGTTTGTGTTCAACTCCCAGAGTTTCACATTGCTTTTCATAGAGTAGTTCTGAAACATGCTTTTCGTAGTGTCTGCAAGTGGACATTTGGAGCGCTTTCAGGCCTGTGGTGGAAAACGAATTATGGTCACAGAAAAACTGGAGAGAAGCCTTCTCAGAAACTTCTCTGTGATGATTGCATTCAACTCACAGAGTTGAACCCTCCTATGGATAGAGCAGTGTTGAAACTCTGTTTTGTGGAATCTGCAAGTGGATATGTGGACCTCTCCGAAGATGTCTTTGGAAACGGGAATATCTTCACATAAAAACTAAACAGCAGCATTCTCAGAAACTTCTTGGTGATGTTTACATTCAAATCCCAGAGTTGAAGCTTCCTTTGATAGTTCAGGTTTGAAACACTCTTTTTGTAGGATCTGCAAGTGGATATTTGGACCACTCTGTGGCCTTCGTTCGAAACGGGTACATCTTCGCATAAAATCTAGACAGAAGCATTCTCAGAAAATACTTTGTGATGATTGAGTTTAACTCACAGAGCTGAACATTCCTTTGGATGGAGCAGGTTTGAGACACACTTTTTGTAGAATCTACAAGTGGATATTTGGACCTCTCTGAGGATTTCGTTGGAAACGGGATAACTGCACCTAACTAAACGGAAGCATTCTCAGAAACTGCTTTGTGATGATTGCATTCACCTCACAGAGTTGAACATTCCTATTGATAGAGCAGTTTGGAAACACTCTTGTTGTGGAATGTGTAAGTGGAGATTTGGAGCGCTTTGAGGCCTATGGTAGTAAAGGGAATAGCTTCATAGAAAAACTAGACAGATGCATTCTCAGGAACTTTTTGGTGATGTTTGTATTCAACTCCCAGAGTTGAACTTTCCTTTGGAAAGAGCAGCTATGAAACACTCTTTTTCTAGAATCTGCAAGTGGACGTTTGGAGGGCTTTGTGGTTTGTGGTGGAAAAGGAAATATCTTCACCTAAATACTAGATAGAAGCATTCTCAGAAGCTTCTCTGTGATGACTGCATTCAACTCACGGAGTTGAACACTCCTTTTGAGAGCGCAGTTTTGGAACTCTCTTTCTGTGGCATCTGCAAGGGGACATGTAGACCTCTTTGAAGATTTCGTTGGAAACGGAATCATCTTCACATAAAAACTATACAGAAGCAGTCTCAGAATCTTCTTTGTGATGTTTGCATTCAAATCCCTGAGTTGAACTTTCCTTTCCAAGTTCACGTTTGAAACACTCTTTTTGCAGGATCTACAAGTGGATATTTGGACCACTCTGTGTCCTTCGTTCGAAACGGGTATATCTTCACATGACATCTAGACAGAAGCTTTCTCAGAAAATTCTTTGGGATGATTGAGTGGAACTCACAGAGCTGAACATTCCTTGCGATGTAGCAGTTTAGAAACACACTTTCTGCAGAATCTGCAAGTGCATATTTGGACCTCTCTGAGGAATTCGTTGGAAACGGGATAATTTCAGCTGACTAAACAGAAGCATTCTCAGAACCCTCTTCGTGATGTTTGCATTCAACTCACAGTGCTGAACCTTCCTTTGATAGTTCAGGTTTGAAACACTCTTTTTGTAGAAACTGCAAGGGGATAATTGCACTTCTTTGAGGCCTACCGTAGTAAAGGAAATAACTTCCTATAGAAAGAAGACAGAAGAATTCTCAGAGCCCTCTTCGTGATGTTTGCATTCAACTCACAGTGCTGAACCTTTCTTTGATAGTGCAGCTTTGAAACACTCTTTTTGTAGAAACTGCAAGTGGATGTTTGGTCCTCTCTGAGGATTTCGTTGGAAACGGGATAAACCGCACAGAACTAAAACAGAAGCATTGTCAGAAACTTCTTTGTGATGATTGCATTCAACTCACAGAGTTGAAGGTTCCTTTTCAAACAGCAGTTTCCAATCACTCTTTCTGTGGAATCTGCAAGTGGATATTTGGGCCTCTCTGAGGATTTCGTTGGAAACGGGATAAAACGCACAGAAATAAAACAGAAGCATTCTCAGAAACTTCTCTGTGATGTTTGTGTTCAACTCCCAGAGTTTCACGTTGCTTTTCATAGAGTAGTTCTGAAGCATGCTTTTCGTAGTGTCTGCAAGTGGACATTTGGAGCGCTTTCAGGCCTGTGGTGGAAAACGAATTATGGTCACATAAAAACTGGAGAGAAGCCTTCTCAGAAACTTCTCTGTGATGATTGCATTCAACTCACAGAGTTGAACCCTCCTATGGATAGAGCAGTGTTGAAACTCTCTTTTTGTGGAATCTGCAAGTGGATATGTGGACCTCTCCGAAGATGTCTTTGGAAACGGGAATATCTTCACATAAAAACTAAACAGAAGCATTCTCAGAAACTTCTTGGTGATGTTTGCATTCAAATCCCAGAGTTGAACCTTCCTTTGAAAGTTCAGGTTTGAAACACTCTTTTTGTAGGATCTGCAAGTGGCTATTTGGACAACTCTGTGGCCTTCGTTCGAAACGGGTATATCTTCGCATAAAATCTAGACAGAAGCATTCTCAGAAAATACTTTGTGATGATTGAGTTTAACTCACAGAGCTGAACATTCCTTTGGATGGAGCAGGTTTGAGACACACTTTTTGTAGAATCTACAAGTGGATATTTGGACCTCTCTGAGGATTTCGTTGGAAACGGGATAACTGCACCTAACTAAACGGAAGCATTCTCAGCAAACTGCTTTGTGATGATTGCATTCACCTCACAGAGTTGAACATTCCTATTGATAGAGCAGTTTGGAAACACTCTTGTTGTGGAATGTGCAAGTGGAGATTTGGAGCGCTTTGAGGCCTATGGTAGTAAAGGGAATAGCTTCATAGAAAAACTAGACAGATGCATTCTCAGGAACTTTTTGGTGATGTTTGTATTCAACTCCCAGAGTTGAACTTTCCTTTGGAAAGAGCAGCTATGAAACACTCTTTTTCTAGAATCTGCAAGTGGACGTTTGGAGGGCTTTGTGGTTTGTGGTGGAAAAGGAAATATCTTCACCTAAATACTAGATAGAAAGCATTCTCAGAAGCTTCTCTGTGATGACTGCATTCAACTCACGGAGTTGAACACTCCTTTTGAGAGCGCAGTTTTGAAACTCTCTTTCTGTGGCATCTGCAAGGGGACATGTAGACCTCTTTGAAGATTTCGTTGGAAACGGAATCATCTTCACATAAAAACTATACAGAGCAGTCTCAGAATCTTCTTTGTGATGTTTGCATTCAAATCCCAGAGTTGAACTTTCCTTTCAAAGTTCACGTTTGAAACACTCTTTTTGCAGGATCTACAAGTGGATATTTGGACCACTCTGTGTCCTTCGTTCGAAACGGGTATATCTTCACACGACATCTAGACAGAAGCTTTCTCAGAAAATTCTTTGGGATGATTGAGTGGAACTCACAGAGCTGAACATTCCTTGCGATGTAGCAGTTTAGAAACACACTTTCTGCAGAATCTGCAAGTGCATATTTGGACCTCTCTGAGGAATTCGTTGGAAACGGGATAATTTCAGCTGACTAAACAGAAGCATTCTCAGAACCTTCTTCGTGCTGTCTGCATTCAACTCACAGTGTGGAACCTTTCTTTGATAGTTCAGGTTTGAAACACTCTTTTTGTAGAAACTGCAAGGGGATAATTGCACTTCTTTGAGGCCTACCGTAGTAAAGGAAATAACTTCCTATAGAAAGAAGACAGAAGCATTCTCAGAACCCTCTTCGTGATGTTTGCATTCAACTCACAGTGCTGAACCTTTCTTTGATAGTTCAGCTTTGAAACACTCTTCTTGTAGAAACTGCAAGTGGATATTTGGTCCTCTCTGAGGATTTCGTTGGAAACGGGATAAACCGCACAGAACTAAACAGAAGAATTCTCAGAGCCCTCTTCGTGATGTTTGCATTCAACTCACAGTGCTGAACCTTTCTTTGATAGTGCAGCTTTGAAACACTCTTTTTGTAGAAACTGCAAGTGGATGTTTGGTCCTCTCTGAGGATTTCGTTGGAAACGGGATAAACCGCACAGAACTAAAACAGAAGCATTGTCAGAAACTTCTTTGTGATGATTGCATTCAACTCACAGAGTTGAAGGTTCCTTTTCAAACAGCAGTTTCCAATCACTCTTTCTGTGGAATCTGCAAGTGGATATTTGGGCCTCTCTGAGGATTTCGTTGGAAACGGGATAAAACGCACAGAACTAAAACAGAAGCATTCTCAGAAACTTCTCTGTGATGTTTGTGTTCAACTCCCAGAGTTTCACGTTGCTTTTCATAGAGTAGTTCTGAAACATGCTTTTCGTAGTGTCTGCAAGTGGACATTTGGAGCGCTTTCAGGCCTGTGGTGGAAAACGAATTATGGTCACATAAAAACTGGAGAGAAGCCTTCTCAGAAACTTCTCTGTGATGATTGCATTCAACTCACAGAGTTGAACCCTCCTATGGATAGAGCAGTGTTGAAACTCTCTTTTTGTGGAATCTGCAAGTGGATATGTGGACCTCTCCGAAGATGTCTTTGGAAACGGGAATATCTTCACATAAAAACTAAACAGAAGCATTCTCAGAAACTTCTTGGTGATGTTTGCATTCAAATCCCAGAGTTGAACCTTCCTTTGATAGTTCAGGTTTGAAACACTCTTTCTGTAGGATCTGCAAGTGGCTATTTGGACCACTCTGTGGCCTTCGTTCGAAACGGGTATATCTTCGCATAAAATCTAGACAGAAGCATTCTCAGAAAATACTTTGTGATGATTGAGTTTAAATCACAGAGCTGACCATTCCTTTGGATGGAGCAGGTTTGAGACACACTTTTTGTAGAATCTACAAGTGGATATTTGGACCTCTCTGAGGATTTCGTTGGAAACGGGATAACTGCACCTAACTAAACGGAAGCATTCTCAGAAACTGCTTTGTGATGATTGCATTCACCTCACAGAGTTGAACATTCCTATTGATAGAGCAGTTTGGAAACACTCTTGTTGCGGAATGTGCAAGTGGAGATTTGGAGCGCTTTGAGGCCTGTGGTAGTAAAGGGAATAGCTTCATAGAAAAACTAGACAGATGCATTCTCAGGAACTTTTTGGTGATGTTTGTATTCAACTCCCAGAGTTGAACTTTCCTTTGGAAAGAGCAGCTATGAAACACTCTTTTTCTAGAATCTGCAAGTGGACGTTTGGAGGGCTTTGTGGTTTGTGGTGGAAAAGGAAATATCTTCACCTAAATACTAGATAGAAGCATCCTCAGAAGCTTCTCTGTGATGACTGCATTCAACTCACGGAGTTGAACACTCCTTTTGAGAGCGCAGTTTTGAAACTCTCTTTCTGTGGCATCTGCAAGGGGACATGTAGACCTCTTTGAAGATTTCGTTGGAAACGGAATCATCTTCACATAAAAACTACACAGAAGCAGTCTCAGAATCTTCTTTGTGATGTTTGCATTCAAATCCCCGAGTTGAACTTTCCTTTCAAAGTTCACGTTTGAAACACTCTTTTTGCAGGATCTACAAGTGGATATTTGGACCACTCTGTGTCCTTCGTTCGAAACGGGTATATCTTCACATGACATCTAGACAGAAGCTTTCTCAGAAAATTCTTTGGGATGATTGAGTTGAACTCACAGAGCTGAGCATTCCTTGCGATGTAGCAGTTTAGAAACACACTTTCTGCAGAATCTGCAAGTGCATATTTGGACCTCTGTGAGGAATTCGTTGGAAACGGGATAATTTCAGCTGACTAAACAGAAGCATTCTCAGAACCTTCTTCGTGATGTCTGCATTCAACTCACAGTGTGGAACCTTTCTTTGATAGTTCAGGTTTGAAACACTCTTTCTGTAGAAACTGCAAGGGGATAATTGCACTCTTTGAGGAGTACCGTAGTAAAGGAAATAACTTCCTATAAAAAGAAGACAGAAGCATTCTCAGAACCCTCTTCGTGATGTTTGCATTCAACTCACAGTGCTGAACCTTTCTTTGATAGTTCAGCTTTGAAACACTCTTTTTGTAGAAACTGCAAGTGGATATTTGGTCCTCTCTGAGCATTTCGTTGGAAACGGGATAAACTGCACAGAACTAAACAGAAGCATTCTCAGAACCTTCTTCGTGATGTTTGCATTCAACTCACAGTGTTGAACCTTTCTTTGATAGTTCAGGTTTGAAACGGTCTTTCTGTAGAAACTGCAAGTAGATATTTGGACCTCTCTGAGGATTTCGTTGGAAACGGGATAACCCGCACAGAACTAAAACAGAAGCATTCACAGAAAACTCTTGGTGACGACTGAGTTTAACTCACAGAGCTGAACATTCCTTTGGATGGAGCAGTTTCGAAACACACTATTTGTAGAATGTGCAAGTGGATATTTAGGCCTCTCTGAGGATTTCGTTGGAAACGGGGTAAACCGCACAGAACTAAACAGAAGCATTCTCAGAAACTACTTTGTGATGATTGCATTCAAGTCACAGAGCTGAACATTCCCTTTGACAGAGCAGTTTGGAAACTCTCTTTCTGTAGAATCTGCAAGTGGAGATATGGAATGCTTTGAGGACTATGGTAGTAAAGGAAATAGCTTCATAGAAAAGCTAGACAGTAGCATTCTCAGAAACTTCTTTGTGATGCTTGCATTCAACTCACAGAGTTGAACTTTCCTTTCGAGAGAGAAGCTTTGAAACACTCTTTTTCCAGAATCTGCAAGTGGACATTTGGAGGGCTTTGAGGCCTGTGGTGGAAAAGGAATTATCTTCCCGTAAAAGCTGGATAGAAGCATTGTCAGAAACTTCTTTGAGATGATTGCATTCAACTCACAGAGTTGAAGGTTCCTTTTCAAACAGCAGTTTCCAAACACTATTTCTGTGGAATCTGCAAGTGGATATTTGGACCTCTTTGAAGATTTCGTTGGAAACGGGATAACCTTCACAGAAAAGCTAAACAGAAGCATTCTCAGAAACTTCTCTGTGATGTTTGTGTTCAACTCCCAGAGTTTCACGTTGCTTTTCATAGAGTAGTTCTGAAACATGCTTTTCGTAGTGTCTGCAAGTGGACATTTGGAGCGCTTTCAGGCCTGTGGTGGAAAACGAATTATGGTCACATAAAAACTGGAGAGAAGCCTTCTCAGAAACTTCTCTGTGATGATTGCATTCAACTCACAGAGTTGAACCCTCCTATGGATAGAGCAGTGTTGAAACTCTGTTTTTGTGGAATCTGCAAGTGGATATGTGGACCTCTCCGAAGATGTCTTTGGAAACGGGAATATCTTCACATAAAAACTAAACAGAAGCATTCTCAGAAACTTCTTGGTGATGTTTGCATTCAAATCCCAGAGTTGAACCTTCCTTTGATAGTTCAGGTTTGAAACACTCTTTTTGTAGGATCTGCAAGTGGATATTTGGACCACACTGTGGCCTTCGTTCAAAACGGGTACATCTTCGCATAATATGTAGACAGAAGCATTCTCAGAAAATACTTTGTGATGATTGAGTTGAACTCACAGAGCTGAACATTCCTTTGGATGGAGCAGGTTTGAGACACACTTTTTGTAGAATCTACAAGTGGATATTTGGACCTCTCTGAGGATTTCGTTGGAAACGGGATAACTGCACCTAACTAAACGGAAGCATTCCCAGAAACTGCTTTGTGATGATTGCATTCACCTCACAGAGTTGAACATTCCTATTGATAGAGCAGTTTGGAAACACTCTTGTTGTTGAATGTGCAAGTGGAGATTTGGAGCGCTTTGAGGCCTATGGTCGTAAAGGGAATAGCTTCATAGAAAAACTAGACAGATGCATTCTCAGGAACTTTTTGGTGATGTTTGTATTCAACTCCCAGAGTTGAACTTTCCTTTGGAAAGAGCAGCTATGAAACACTCTTTTTCTAGAATCTGCAAGTGGACGTTTGGAGGGCTTTGTGGTTTGTGGTGGAAAAGGAAATATCTTCACCTAAATACTAGATAGAAGCATTCTCAGAAGCTTCTCTGTGATGACTGCATTCAACTCACGGAGTTGAACACTCCTTTTGAGAGCGCAGTTTTGAAACTCTCTTTCTGTGGCATCTGCAAGGGGACATGTAGACCTCTTTGAAGATTTCGTTGGAAACGGAATCATCTTCACATAAAAACTATACAGAAGCAGTCTCAGAATCTTCTTTGTGATGTTTGCATTCAAATCCCAGAGTTGAACTTTCCTTTCAAAGTTCACGTTTGAAGCACTCTTTTTGCAGGATCTACAAGTGGATATTTGGACCACTCTGTGTCCTTCGTTCGAAACGGGTATATCTTCACATGACATCTAGACAGAAGCTTTCTCAGAAAATTCTTTGGGATGATTGAGTGGAACTCACAGAGCTGAACATTCCTTGCGATGTAGCAGTTTAGAAACACACTTTCTGCAGAATCTGCAAGTGCATATTTGGACCTCTCTGAGGAATTCGTTGGAAACGGGATAATTTCAGCTGACTAAACAGAAGCATTCTCAGACACCCTTCTTCGTGATGTCTGCATTCAACTCACAGTGTGGAACCTTTCTTTGATAGTTCAGGTTTGAAACACTCTTTTTGTAGAAACTGCAAGGGGATAATTGCACTTCTTTGAGGCCTACCGTAGTAAAGGAAATAACTTCCTATAGAAAGAAGACAGAAGCATTCTCAGAACCCTCTTCGTGATGTTTGCATTCAACTCACAGTGCTGAACCTTTCTTTGATAGTTCAGCTTTGAAACACTCTTCTTGTAGAAACTGCAAGTGGATATTTGGTCCTCTCTGAGGATTTCGTTGGAAACGGGATAAACCGCACAGAACTAAACAGAAGAATTCTCAGAGCCCTCTTCGTGGTGTTTGCATTCAACTCACAGTGCTGAACCTTTCTTTGATAGTGCAGCTTTGAAACACTCTTTTTGTAGAAACTGCAAGTGGATATTTGGTCCTCTCTGAGGATTTCGTTGGAAACGGGATAAACCGCACAGAACTAAAACAGAAGCATTCACAGAAAACTCTTGGTGACGACTGAGTTTAACTCACAGAGCTGAACATTCCTTTGGATGGAGCAGTTTCGAAACACACTATTTGTAGAATCTGCAAGTGGATATTTGGGCCTCTCTGAGGATTTCGTTGGAAACGGGATAAAACGCACAGAACTAAAACAGAAGCATTCTCAGAAACTACTTTGTGATGATTGCATTCAAGTCACAGAGTTGAACATTCCCTTTGACAGAGCAGTTTGGAAACTCTCTTTGTGTAGAATCTGCAAGTGGAGATATGGACCGCTTTGAGGCCTATGGTAGTAAAGGAAATAGCTTCATATAAAAGCGAGACAGTAGCATTCTCAGAAACTTCTTTGTGATGCTTGCATTCAACTCACAGAGTTGAACTTTCCTTTCGAGAGAGAAGCTTTGAAACACTCTTTTTCCAGAATGTGCAAGTGGACATTTGGGGAGCTTTGAGGCCTGTGGTGGAAAAGGAATTATCTTCCCGTAAAAGCTAGATAGAAGCATTGTCAGAAACTTCTTTGTGATGATTGCATTCAACTCACAGAGTTGAAGGTTCCTTTTCAAACAGCAGTTTCCAATCACTCTTTCTGTGGAATCTGCAAGTGGATATTTCGACCTCTTTGAAGATTTCGTTGGAAACGGGAGAATCTTCACAGAAAAGCTAAACAGAAGCATTCTCAGAAACTTCTCTGTGATGTTTGTGTTCAACTCCCAGAGTTTCACGTTGCTTTTCATAGAGTAGTTCTGAAACATGCTTTTCGTAGTGTCTGCAAGTGGACATTTGGAGCGCTTTCAGGCCTGTGGTGGAAAACGAATTATGGTCACATAAAAACTGGAGAGAAGCCTTCTCAGAAACTTCTCTGTGATGATTGCATTCAACTCACAGAGTTGAACCCTCCTATGGATAGAGCAGTGTTCAAACTCTCTTTTTGTGGAATCTGCAAGTGGATATGTGGACCTCTCCGAAGATGTCTTTGGAAACGGGAATATCTTCACATAAAAACTAAACAGAAGCATTCTCAGAAACTTCTTGGTGATGTTTGCATTCAAATCCCAGAGTTGAACCTTCCTTTGATAGTTCAGGTTTGAAACACTCTTTTTGTAGGATCTGCAAGTGGCTATTTGGACCACTCTGTGGCCTTCGTTCGAAACGGGTATATCTTCGCATAAAATCTAGACAGAAGCATTCTCAGAAAATACTTTGTGATGATTGAGTTTAACTCACAGAGCTGAACATTCCTTTGGATGGAGCAGGTTTGAGACACACTTTTTGTAGAATCTACAAGTGGATATTTGGACCTCTCTGAGGATTTCGTTGGAAACGGGATAACTGCACCTAACTAAACGGAAGCATTCTCAGAAACTGCTTTGTGATGATTGCATTCACCTCACAGAGTTGAACATTCCTATTGATAGAGCAGTTTGGAAACACTCTTGTTGTGGAATGTGCAAGTGGAGATTTGGAGCGCTTTGAGGCCTATGGTAGTAAAGGGAATAGCTTCATAGAAAAACTAGACAGATGCATTCTCAGGAACTTTTTGGTGATGTTTGTATTCAACTCCCAGAGTTGAACTTTCCTTTGGAAAGAGCAGCTATGAAACACTCTTTTTCTAGAATCTGCAAGTGGACGTTTGGAGGGCTTTGTGGTTTGTGGTGGAAAAGGAAATATCTTCACCTAAATACTAGATAGAAGCATTCTCAGAAGCTTCTCTGTGATGACTGCATTCAACTCACGGAGTTGAACACTCCTTTTGAGAGCGCAGTTTTGAAACTCTCTTTCTGTGGCATCTGCAAGGGGACATGTAGACCTCTTTGAAGATTTCGTTGGAAACGGAATCATCTTCACATAAAAACTATACAGAAGCAGTCTCAGAATCTTCTTTGTGATGTTTGCATTCAAATCCCAGAGTTGAACTTTCCTTTCAAAGTTCACGTTTGAAACACTCTTTTTGCAGGATCTACAAGTGGATATTTGGACCACTCTGTGTCCTTCGTTCGAAACGGGTATATCTTCACACGACATCTAGACAGAAGCTTTCTCAGAAAATTCTTTGGGATGATTGAGTGGAACTCACAGAGCTGAACATTCCTTGCGATGTAGCAGTTTAGAAACACACTTTCTGCAGAATCTGCAAGTGCATATTTGGACCTCTCTGAGGAATTCGTTGGAAACGGGATAATTTCAGCTGACTAAACAGAAGCATTCTCAGAACCTTCTTCGTGATGTCTGCATTCAACTCACAGTGTGGAACCTTTCTTTGATAGTTCAGGTTTGAAACACTCTTTTTGTAGAAACTGCAAGGGGATAATTGCACTTCTTTGAGGCCTACCGTAGTAAAGGAAATAACTTCCTATAGAAAGAAGACAGAAGCATTCTCAGAACCCTCTTCGTGATGTTTGCATTCAACTCACAGTGCTGAACCTTTCTTTGATAGTTCAGCTTTGAAACACTCTTCTTGTAGAAACTGCAAGTGGATATTTGGTCCTCTCTGAGGATTTCGTTGGAAACGGGATAAACCGCACAGAACTAAACAGAAGAATTCTCAGAGCCCTCTTCGTGATGTTTGCATTCAACTCACAGTGCTGAACCTTTCTTTGATAGTGCAGCTTTGAAACACTCTTTTTGTAGAAACTGCAAGTGGATATTTGGTCCTCTCTGAGGATTTCGTTGGAAACGGGATAAACCGCACAGAACTAAAACAGAAGCATTCACAGAAAACTCTTGGTGACGACTGAGTTTAACTCACAGAGCTGAACATTCCTTTGGATGGAGCAGTTTCGAAACACACTATTTGTAGAATCTGCAAGTGGATATTTGGGCCTCTCTGAGGATTTCGTTGGAAACGGGATAAAACGCACAGAACTAAAACAGAAGCATTCTCAGAAACTACTTTGTGATTATTGCATTCAAGTCACAGAGTTGAACATTCCCTTTGACAGAGCAGTTTGGAAACTCTCTTTGTGTAGAATCTGCAAGTGGAGATATGGACCGCTTTGAGGCCTATGGTAGTAAAGGAAATAGCTTCATATAAAAGCTAGACAGTAGCATTCTCAGAAACTTCTTTGTGATGCTTGCATTCAACTCACAGAGTTGAACTTTCCTTTCGAGAGAGAAGCTTTGAAACACTCTTTTTCCAGAATGTGCAAGTGGACATTTGGGGAGCTTTGAGGCCTGTGGAGGAAAAGGAATTATCTTCCCGTAAAAGCTAGATAGAAGCATTGTCAGAAACTTCTTTGTGATGATTGCATTCAACTCACAGAGTTGAAGGTTCCTTTTCAAACAGCAGTTTCCAATCACTCTTTCTGTGGAATCTGCAAGTGGATATTTGGGCCTCTCTGAGGATTTCGTTGGAAACGGGATAAAACGCACAGAACTAAAACAGAAAGCATTCTCAGAAACTTCTCTGTGATGTTTGTGTTCAACTCCCAGAGTTTCACGTTGCTTTTCATAGAGTAGTTCTGAAACATGCTTTTCGTAGTGTCTGCAAGTGGACATTTGGAGCGCTTTCAGGCCTGTGGTGGAAAACGAATTATGGTCACATAAAAACTGGAGAGAAGCCTTCTCAGAAACTTCTCTGTGATGATTGCATTCAACTCACAGAGTTGAACCCTCCTATGGATAGAGCAGTGTTGAAACTCTCTTTTTGTGGAATCTGCAAGTGGATATGTGGACCTCTCCGAAGATGTCTTTGGAAACGGGAATATCTTCACATAAAAACTAAACAGAAGCATTCTCAGAAACTTCTTGGTGATGTTTGCATTCAAATCCCAGAGTTGAACCTTCCTTTGATAGTTCAGGTTTGAAACACTCTTTCTGTAGGATCTGCAAGTGGCTATTTGGACCACTCTGTGGCCTTCGTTCGAAACGGGTATATCTTCGCATAAAATCTAGACAGAAGCATTCTCAGAAAATACTTTGTGATGATTGAGTTTAAATCACAGAGCTGACCATTCCTTTGGATGGAGCAGGTTTGAGACACACTTTTTGTAGAATCTACAAGTGGATATTTGGACCTCTCTGAGGATTTCGTTGGAAACGGGATAACTGCACCTAACTAAACGGAAGCATTCTCAGAAACTGCTTTGTGATGATTGCATTCACCTCACAGAGTTGAACATTCCTATTGATAGAGCAGTTTGGAAACACTCTTGTTGTGGAATGTGCAAGTGGAGATTTGGAGCGCTTTGAGGCCTGTGGTAGTAAAGGGAATAGCTTCATAGAAAAACTAGACAGATGCATTCTCAGGAACTTTTTGGTGATGTTTGTATTCAACTCCCAGAGTTGAACTTTCCTTTGGAAAGAGCAGCTATGAAACACTCTTTTTCTAGAATCTGCAAGTGGACGTTTGGAGGGCTTTGTGGTTTGTGGTGGAAAAGGAAATATCTTCACCTAAATACTAGATAGAAGCATTCTCAGAAGCTTCTCTGTGATGACTGCATTCAACTCACGGAGTTGAACACTCCTTTTGAGAGCGTAGTTTTGAAACTCTCTTTCTGTGGCATCTGCAAGGGGACATGTAGACCTCTTTGAAGATTTCGTTGGAAACGGAATCATCTTCACATAAAAACTATACAGAAGCAGTCTCAGAATCTTCTTTGTGATGTTTGCATTCAAATCCCAGAGTTGAACTTTCCTTTCAAAGTTCACGTTTGAAACACTCTTTTTGCAGGATCTACAAGTGGATATTTGGACCACTCTGTGTCCTTCGTTCGAAACGGGTATATCTTCACACGACATCTAGACAGAAGCTTTCTCAGAAAATTCTTTGGGATGATTGAGTGGAACTCACAGAGCTGAACATTCCTTGCGATGTAGCAGTTTAGAAACACACTTTCTGCAGAATCTGCAAGTGCATATTTGGACCTCTCTGAGGAATTCGTTGGAAACGGGATAATTTCAGCTGACTAAACAGAAGCATTCTCAGAACCTTCTTCGTGATGTCTGCATTCAACTCACAGTGTGGAACCTTTCTTTGATAGTTCAGGTTTGAAACACTCTTTTTGTAGAAACTGCAAGGGGATAATTGCACTTCTTTGAGGCCTACCGTAGTAAAGGAAATAACTTCCTATAGAAAGAAGACAGAAGCATTCTCAGAACCCTCTTCGTGATGTTTGCATTCAACTCACAGTGCTGAACCTTTCTTTGATAGTTCAGCTTTGAAACACTCTTCTTGTAGAAACTGCAAGTGGATATTTGGTCCTCTCTGAGGATTTCGTTGGAAACGGGATAAACCGCACAGAACTAAACAGAAGAATTCTCAGAGCCCTCTTCGTGATGTTTGCATTCAACTCACAGTGCTGAACCTTTCTTTGATAGTGCAGCTTCGAAACACTCTTTTTGTAGAAACTGCAAGTGGATGTTTGGTCCTCTCTGAGGATTTCGTTGGAAACGGGATAAACCGCACAGAACTAAAACAGAAGCATTCTCAGAACCTTCTTCGTGATGTTTGCATTCAACTCACAGTGTTGAACCTTTCTTTGATAGTTCAGGTTTGAAACGGTCTTTCTGCAGAAACTGCAAGTAGATATTTGGACCGCTCTGAGGATTTCGTTGGAAACGGGATAACCCGCACAGAACTAAAACAGAAGCATTCACAGAAAACTCTTGGTGACGACTGAGTTTAACTCACAGAGCTGAACATTCCTTTGGATGGAGCAGTTTCGAAACACACTATTTGTAGAATGTGCAAGTGGATATTTAGGCCTCTCTGAGGATTTCGTTGGAAACGGGTTAAACCGCACAGAACTAAACAGAAGCATTCTCAGAAACTACTTTGTGATGATTGCATTCAAGTCACAGAGTTGAACATTCCCTTTGACAGAGCAGTTTGGAAACTCTCTTTGTGTAGAATCTGCAAGTGGAGATATGGACCGCTTTGAGGCCTATGGTAGTAAAGGAAATAGCTTCATATAAAAGCTAGACAGTATCATTCTCAGAAACGTCTTTGTGATGCTTGCATTCAACTCACAGAGTTGAACTTTCCTTTCGAGAGAGAAGCTTTGAAACACTCTTTTTCCAGAATGTGCAAGTGGACATTTGGGGAGCTTTGAGGCCTGTGGTGGAAAAGGAATTATCTTCCCGTAAAAGCTAGATAGAAGCATTGTCAGAAACTTCTTTGTGATGATTGCATTCAACTCACAGAGTTGAAGGTTCCTTTTCAAACAGCAGTTTCCAATCACTCTTTCTGTGGAATCTGCAAGTGGATATTTCGACCTCTTTGAAGATTTCGTTGGAAACGGGAGAATCTTCACAGAAAAGCTAAACAGAAGCATTCTCAGAAACTTCTCTGTGATGTTTGTGTTCAACTCCCAGAGTTTCACGTTGCTTTTCATAGAGTAGTTCTGAAACATGCTTTTCGTAGTGTCTGCAAGTGGACATTTGGAGCGCTTTCAGGCCTGTGGTGGAAAACGAATTATGGTCACTTAAAAACTGGAGAGAAGCTTTCTCAGAAACTTCTCTGTGATGATTGCATTCAACTCACAGAGTTGAACCCTCCTATGGATAGAGCAGTGTTGAAACTCTCTTTTTGTGGAATCTGCAAGTGGATATGTGGACCTCTCCGAAGATGTCTTTGGAAACGGGAATATCTTCACATAATAACTAAACAGAAGCATTCTCAGAAACTTCTTGGTGATGTTTGCATTCAAATCCCAGAGTTGAACCTTCCTTTGATAGTTCAGGTTTGAAACACTCTTTCTGTAGGATCTGCAAGTGGCTATTTGGACCACTCTGTGGCCTTCGTTCGAAACGGGTATATCTTCGCATAAAATCTAGACAGAAGCATTCTCAGAAAATACTTTGTGATGATTGAGTTTAAATCACAGAGCTGACCATTCCTTTGGATGGAGCAGGTTTGAGACACACTTTTTGTAGAATCTACAAGTGGATATTTGGACCTCTCTGAGGATTTCGTTGGAAACGGGATAACTGCACCTAACTAAACGGAAGCATTCTCAGAAACTGCTTTGTGATGATTGCATTCACCTCACAGAGTTGAACATTCCTATTGATAGAGCAGTTTGGAAACACTCTTGTTGTGGAATGTGCAAGTGGAGATTTGGAGCGCTTTGAGGCCTATGGTAGTAAAGGGAATAGCTTCATAGAAAAACTAGACAGATGCATTCTCAGGAACTTTTTGGTGATGTTTGTATTCAACTCCCAGAGTTGAACTTTCCTTTGGAAAGAGCAGCTATGAAACACTCTTTTTCTAGAATCTGCAAGTGGACGTTTGGAGGGCTTTGTGGTTTGTGGTGGAAAAGGAAATATCTTCACCTAAATACTAGATAGAAGCATTCTCAGAAGCTTCTCTGTGATGACTGCATTCAACTCACGGAGTTGAACACTCCTTTTGAGAGCGCAGTTTTGAAACTCTCTTTCTGTGGCATCTGCAAGGGGACATGTAGACCTCTTTGAAGATTTCGTTGGAAACGGAATCATCTTCACATAAAAACTATACAGAAGCAGTCTCAGAATCTTCTTTGTGATGTTTGCATTCAAATCCCAGAGTTGAACTTTCCTTTCAAAGTTCACGTTTGAAACACTCTTTTTGCAGGATCTACAAGTGGATATTTGGACCACTCTGTGTCCTTCGTTCGAAACGGGTATATCTTCACACGACATCTAGACAGAAGCTTTCTCAGAAAATTCTTTGGGATGATTGAGTGGAACTCACAGAGCTGAACATTCCTTGCGATGTAGCAGTTTAGAAACACACTTTCTGCAGAATCTGCAAGTGCATATTTGGACCTCTCTGAGGAATTCGTTGGAAACGGGATAATTTCAGCTGACTAAACAGAAGCATTCTCAGAACTTCTTCGTGATGTCTGCATTCAACTCACAGTGTGGAACCTTTCTTTGATAGTTCAGGTTTGAAACACTCTTTTTGTAGAAACTGCAAGGGGATAATTGCACTTCTTTGAGGCCTACCGTAGTAAAGGAAATAACTTCCTATAGAAAGAAGACAGAAGCATTCTCAGAACCCTCTTCGTGATGTTTGCATTCAACTCACAGTGCTGAACCTTTCTTTGATAGTTCAGCTTTGAAACACTCTTTTTGTAGAAACTGCAAGTGGATATTTGGTCCTCTCTGAGCATTTCGTTGGAAACGGGATAAACTGCACAGAACTAAACAGAAGCATTCTCAGAACCTTCTTCGTGATGTTTGCATTCAACTCACAGTGTTGAACCTTTCTTTGATAGTTCAGGTTTGAAACGGTCTTTCTGTAGAAACTGCAAGTAGATATTTGGACCTCTCTGAGGATTTCGTTGGAAACGGGATAACCCGCACAGAACTAAAACAGAAGCATTCACAGAAAACTCTTGGTGACGACTGAGTTTAACTCACAGAGCTGAACATTCCTTTGGATGGAGCAGTTTCGAAACACACTATTTGTAGAATGTGCAAGTGGATATTTAGGCCTCTCTGAGGATTTCGTTGGAAACGGGATAAACCGCACAGAACTAAACAGAAGCATTCTCAGAAACTACTTTGTGATGATTGCATTCAAGTCACAGAGTTGAACATTCCCTTTGACAGAGCAGTTTGGAAACTCTCTTTGTGTAGAATCTGCAAGTGGAGATATGGACCGCTTTGATGACTATGGTAGTAAAGGAAATAGCTTCATATAAAAGCTAGACAGTAGCATTCTCAGAAACTTCTTTGTGATGCTTGCATTCAACTCACAGAGTTGAACTTTCCTTTCGAGAGAGAAGCTTTGAAACACTCTTTTTCCAGAATCTGCAAGTGGACATTTGGAGGGCTTTGAGGCCTGTGGTGGAAAAGGAATTATCTTCCAGTAAAAGCTAGATAGAAGCATTGTCAGAAACTTCTTTGTGATGATTGCATTCAACTCACAGAGTTGAAGGTTCCTTTTCAAACAGCAGTTTCCAATCACTCTTTCTGTGGAATCTGCAAGTGGATATTTGGACCTCTTTGAAGATTTCATTGGAAACGGGATAATCTTCACAGAAAAGCTAAACAGAAGCATTCTCAGAAACTTCTCTGTGATGTTTGTGTTCAACTCCCAGAGTTTCACATTGCTTTTCATAGAGTAGTTCTGAAACATGCTTTTCGTAGTGTCTACAAGTGGACATTTGGAGCGCTTTCAGGCCTGTGGTGGAAAACGAATTATGGTCACATAAAAACTGGAGAGAAGCCTTCTCAGGAAACTTCTCTGTGATGATTGCATTCAACTCACAGAGTTGAACCCTCCTATGGATAGAGCAGTGTTGAAACTCTCTTTTTGTGGAATCTGCAAGTGGATATGTGGACCTCTCCGAAGATGTCTTTGGAAACGGGAATATCTTCACATAAAAACTAAACAGAAGCATTCTCAGAAACTTCTTGGTGATGTTTGCATTCAAATCCCAGAGTTGAACCTTCCTTTGATAGTTCAGGTTTGAAACACTCTTTCTGTAGGATCTGCAAGTGGCTATTTGGACCACTCTGTGGCCTTCGTTCGAAACGGGTATATCTTCGCATAAAATCTAGACAGAAGCATTCTCAGGAAAATACTTTGTGATGATTGAGTTTAAATCACAGAGCTGACCATTCCTTTGGATGGAGCAGGTTTGAGACACACTTTTTGTAGAATCTACAAGTGGATATTTGGACCTCTCTGAGGATTTCGTTGGAAACGGGATAACTGCACCTAACTAAACGGAAGCATTCTCAGAAACTGCTTTGTGATGATTGCATTCACCTCACAGAGTTGAACATTCCTATTGATAGAGCAGTTTGGAAACACTCTTGTTGTGGAATGTGCAAGTGGAGATTTGGAGCGCTTTGAGGCCTATGGTAGTAAAGGGAATAGCTTCATAGAAAAACTAGACAGATGCATTCTCAGGAACTTTTTGGTGATGTTTGTATTCAACTCCCAGAGTTGAACTTTCCTTTGGAAAGAGCAGCTATGAAACACTCTTTTTCTAGAATCTGCAAGTGTACGTTTGGAGGGCTTTGTGGTTTGTGGTGGAAAAGGAAATATCTTCACCTAAATACTAGATAGAAGCATTCTCAGAAGCTTCTCTGTGATGACTGCATTCAACTCACGGAGTTGAACACTCCTTTTGAGAGCGCAGTTTTGAAACTCTCTTTCTGTGGCATCTGCAAGGGGACATGTAGACCTCTTTGAAGATTTCGTTGGAAACGGAATCATCTTCACATCAAAACTATACAGAAGCAGTCTCAGAATCTTCTTTGTGATGTTTGCATTCAAATCCCAGAGTTGAACTTTCCTTTCAAAGTTCACGTTTGAAACACTCTTTTTGCAGGATCTACAAGTGGATATTTGGACCACTCTGTGTCCTTCGTTCGAAACGGGTATATCTTCACACGACATCTAGACAGAAGCTTTCTCAGAAAATTCTTTGGGATGATTGAGTGGAACTCACAGAGCTGAACATTCCTTGCGATGTAGCAGTTTAGAAACACACTTTCTGCAGAATCTGCAAGTGCATATTTGGACCTCTCTGAGGAATTCGTTGGAAACGGGATAATTTCAGCTGACTAAACAGAAGCATTCTCAGAACCTTCTTCGTGATGTCTGCATTCAACTCACAGTGTGGAACCTTTCTTTGATAGTTCAGGTTTGAAACACTCTTTTTGTAGAAACTGCAAGGGGATAATTGCACTTCTTTGAGGCCTACCGTAGTAAAGGAAATAACTTCCTATAGAAAGAAGACAGAAGCATTCTCAGAACCCTCTTCGTGATGTTTGCATTCAACTCACAGTGCTGAACCTTTCTTTGATAGTTCAGCTTTGAAACACTCTTCTTGTAGAAACTGCAAGTGGATATTTGGTCCTCTCTGAGGATTTCGTTGGAAACGGGATAAACCGCACAGAACTAAACAGAAGAATTCTCAGAGCCCTCTTCGTGATGTTTGCATTCAACTCACAGTGCTGAACCTTTCTTTGATAGTGCAGCTTTGAAACACTCTTTTTGTAGAAACTGCAAGTGGATGTTTGGTCCTCTCTGAGGATTTCGTTGGAAACGGGATAAACCGCACAGAACTAAAACAGAAGCATTGTCAGAAACTTCTTTGTGATGATTGCATTCAACTCACAGAGTTGAAGGTTCCTTTTCAAACAGCAGTTTCCAATCACTCTTTCTGTGGAATCTGCAAGTGGATATTTGGGCCTCTCTGAGGATTTCGTTGGAAACGGGATAAAACGCACAGAACTAAAACAGAAGCATTCTCAGAAACTTCTCTGTGATGTTTGTGTTCAACTCCCAGAGTTTCACGTTGCTTTTCATAGAGTAGTTCTGAAACATGCTTTTCGTAGTGTCTGCAAGTGGACATTTGGAGCGCTTTCAGGCCTGTGGTGGAAAACGAATTATGGTCACATAAAAACTGGAGAGAAGCCTTCTCAGAAACTTCTCTGTGATGATTGCATTCAACTCACAGAGTTGAACCCTCCTATGGATAGAGCAGTGTTGAAACTCTCTTTTTGTGGAATCTGCAAGTGGATATGTGGACCTCTCCGAAGATGTCTTTGGAAACGGGAATATCTTCACATAAAAACTAAACAGAAGCATTCTCAGAAACTTCTTGGTGATGTTTGCATTCAAATCCCAGAGTTGAACCTTCCTTTGATAGTTCAGGTTTGAAACACTCTTTCTGTAGGATCTGCAAGTGGCTATTTGGACCACTCTGTGGCCTTCGTTCGAAACGGGTATATCTTCGCATAAAATCTAGACAGAAGCATTCTCAGAAAATACTTTGTGATGATTGAGTTTAAATCACAGAGCTGACCATTCCTTTGGATGGAGCAGGTTTGAGACACACTTTTTGTAGAATCTACAAGTGGATATTTGGACCTCTCTGAGGATTTCGTTGGAAACGGGATAACTGCACCTAACTAAACGGAAGCATTCTCAGAAACTGCTTTGTGATGATTGCATTCACCTCACAGAGTTGAACATTCCTATTGATAGAGCAGTTTGGAAACACTCTTGTTGTGGAATGTGCAAGTGGAGATTTGGAGCGCTTTGAGGCCTATGGTAGTAAAGGGAATAGCTTCATAGAAAAACTAGACAGATGCATTCTCAGGAACCTTTTGGTGATGTTTGTATTCAACTCCCAGAGTTGAACTTTCCTTTGGAAAGAGCAGCTATGAAACACTCTTTTTCTAGAATCTGCAAGTGGACGTTTGGAGGGCTTTGTGGTTTGTGGTGGAAAAGGAAATATCTTCACCTAAATACTAGATAGAAGCATTCTCAGAAGCTTCTCTGTGATGACTGCATTCAACTCACGGAGTTGAACACTCCTTTTGAGAGCGCAGTTTTGAAACTCTCTTTCTGTGGCATCTGCAAGGGGACATGTAGACCTCTTTGAAGATTTCGTTGGAAACGGAATCATCTTCACATAAAAACTATACAGAAGCAGTCTCAGAATCTTCTTTGTGATGTTTGCATTCAAATCCCAGAGTTGAACTTTCCTTTCAAAGTTCACGTTTGAAACACTCTTTTTGCAGGATCTACAAGTGGATATTTGGACCACTCTGTGTCCTTCGTTCGAAACGGGTATATCTTCACACGACATCTAGACAGAAGCTTTCTCAGAAAATTCTTTGGGATGATTGAGTGGAACTCACAGAGCTGAACATTCCTTGCGATGGAGCAGTTTAGAAACACACTTTCTGCAGAATCTGCAAGTGCATATTTGGACCTCTCTGAGGAATTCGTTGGAAACGGGATAATTTCAGCTGACTAAACAGAAGCATTCTCAGAACCTTCTTCGTGATGTCTGCATTCAACTCACAGTGTGGAACCTTTCTTTGATAGTTCAGGTTTGAAACACTCTTTTTGTAGAAACTGCAAGGGGATAATTGCACTTCTTTGAGGCCTACCGTAGTAAAGGAAATAACTTCCTATAGAAAGAAGACAGAAGCATTCTCAGAACCCTCTTCGTGATGTTTGCTTTCAACTCACGGTGCTGAACCTTTCTTTGATAGTTCAGCTTTGAAACACTCTTTTTGTAGAAACTGCAAGTGGATATTTGGTCCTCTCTGAGGATTTCGTTGGAAACGGGATAAACCGCACAGAACTAAACAGAAGCATTCTCAGAACCTTCTTCGTGATGTTTGCATTCAACTCACAGTGTTGAACCTTTCTTTGATAGTTCAGGTTTGAAACGATCTTTCTGTAGAAACTGCAAGTAGATATTTGGACCTCTCTGAGGATTTCGTTGGAAACGGGATAAACCGCACAGAACTAAAACAGAAGCATTCACAGAAAACTCTTGGTGACGACTGAGTTTAACTCACAGAGCTGAACATTCCTTTGGATGGAGCAGTTTCGAAACACACTATTTGTAGAATGTGCAAGTGGATATTTGGGCCTCTCTGAGGATTTCGTTGGAAACGGGATAAACCGCACAGAACTAAACAGAAGCATTCTCAGAAACTACTTTGTGATGATTGCATTCAAGTCACAGAGTTGAACATTCCCTTTGACAGAGCAGTTTGGAAACTCTCTTTGTGTAGAGTCTGCAAGTGGAGATATGGACCGCTTTGAGGCCTATGGTAGTAAAGGAAATGGCTTCATATGAAAGCTAGACAGTAGCATTCTCAGAAACTTCTTTGTGATGCTTGCATTCAACTCACAGAGTTGAACTTTCCTTTCGAGAGAGAAGCTTTGAAACACTCTTTTTCCAGAATGTGCAAGTGGACATTTGGAGGGCTTTGAGGCCTGTGGTGGAAAAGGAATTATCTTCCCGTAGAAGCTAGATAGAAGCATTGTCAGAAACTTCTTTGTGATGATTGCATTCAACTCACAGAGTTGAAGGTTCCTTTTCAAACAGCAGTTTCCAATCACTCTTTCTGTGGAATCTGCAAGGGGATATTTCAACCTCTTTGAAGATTTCGTTGGAAAAGGGAGAATCTTCACAGAAAAGCTAAACAGAAGCATTCTCAGAAACTTCTCTGTGATGTTTGTGTTCAACTCCCAGAGTTTCACGTTGCTTTTCATAGAGTAGTTCTGAAACATGCTTTTCGTAGTGTCTGCAAGTGGACATTTGGAGCGCTTTCAGGCCTGTGGTGGAAAACGAATTATGGTCACATAAAAACTGGAGAGAAGCCTTCTCAGAAACTTCTCTGCGATGATTGCATTCAACTCACAGAGTTGAACCCTCGTATGGATAGAGCAGTGTTGAAACTATGTTTTTGTGGAATCTGCAAGTGGATATGTGGACCTCGCCGAAGATGTCTTTGGAAACGGGAATATCTTCACATAAAAACTAAACAGAAGCATTCTCAGAAACTTCTTGGTGATGTTTGCATTCAAATCCCAGAGTTGAACCTTCCTTTGATAGTTCAGGTTTGAAACACTCTTTCTGTAGGATCTGCAAGTGGCTATTTGGACCACTCTGTGGCCTTCGTTCGAAACGGGTATATCTTCGCATAAAATCTAGACAGAAGCATTCTCAGAAAATACTTTGTGATGATTGAGTTTAAATCACAGAGCTGACCATTCCTTTGGATGGAGCAGGTTTGAGACACACTTTTTGTAGAATCTACAAGTGGATATTTGGACCTCTCTGAGGATTTCGTTGGAAACGGGATAACTGCACCTAACTAAACGGAAGCATTCTCAGAAACTGCTTTGTGATGATTGCATTCACCTCACAGAGTTGAACATTCCTATTGATAGAGCAGTTTGGAAACACTCTTGTTGTGGAATGTGCAAGTGGAGATTTGGAGCGCTTTGAGGCCTGTGGTAGTAAAGGGAATAGCTTCATAGAAAAACTAGACAGATGCATTCTCAGGAACTTTTTGGTGATGTTTGTATTCAACTCCCAGAGTTGAACTTTCCTTTGGAAAGAGCAGCTATGAAACACTCTTTTTCTAGAATCTGCAAGTGGACGTTTGGAGGGCTTTGTGGTTTGTGGTGGAAAAGGAAATATCTTCACCTAAATACTAGATAGAAGCATTCTCAGAAGCTTCTCTGTGATGACTGCATTCAACTCACGGAGTTGAACACTCCTTTTGAGAGCGCAGTTTTGAAACTCTCTTTCTGTGGCATCTGCAAGGGGACATGTAGACCTCTTTGAAGATTTCGTTGGAAACGGAATCATCTTCACATAAAAACTATACAGAAGCAGTCTCAGAATCTTCTTTGTGATGTTTGCATTCAAATCCCAGAGTTGAACTTTCCTTTCAAAGTTCACGTTTGAAACACTCTTTTTGCAGGATCTACAAGTGGATATTTGGACCACTCTGTGTCCTTCGTTCGAAACGGGTATATCTTCACACGACATCTAGACAGAAGCTTTCTCAGAAAATTCTTTGGGATGATTGAGTGGAACTCACAGAGCTGAACATTCCTTGCGATGTAGCAGTTTAGAAACACACTTTCTGCAGAATCTGCAAGTGCATATTTGGACCTCTCTGAGGAATTCGTTGGAAACGGGATAATTTCAGCTGACTAAACAGAAGCATTCTCAGAACCTTCTTCGTGATGTCTGCATTCAACTCACAGTGTGGAACCTTTCTTTGATAGTTCAGGTTTGAAACACTCTTTTTGTAGAAACTGCAAGGGGATAATTGCACTTCTTTGAGGCCTACCGTAGTAAAGGAAATAACTTCCTATAGAAAGAAGACAGAAGCATTCTCAGAACCCTCTTCGTGATGTTTGCATTCAACTCACAGTGCTGAACCTTTCTTTGATAGTTCAGCTTTGAAACACTCTTCTTGTAGAAACTGCAAGTGGATATTTGGTCCTCTCTGAGGATTTCGTTGGAAACGGGATAAACCGCACAGAACTAAACAGAAGAATTCTCAGAGCCCTCTTCGTGATGTTTGCATTCAACTCACAGTGCTGAACCTTTCTTTGATAGTGCAGCTTTGAAACACTCTTTTTGTAGAAACTGCAAGTGGATGTTTTGGTCCTCTCTGAGGATTTCGTTGGAAACGGGATAAACCGCACAGAACTAAAACAGAAGCATTGTCAGAAACTTCTTTGTGATGATTGCATTCAACTCACAGAGTTGAAGGTTCCTTTTCAAACAGCAGTTTCCAATCACTCTTTCTGTGGAATCTGCAAGTGGATATTTGGGCCTCTCTGAGGATTTCATTGGAAACGGGATAAAACGCACAGAACTAAAACAGAAGCATTCTCAGAAACTTCTCTGTGATGTTTGTGTTCAACTCCCAGAGTTTCACGTTGCTTTTCATAGAGTAGTTCTGAAACATGCTTTTCGTAGTGTCTGCAAGTGGACATTTGGAGCGCTTTCAGGCCTGTGGTGGAAAACGAATTATGGTCACATAAAAACTGGAGAGAAGCCTTCTCAGAAACTTCTCTGTGATGATTGCATTCAACTCACAGAGTTGAACCCTCCTATGGATAGAGCAGTGTTGAAACTCTCTTTTTGTGGAATCTGCAAGTGGATATGTGGACCTCTCCGAAGATGTCTTTGGAAACGGGAATATCTTCACATAAAAACTAAACAGAAGCATTCTCAGAAACTTCTTGGTGATGTTTGCATTCAAATCCCAGAGTTGAACCTTCCTTTGATAGTTCAGGTTTGAAACACTCTTTCTGTAGGATCTGCAAGTGGCTATTTGGACAACTCTGTGGCCTTCGTTCGAAACGGGTATATCTTCGCATAAAATCTAGACAAAAGCATTCTCAGAAAATACTTTGTGATGATTGAGTTTAAATCACAGAGCTGACCATTCCTTTGGATGGAGCAGGTTTGAGACACACTTTTTGTAGAATCTACAAGTGGATATTTGGACCTCTCTGAGGATTTCGTTGGAAACGGGATAACTGCACCTAACTAAACGGAAGCATTCTCAGAAACTGCTTTGTGATGATTGCATTCACCTCACAGAGTTGAACATTCCTATTGATACAGCAGTTTGGAAACACTCTTGTTGTGGAATGTGCAAGTGGAGATTTGGAGCGCTTTGAGGCCTATGGTAGTAAAGGGAATAGCTTCATAGAAAAACTAGACAGATGCATTCTCAGGAACTTTTTGGTGATGTTTGTATTCAACTCCCAGAGTTGAACTTTCCTTTGGAAAGAGCAGCTATGAAACACTCTTTTTCTAGAATCTGCAAGTGGACGTTTGGAGGGCTTTGTGGTTTGTGGTGGAAAAGGAAATATCTTCACCTAAATACTAGATAGAAGCATTCTCAGAAGCTTCTCTGTGATGACTGCATTCAACTCACGGAGTTGAACACTCCTTTTGAGAGCGCAGTTTTGAAACTCTCTTTCTGTGGCATCTGCAAGGGGACATGTAGACCTCTTTGAAGGTTTCGTTGGAAACGGAATCATCTTCACATAAAAACTATACAGAAGCAGTCTCAGAATCTTCTTTGTGATGTTTGCATTCAAATCCCCGAGTTGAACTTTCCTTTCAAAGTTCACGTTTGAAACACTCTTTTTGCAGGATCTACAAGTGGATATTTGGACCACTCTGTGTCCTTCGTTCGAAACGGGTATATCTTCACATGACATCTAGACAGAAGCTTTCTCAGAAAATTGTTTGGGATGATTGATTTGAACTCACAGAGCTGAGCATTCCTTGCGATGTAGCAGTTTAGAAACACACTTTCTGCAGAATCTGCAAGTGCATATTTGGACCTCTCTGAGGAATTCGTTGGAAACGGGATAATTTCAGCTGACTAAACAGAAAGCATTCTCAGAACCTTCTTCGTGATGTCTGCATTCAACTCACAGTGTGGAACCTTTCTTTGATAGTTCAGGTTTGAAACACTCTTTTTGTAGAAACTGCAAGGGGATAATTGCACTCTTTGAGGAGTACCGTAGTAAAGGAAATAACTTCCTCTAAAAAGAAGACAGAAGCATTCTCAGAACCCTCTTCGTGATGTTTGCATTCAACTCACAGTGCTGAACCTTTCTTTGATAGTTCAGCTTTGAAACACTCTTTTTGTAGAAACTGCAAGTGGATATTTGGTCCTCTCTGAGGATTTCGTTGGAAACGGGATAAACTGCACAGAACTAAACAGAAGCATTCTCAGAACCTTCTTCGTGATGTTTGCATTCAACTCACAGTGTTGAACCTTTCTTTGATAGTTCAGGTTTGAAACGGTCTTTCTGTAGAAACTGCAAGTAGATATTTGGACCTCTCTGAGGATTTCGTTGGAAACGGGATAACCCGCACAGAACTAAAACAGAAGCATTCACAGAAAACTCTTGGTGACGACTGAGTTTAACTCACAGAGCTGAACATTCCTTTGGATGGAGCAGTTTCGAAACACACTATTTGTAGAATGTGCAAGTGGATATTTGGGCCTCTCTGAGGATTTCGTTGGAAACGGGATAAACCGCACAGAACTAAACAGAAGCATTCTCAGAAACTACTTTGTGATGATTGCATTCAAGTCACAGAGTTGAACATTTCCTTTGACAGAGCAGTTTGGAAACTCTCTTTGTGTAGAATCTGCAAGTGGAGATATGGACCGCTTTGAGGCCTATGGTAGTAAAGGAAATAGCTTCATATAAAAGCTAGACAGTAGCATTCTCAGAAACTTCTTTGTGATGCTTGCATTCAACTCACAGAGTTGAACTTTCCTTTCGAGAGAGAAGCTTTGAAACACTCTTTTTCCAGAATGTGCAAGTGGACATTTGGGGAGCTTTGAGGCCTGGGGTGGAAAAGGAATTATCTTCCCGTAAAAGCTAGATAGAAGCATTGTCAGAAACTTCTTTGTGATGATTGCATTCAACTCACAGAGTTGAAGGTTCCTTTTCAAACAGCAGTTTCCAATCACTCTTTCTGTGGAATCTGCAAGTGGATATTTCGACCTCTTTGAAGATTTCGTTGGAAACGGGAGAATCTTCCCAGAAAAGCTAAACAGAAGCATTCTCAGAAACTTCTCTGTGATGTTTGTGTTCAACTCCCAGAGTTTCACATTGCTTTTCATAGAGTAGTTCTGAAACATGCTTTTCGTAGTGTCTACAAGTGGACATTTGGAGCGCTTTCAGGCCTGTGGTGGAAAACGAATTATGGTCACATAAAAACTGGAGAGAAGCCTTCTCAGAAACTTCTCTGTGATGATTGCATTCAACTCACAGAGTTGAACCCTCCTATGGATAGAGCAGTGTTGAAACTCTCTTTTTGTGGAATCTGCAAGTGGATACGTGGACCTCTCCGAAGATGTCTTTGGAAACGGGAATATCTTCACATAAAAACTAAACAGAAGCATTCTCAGAAACTTCTTGGTGATGTTTGCATTCAAATCCCAGAGTTGAACCTTCCTTTGATAGTTCAGGTTTGAAACACTCTTTTTGTAGGATCTGCAAGTGGATATTTGGACCACTCTGTGGCCTTCGTTCGAAACGGGTATATCTTCGCATAAAATCTAGACAGAAGCATTCTCAGAAAATACTTCGTGATGATTGAGTTTAACTCACAGAGCTGAACATTCCTTTGGATGGAGCAGGTTTGAGACACACTTTTTGTAGAATCTACAAGTGGATATTTGGACCTCTCTGAGGATTTCGTTGGAAACGGGATAACTGCACCTAACTAAACGGAAGCATTCTCAGAAACTGCTTTGTGATGATTGCATTCACCTCACAGAGTTGAACATTCCTATTGATAGAGCAGTTTGGAAACACTCTTGTTGTGGAATGTGCAAGTGGAGATTTGGAGCGCTTTGAGGCCTATGGTAGTAAAGGGAATAGCTTCATAGAAAAACTAGACAGATGCATTCTCAGCAACTTTTTGGTGATGTTTGTATTCAACTCCCAGAGTTGAACTTTCCTTTGGAAAGAGCAGCTATGAAACACTCTTTTTCTAGAATCTGCAAGTGGACGTTTGGAGGGCTTTGTGGTTTGTGGTGGAAAAGGAAATATCTTCACCTAAATACTAGATAGAAGCATTCTCAGAAGCTTCTCTGTGATGACTGCATTCAACTCACGGAGTTGAACACTCCTTTTGAGAGCGCAGTTTTGAAACTCTCTTTCTGTGGCATCTGCAAGGGGACATGTAGACCTCTTTGAAGATTTCGTTGGAAACGGAATCATCTTCACATCAAAACTATACAGAAGCAGTCTCAGAATCTTCTTTGTGATGTTTGCATTCAAATCCCAGAGTTGAACTTTCCTTTCCAAGTTCACGTTTGAAACACTCTTTTTGCAGGATCTACAAGTGGATATTTGGACCACTCTGTGTCCTTCGTTCGAAACGGGTATATCTTCACATGACATCTAGACAGAAGCTTTCTCAGAAAATTCTTTGGGATGATTGAGTGGAACTCACAGAGCTGAACATTCCTTGCGATGGAGCAGTTTAGAAACACACTTTCTGCAGAATCTGCAAGTGCATATTTGGACCTCTCTGAGGAATTCGTTGGAAACGGGATAATTTCAGCTGACTAAACAGAAGCATTCTCAGAACCTTCTTCGTGATGTCTGCATTCAACTCACAGTGTGGATCCTTTCTTTGATAGTTCAGGTTTGAAACACTCTTTTTGTAGAAACTGCAAGGGTATAATTGCACTTCTTTGAGGCCTACCGTAGTAAAGGAAATAACTTCCAATAGAAAGAAGACAGAAGCATTCACAGAAAACTCTTGGTGACGACTGAGTTTAACTCACAGAGCTGAACATTCCTTTGGATGGAGCAGTTTCGAAACACACTATTTGTAGAATGTGCAAGTGGATATTTGGGCCTCTCTGAGGATTTCGTTGGAAACGGGATAAACCGCACAGAACTAAACAGAAGCATTCTCAGAAACTAATTTGTGACGATTGCATTCAAGTCACAGAGTTGAACATTCCCTTTGACAGAGCAGTTTGGAAACTCTCTTTGTGTAGAATCTGCAAGTGGAGATATGGACCGCTTTGAGGCCTATGGTAGTAAAGGAAAGAGCTTCATATAAAAGCTAGACAGTAGCATTCTCAGAAACTTCTTTGTGATGCTTGCATTCAACTCACAGAGTTGAACTTTCCTTTCGAGAGAGAAGCTTTGAAACACTCTTTTTCCAGAATGTGCAAGTGGAGATTTGGAGGGCTTTGAGGCCTGTGGTGGAAAAGGAATTATCTTCCCGTAAAAGCTAGATAGAAGCATTGTCAGAAACTTCTTTGTGATGATTGCATTCAACTCACAGAGTTGAAGGTTCCTTTTCAAACAGCAGTTTCCAATCACTCTTTCTGTGGAATCTGCAAGTGGATATTTGGGCCTCTCTGAGGATTTCGTTGGAAACGGGATAAAACGCACAGAACTAAAACAGAAGCATTCTCAGAAACTTCTCTGTGATGTTTGTGTTCAACTCCCAGAGTTTCACGTTGCTTTTCATAGAGTAGTTCTGAAACATGCTTTTCGTAGTGTCTGCAAGTGGACATTTGGAGCGCTTTCAGGCCTGTGGTGGAAAACGAATTATGGTCACATAAAAACTGGGAGAGAAGCCTTCTCAGAAACTTCTCTGTGATGATTGCATTCAACTCACAGAGTTGAACCCTCCTATGGGTAGAGCAGTGTTGAAACTCTCTTTTTGTGGAATCTGCAAGTGGATATGTGGACCTCTCCGAAGATGTCTTTGGAAACGGGAATATCTTCACATAAAAACTAAACAGAAGCATTCTCAGAAACTTCTTGGTGATGTTTGCATTCAAATCCCAGAGTTGAACCTTCCTTTGATAGTTCAGGTTTGAAACACTCTTTCTGTAGGATCTGCAAGTGGCTATTTGGACCACTCTGTGGCCTTCGTTCGAAACGGGTATATCTTCGCATAAAATCTAGACAGAAGCATTCTCAGAAAATACTTTGTGATGATTGAGTTTAAATCACAGAGCTGACCATTCCTTTGGATGGAGCAGGTTTGAGACACACTTTTTGTAGAATCTACAAGTGGATATTTGGACCTCTCTGAGGATTTCGTTGGAAACGGGATAACTGCACCTAACTAAACGGAAGCATTCTCAGAAACTGCTTTGTGATGATTGCATTCACCTCACAGAGTTGAACATTCCTATTGATAGAGCAGTTTGGAAACACTCTTGTTGTGGAATGTGCAAGTGGAGATTTGGAGCGCTTTGAGGCCTATGGTAGTAAAGGGAATAGCTTCATAGAAAAACTAGACAGATGCATTCTCAGGAACTTTTTGGTGATGTTTGTATTCAACTCCCAGAGTTGAACTTTCCTTTGGAAAGAGCAGCTATGAAACACTCTTTTTCTAGAATCTGCAAGTGGACGTTTGGAGGGCTTTGTGGTTTGTGGTGGAAAAGGAAATATCTTCACCTAAATACTAGATAGAAGCTTTCTCAGAAGCTTCTCTGTGATGACTGCATTCAACTCACGGAGTTGAACACTCCTTTTGAGAGCGCAGTTTTGAAACTCCCTTTCTGTGGCATCTGCAAGGGGACATGTAGACCTCTTTGAAGATTTCGTTGGAAACGGAATCATCTTCACATAAAAACTATACAGAAGCAGTCTCAGAATCTTCTTTGTGATGTTTGCATTCAAATCCCAGAGTTGAACTTTCCTTTCAAAGTTCACGTTTGAAACACTCTTTTTGCAGGATCTACAAGTGGATATTTGGACCACTCTGTGTCCTTCATTCGAAACGGGTATATCTTCACACGACATCTAGACAGAAAGCTTTCTCAGAAAATTCTTTGGGATGATTGAGTGGAACTCACAGAGCTGAACATTCCTTGCGATGTAGCAGTTTAGAAACACACTTTCTGCAGAATCTGCAAGTGCATATTTGGACCTCTCTGAGGAATTCGTTGGAAACGGGATAATTTCAGCTGACTAAACAGAAGCATTCTCAGAACCTTCTTCGTGATGTCTGCATTCAACTCACAGTGTGGAACCTTTCTTTGATAGTTCAGGTTTGAAACACTCTTTTTGTAGAAACTGCAAGGGGATAATTGCACTTCTTTGAGGCCTACCGTAGTAAAGGAAATAACTTCCTATAGAAAGAAGACAGAAGCATTCTCAGAACCCTCTTCGTGATGTTTGCATTCAACTCACAGTGCTGAACCTTTCTTTGATAGTTCAGCTTTGAAACACTCTTCTTGTAGAAACTGCAAGTGGATATTTGGTCCTCTCTGAGGATTTCGTTGGAAACGGGATAAACCGCACAGAACTAAACAGAAGCATTCTCAGAACCTTCTTCGTGATGTTTGCATTCAACTCACAGTGTTGAACCTTTCTTTGATAGTTCAGGTTGGAAACGGTCTTTCTGTAGAAACTGCAAGTAGATATTTGGACCTCTCTGAGGATTTCGTTGGAAACGGGATAAACCGCAAAGAACTAAAACAGAAGCATTCACAGAAAACTCTTGGTGACGACTGAGTTTAACTCACAGAGCTGAACATTCCTTTGGATGGAGCAGTTTCAAAACACACTATTTGTAGAATGTGCAAGTGGATATTTGGGCCTCTCTGAGGATTTCATTGGAAACGGGATAAACCGCACAGAACTAAACAGAAGCATTCTCAGAAACTACTTTGTGACGATTGCATTCAAGTCACAGAGTTGAACATTCCCTTTGACAGAGCAGTTTGGAAACTCTCTTTGTGTAGAATCTGCAAGTGGAGATATGGACCGCTTTGAGGCCTATGGTAGTAAAGGTAATAGCTTCATATGAAAGCTAGACAGTAGCATTCTCAGAAACTTCTTTGTGATGCTTGCATTCAACTCACAGAGTTGAACTTTCCTTTCGAGAGAGAAGCTTTGAAACACTCTTTTTCCAGAATGTGCAAGTGGACATTTGGAGGGCTTTGAGGCCTGTGGTGGAAAAGGAATTATCTTCCCGTAAAAGCTAGATAGAAGCATTGTCAGAAACTTCTTTGTGATGATTGGATTCAACTCACAGAGGTGAAGGTTCCTTTTCAAAGAGCAGTTTCCAATCACTCTTTCTGTGGAATCTGCAAGTGGATATTTGGACCTCTTTGAAGATTTCGTTGGAAACGGGAGAATCTTCACAGAAAAGCTAAACAGAAGCATTCTCAGAAACTTCTCTGTGATGTTTGTGTTCAACTCCCAGAGTTTCACATTGCTTTTCATAGAGTAGTTCTGAAACATGCTTTTCGTAGTGTCTGCAAGTGGACATTTGGAGCGCTTTCAGGCCTGTGGTGGAAAACGAATTATGGTCACATAAAAACTGGAGAGAAGCCTTCTCAGAAACTTCTCTGTGATGATTGCATTCAACTCACAGATTTGAACCCTCCTATGGATAGAGCATTGTTGAAACTCTCTTTTTGTGGAATCTGCAAGTGGATATGTGGACCTCTCCGAAGATGTCTTTGGAAACGGGAATATCTTCACATAAAAACTAAACAGAAGCATTCTCAGAAACTTCTTGGTGATGTTTGCATTCCAATCCCAGAGTTGAACCTTCCTGTGATAGTTCAGGTTTGAAACACTCTTTTTGTAGTATCTGCAAGTGGATATTTGGACCACTCTGTGGCCTTCGTTCGAAACGGGTACATCTTCACATAAAATCTAGACAGAAGCATTCTCAGGAAAATACTTTGTGATGATTGAGTTTAAATCACAGAGCTGACCATTCCTTTGGATGGAGCAGGTTTGAGACACACTTTTTGTAGAATCTACAAGTGGATATTTGGACCTCTCTGAGGATTTCGTTGGAAACGGGATAACTGCACCTAACTAAACGGAAGCATTCTCAGAAACTGCTTTGTGATGATTGCATTCACCTCACAGAGTTGAACATTCCTATTGATAGAGCAGTTTGGAAACACTCTTGTTGTGGAATGTGCAAGTGGAGATTTGGAGCGCTTTGAGGCCTGTGGTAGTAAAGGGAATAGCTTCATAGAAAAACTAGACAGATGCATTCTCAGGAACTTTTTGGTGATGTTTGTATTCAACTCCCAGAGTTGAACTTTCCTTTGGAAAGAGCAGCTATGAAACACTCTTTTTCTAGAATCTGCAAGTGGACGTTTGGAGGGCTTTGTGGTTTGTGGTGGAAAAGGAAATATCTTCACCTAAATACTAGATAGAAGCATTCTCAGAAGCTTCTCTGTGATGACTGCATTCAACTCACGGAGTTGAACACTCCTTTTGAGAGCGCAGTTTTGAAACTCTCTTTCTGTGGCATCCGCAAGGGGACATGTGGACCTCTTTGAAGATTTCGTTGGAAACGGAATCATCTTCACATAAAAACTGTACAGAAGCAGTCTCAGAATCTTCTTTGTGATGTTTGCATTCAAATCCCAGAGTTGAACTTTCCTTTCAAAGTTCACGTTTGAAACACTCTTTTTGCAGGATCTACAAGTGGATATTTGGACCACTCTGTGTCCTTCGTTCGAAACGGGTATATCTTCACACGACATCTAGACAGAAGCTTTCTCAGAAAATTCTTTGGGATGATTGAGTGGAACTCACAGAGCTGAACATTCCTTGCGATGTAGCAGTTTAGAAACACACTTTCTGCAGAATCTGCAAGTGCATATTTGGACCTCTCCGAGGAATTCGTTGGAAACGGGATAATTTCAGCTGACTAAACAGAAGCATTCTCAGAACCTTCTTCGTGATGTCTGCATTCAACTCACAGTGTGGAACCTTTCTTTGATAGTTCAGGTTTGAAACACTCTTTTTGTAGAAACTGCAAGGGGATAATTGCACTTCTTTGAGGCCTACCGTAGTAAAGGAAATAACTTCCTATAGAAAGAAGACAGAAGCATTCTCAGAACCCTCTTCGTGATGTTTGCATTCAACTCACAGTGCTGAACCTTTCTTTGATAGTTCAGCTTTGAAACACTCTTCTTGTAGAAACTGCAAGTGGATATTTGGTCCTCTCTGAGGATTTCGTTGGAAACGGGATAAACCGCACAGAACTAAACAGAAGAATTCTCAGAGCCCTATTCGTGATGTTTGCATTCAACTCACAGTGCTGAACCTTTCTTTGATAGTGCAGCTTTGAAACACTCTTTTTGTAGAAACTGCAAGTCGATATTTGGTCCTCTCTGAGGATTTCGTTGGAAACGGGATAAACCGCACAGAACTAAAACAGAAGCATTCACAGAAAACTCTTGGTGACGACTGAGTTTAACTCACAGAGCTGAACATTCCTTTGGATGGAGCAGTTTCGAAACACACTATTTGTAGAATCTGCAAGTGGATATTTGGGCCTCTCTGAGGATTTCGTTGGAAACGGGATAAAACGCACAGAACTAAAACAGAAGCATTCTCAGAAACTACTTTGTGATGATTGCATTCAAGTCACAGAGTTGAAGATTCCCTTTGACAGAGCAGCTTGGAAACTATCTTTGTGTAGAATCTGCAAGTGGAGATATGGACCGCTTTGAGGCCTATGGTAGTAAAGGAAATAGCTTCATATAAAAGCTAGACAGTAGCATTCTCAGAAACTTCTTTGTGATGCTTGCATTCAACTCACAGAGTTGAACTTTCCTTTCGAGAGAGAAGCTTTGAAACACTCTTTTTCCAGAATCTGCAAGTGGACATTTGGAGGGCTTTGAGGCCTGTGGTGGAAAAGGAATTATCTTCCCGTAAAAGCTAGATAGAAGCCTTCTCAGAAACTTCTCTGTGATGATTGCATTCAACTCACAGAGTTGAAGGTTCCTTTTCAAAGAGCAGTTTCCAATCACTCTTTCTGTGGAATCTGCAAGTGGATATTTGGACCTATTTTGAAGATTTCGTTGGAAACGGGAGAATCTTCACAGGAAAGCTAAACAGAAGCATTCTCAGAAACTTCTTGGTGATGTTTGCATTCAAATCCCAGAGTAGAACCTTCCTTTGATAGTTCAGGTTTGAAACACTCTTTTTGTAGGATCTGCAAGTGGATATTTGGACCACTCTGTGGCCTTCGTTCGAAACGGGTATATCTTCGCATAAAATCTAGACAGAAGCATTCTCAGAAAATACTTTGTGATGATTGAGTTTAACTCACAGAGCTGAACATTCCTTTGGATGGAGCAGGTTTGAGACACACTTTTTGTAGAATCTACAAGTGGATATTTGGACCTCTCTGAGGATTTCGTTGGAAACGCGATAACTGCACCTAACTAAACGGAAGCATTCTCAGAAACTGCTTTGTGATGATTGCATTCACCTCACAGAGTTGAACATTCCTATTGATAGAGCAGTTTGGAAACACTCTTGTTGTGGAATGTGCAAGTGGAGATTTGGAGCGCTTTGAGGCCTATGGTAGTAAAGGGAATAGCTTCATAGAAAAACTAGACAGATGCATTCTCAGGTAACTTTTTGGTGATGTTTGTATTCAACTCCCAGAGTTGAACTTTCCTTTGGAAAGAGCAGCTATGAAACACTCTTTTTCTAGAATCTGCAAGTGGACGTTTGGAGGGCTTTGTGGTTTGTGGTGGAAAAGGAAATATCTTCACCTAAATACTAGATAGAAGCATCCTCAGAAGCTTCTCTGTGATGACTGCATTCAACTCACGGAGTTGAACACTCCTTTTGAGAGCGCAGTTTTGAAACTCTCTTTCTGTGGCATCTGCAAGGGGACATGTAGACCTCTTTGAAGATTTCGTTGGAAACGGAATCATCTTCACATAAAAACTATACAGAAGCAGTCTCAGAATCTTCTTTGTGATGTTTGCATTCAAATCCCAGAGTTGAACTTGCCTTTCAAAGTTCACGTTTGAAACACTCTTTTTGCAGGATCTACAAGTGGATATTTGGACCACTCTGTGTCCTTCGTTCGAAACGGGTATATCTTCACATGACATCTAGACAGAAGCTTTCTCAGAAAATTCTTTGGGATGATTGAGTGGAACTCACAGAGCTGAACATTCCTTGCGATGTAGCAGTTTAGAAACACACTTTCTGCAGAATCTGCAAGTGCATATTTGGACCTCTCTGAGGAATTCGTTGGAAACGGGATAATTTCAGCTGACTAAACAGAAAGCATTCTCAGGAACCTTCTTCGTGATGTCTGCATTCAACTCACAGTGTGGAACCTTTCTTTGATAGTTCAGGTTTGAAACACTCTTTTTGTAGAAACTGCAAGGGGATAATTGCACTTCTTTGAGGCCTACCGTAGTAAAGGAAATAACTTCCTATAGAAAGAAGACAGAAGAATTCTCAGAGCCCTCTTCGTGATGTTTGCATTCAACTCACAGTGCTGAACCTTTCTTTGATAGTGCAGCTTTGAAACACTCTTTTTGTAGAAACTGCAAGTGGATGTTTGGTCCTCTCTGAGGATTTCGTTGGAAACGGGATAAACCGCACAGAACTAAAACAGAAGCATTGTCAGAAACTTCTTTGTGATGATTGCATTCAACTCACAGAGTTGAAGGTTCCTTTTCAAACAGCAGTTTCCAATCACTCTTTCTGTGGAATCTGCAAGTGGATATTTGGGCCTCTCTGAGGATTTCGTTGGAAACGGGATAAAACGCACAGAACTAAAACAGAAGCATTCTCAGAAACTTCTCTGTGATGTTTGTGTTCAACTCCCAGAGTTTCACGTTGCTTTTCATAGAGTAGTTCTGAAACATGCTTTTCGTAGTGTCTGCAAGTGGACATTTGGAGCGCTTTCAGGCCTGTGGTGGAAAACGAATTATGGTCACATAAAAACTGGAGAGAAGCCTTCTCAGAAACTTCTCTGTGATGATTGCATTCAACTCACAGAGTTGAACCCTCCTATGGATAGAGCAGTGTTGAAACTCTCTTTTTGTGGAATCTGCAAGTGGATATGTGGACCTCTCCGAAGATGTCTTTGGAAACGGGAATATCTTCACATAAAAACTAAACAGAAGCATTCTCAGAAACTTCTTGGTGATGTTTGCATTCAAATCCCAGAGTTGAACCTTCCTTTGATAGTTCAGGTTTGAAACACTCTTTCTGTAGGATCTGCAAGTGGCTATTTGGACCACTCTGTGGCCTTCGTTCGAAACGGGTATATCTTCGCATAAAATCTAGACAGAAGCATTCTTAGAAAATACTTTGTGATGATTGAGTTTAAATCACAGAGCTGACCATTCCTTTGGATGGAGCAGGTTTGAGACACACTTTTTGTAGAATCTACAAGTGGATATTTGGACCTCTCTGAGGATTTCGTTGGAAACGGGATAACTGCACCTAACTAAACGGAAGCATTCACAGAAACTGCTTTGTGATGATTGCATTCACCTCACAGAGTTGAACATTCCTATTGATAGAGCAGTTTGGAAACACTCTTGTTGTGGAATGTGCAAGTGGAGATTTGGAGCGCTTTGAGGCCTATGGTAGTAAAGGGAATAGCTTCATAGAAAAACTAGACAGATGCATTCTCAGGAACTTTTTGGTGATGTTTGTATTCAACTCCCAGAGTTGAACTTTCCTTTGGAAAGAGCAGCTATGAAACACTCTTTTTCTAGAATCTGCAAGTGGACGTTTGGAGGGCTTTGTGGTTTGTGGTGGAAAAGGAAATATCTTCACCTAAATACTAGATAGAAGCATTCTCAGAAGCTTCTCTGTGATGACTGCATTCAACTCACGGAGTTGAACACTCCTTTTGAGAGCGTAGTTTTGAAACTCTCTTTCTGTGGCATCTGCAAGGGGACATGTAGACCTCTTTGAAGATTTCGTTGGAAACGGAATCATCTTCACATAAAAACTATACAGAAGCAGTCTCAGAATCTTCTTTGTGATGTTTGCATTCAAATCCCAGAGTTGAACTTTCCTTTCAAAGTTCACGTTTGAAACACTCTTTTTGCAGGATCTACAAGTGGATATTTGGACCACTCTGTGTCCTTCGTTCGAAACGGGTATATCTTCACACGACATCTAGACAGAAGCTTTCTCAGAAAATTCTTTGGGATGATTGAGTGGAACTCACAGAGCTGAACATTCCCTTGCGATGTAGCAGTTTAGAAACACACTTTCTGCAGAATCTGCAAGTGCATATTTGGACCTCTCTGAGGAATTCGTTGGAAACGGGATAATTTCAGCTGACTAAACAGAAGCATTCTCAGAACCTTCTTCGTGATGTCTGCATTCAACTCACAGTGTGGAACCTTTCTTTGATAGTTCAGGTTTGAAACACTCTTTTTGTAGAAACTGCAAGGGGATAATTGCACTTCTTTGAGGCCTACCGTAGTAAAGGAAATAACTTCCTATAGAAAGAAGACAGAAGCATTCTCAGAACCCTCTTCGTGATGTTTGCATTCAACTCACAGTGCTGAACCTTTCTTTGATAGTTCAGCTTTGAAACACTCTTCTTGTAGAAACTGCAAGTGGATATTTGGTCCTCTCTGAGGATTTCATTGGAAAAGGGATAAACCGCACAGAACTAAACAGAAGCATTCTCAGAGCCCTCTTCGTGATGTTTGCATTCAACTCACAGTGCTGAACCTTTCTTTGATAGTGCAGCTTTGAAACACTCTTTTTGTAGAAACTGCAAGTGGATGTTTGGTCCTCTCTGAGGATTTCGTTGGAAACGGGATAAACCGCACAGAACTAAAACAGAAGCATTGTCAGAAACTTCTTTGTGATGATTGCATTCAACTCACAGAGTTGAAGGTTCCTTTTCAAACAGCAGTTTCCAATCACTCTTTCTGTGGAATCTGCAAGTGGATATTTGGGCCTCTCTGAGGATTTCGTTGGAAACGGGATAAAACGCACAGAACTAAAACAGAAGCATTCTCAGAAACTTCTCTGTGATGTTTGTGTTCAACTCCCAGAGTTTCACGTTGCTTTTCATAGAGTAGTTCTGAAACATGCTTTTCGTAGTGTCTGCAAGTGGACATTTGGAGCGCTTTCAGGCCTGTGGTGGAAAACGAATTATGGTCACATAAAAACTGGAGAGAAGCCTTCTCAGAAACTTCTCTGTGATGATTGCATTCAACTCACAGAGTTGAACCCTCCTATGGATAGAGCAGTGTTGAAACTCTCTTTTTGTGGAATCTGCAAGCGGATATGTGGACCTCTCCGAAGATGTCTTTGGCAACGGGAATATCTTCACATAAAAACTAAACAGAAGCATTCTCAGAAACTTCTTGGTGATGTTTGCATTCAAATCCCAGAGTTGAACCTTCCTTTGATAGTTCAGGGTTGAAACACTCTTTTTGTAGGATCTGCAAGTGGATATTTGGACCACTCTGTGGCCTTCGTTCGAAACGGGTACATCTTCGCATAAAATCTAGACAGAAGCATTCTCAGAAAATACTTTGTGATGATTGAGTTTAACTCACAGAGCTGAACATTCCTTTGGATGGAGCAGGCTTGAGACACACTTTTTGTAGAATCTACAAGTGGATATTTGGACCTCTCTGAGGATTTCGTTGGAAACGGGATAACTGCACCTAACTAAGCGGAAGCATTCTCAGAAACTGCTTTGTGATGATTGCACTCACCTCACAGAGTTGACCGTTACTATTGATAGAGCAGTTTGGAAACCCTCTTGTTGTGGAATGTGCAAGTGGAGATTTGGAGCGCTTTGAGGCCTATGGTAGTAAAGGGAATAGCTTCATAGAAAAACTAGACAGATGCATTCTCAGGAACTTTTTGGTGATGTTTGTATTCAACTCCCAGAGTTGAACTTTCCTTTGGAAAGAGCAGCTATGAAACACTCTTTTTCTAGAATCTGCAAGTGGACGTTTGGAGGGCTTTGTGGTTTGTGGTGGAAAAGGAAATATCTTCACCTAAATACTAGAGAGAAGCATTCTCAGAAGCTTCTCTGTGATGACTGCATTCAACTCACGGAGTTGAACACTCCTTTTGAGAGCGCAGTTTTGAAACTCTCTTTCTGTGGCATCCGCAAGGGGACATGTAGACCTCTTTGAAGATTTCGTTGGAAACGGAATCATCTTCACATAAAAACTATACAGAAGCAGTCTCAGAATCTTCTTTGTGATGTTTGCATTCAAATCCCAGAGTTGAACTTTCCTTTCAAAGTTCACGTTTGAAACACTCTTTTTGCAGGATCTACAAGTGGATATTTGGACCACTCTGTGTCCTTCGTTCGAAACGGGTATATCTTCACATGACATCTAGACAGAAGCTTTCTCAGAAAATTCTTTGGGATGATTGAGTTGAACTCACAGAGCTGAACATTCCTTGCGATGGAGCAGTTTAGAAACACACTTTCTGCAGAATCTGCAAGTGCATATTTGGACCTCTCTGAGGAATTCGTTGGAAACGGGATAATTTCAGCCGACTAAACAGAAGCATTCTCAGAACCTTCTTCGTGATGTCTGCATTCAACTCACAGTGTGGAACCTTTCTTTGATAGTTCAGGTTTGAAACACTCTTTTTGTAGAAACTGCAAGGGGATAATTGCACTTCTTTCAGGTCTACCGTAGTAAAGGAAATAACTTCCTATAAAAAGAAGACAGAAGCATTCTCAGAACCCTCTTCGTGATGTTTGCATTCAACTCACAGTGCTGAACCTTTCTTTGATAGTTCAGCTTTGAAACACTCTTTTTGTAGAAACTGCAAGTGGATATTTGGTCCTCTCTGAGGATTTCGTTGGAAACGGGATAAACCGCACAGAACTAAACAGAAGCATTCTCAGAACCTTCTTCGTGATGTTTGCATTCAACTCACAGTGTTGAACCTTTCTTTGATAGTTCAGGTTTGAAACGGTCTTTCTGTAGAAACTGCAAGTAGATATTTGGACCTCTCTGAGGATTTCGTTGGAAACGGGATAACCCGCACAGAACTAAAACAGAAGCATTCACAGAAAACCCTTGGTGACGACTGAGTTTAACTCACAGAGCTGAACATTCCCTAGGTTGGAGCAGTTTCGAAACACACTCTTTGTAGAATCTGCAGGTGGATATTTGGGCCACTCTGAGGATTTCGTTGGAAATGGGATAAACCGCACAGAACTAAAACAGAAGCATTCTCAGAAACTACTTTGTGATGATTGCATTCAAGTCACAGAGTTGAACATTCCCTTTGACGGGGCAGTTTGGAAACTCTCTTTGTGTAGAATCTGCAAGTGGAGATATGGAATGCTTTGAGGACTATGGTAGTAAAGGAAATAGCTTCATATAAAAGCTAGACAGTAGCATTCTCAGAAACTTCTTTGTGATGCTTGCATTCAACTCACAGAGTTGAACTTTCCTTTCGAGAGAGAAGCTTTGAAACACTCTTTTTCCAGAATCTGCAAGTGGACATTTGGAGGGCTTTGAGGCCTGTGGTGGAAAAGGAATTATCTTCCCGTAAAAGCTAGATAGAAGCATTGTCAGAAACTTCTTTGTGATGATTGCATTCAACTCACAGAGTTGCAGGTTCCTTTTCAAACAGCAGTTTCCAATCACACTTTCTGTGGAATCTGCAAGTGGATGTTTGGACCTCTTTGAAGATTTCGTTGGAAACGGGAGAATCTTCACAGAAAAGCTAAACAGAAGCATTCTCAGAAACTTCTCTGTGATGTTTGTGTTCAACTCCCAGAGTTTCACATTGCTTTTCATAGAGTAGTTCTGAAACATGCTTTTCGTAGTGTCTGCAAGTGGACATTTGGAGCGCTTTCAGGCCTGTGGTGGAAAACGAATTATGGTCACATAAAAACTGGAGAGAAGCCTTCTCAGAAACTTCTCTGTGATGATTGCATTCAACTCACAGAGTTGAACCCTCCTATGGATAGAGCAGTGTTGAAACTCTCTTTTTGTGGAATCTGCAAGTGGATATGTGGACCTCTCCGAAGATGTCTTTGGAAACGGGAATATCTTCACATAAAAACTAAACAGAAGCATTGTCAGAAACTTCTTGGTGATGTTTGCATTCAAATCCCAGAGTTGAACCTTCCTTTGATAGTTCAGGTTTGAAACACTCTTTTTGTAGGATCTGCAAGTGGCTATTTGGACCACTCTGTGGCCTTCGTTCGAAACGGGTATATCTTCGCATAAAATCTAGACAGAAGCATTCTCAGAAAATACTTTGTGATGATTGAGTTTAAATCACAGAGCTGAACATTCCTTTGGATGGAGCAGGTTTGAGACACACTTTTTGTAGAATCTACAAGTGGATATTTGGACCTCTCTGAGGATTTCGTTGGAAACGGGATAACTGCACCTAACTAAACGGAAGCATTCTCAGAAACTGCTTTGTGATGATTGCATTCACCTCACAGAGTTGAACATTCCTATTGATAGAGCAGTTTGGAAACACTCTTGTTGTGGAATGTGCAAGTGGAGATTTGGAGCGCTTTGAGGCCTATGGTAGTAAAGGGAATAGCTTCATAGAAAAACTAGACAGATGCATTCTCAGGAACTTTTTGGTGATGTTTGTATTCAACTCCCAGAGTTGAACTTTCCTTTGGAAAGAGCAGCTATGAAACACTCTTTTTCTAGAATCTGCAAGTGGACGTTTGGAGGGCTTTGTGGTTTGTGGTGGAAAAGGAAATATCTTCACCTAAATACTAGATAGAAGCATTCTCAGAAGCTTCTCTGTGATGACTGCATTCAACTCACGGAGTTGAACACTCCTTTTGAGAGCGCAGTTTTGAAACTCTCTTTCTGTGGCATCTGCAAGGGGACATGCAGACCTCTTTGAAGATTTCGTTGGAAACGGAATCATCTTCACATAAAAACTATACAGAAGCAGTCTCAGAATCTTCTTTGTGATGTTTGCATTCAAATCCCAGAGTTGAACTTTCCTTTCAAAGTTCACGTTTGAAACACTCTTTTTGCAGGATCTACAAGTGGATATTTGGACCACTCTGTGTCCTTCGTTCGAAACGGGTATATCTTCACACGACATCTAGACAGAAGCTTTCTCAGAAAATTCTTTGGGATGATTGAGTGGAACTCACAGAGCTGAACATTCCTTGCGATGTAGCAGTTTAGAAACACACTTTCTGCAGAATCTGCAAGTGCATATTTGGACCTCTCTGAGGAATTCGTTGGAAACGGGATAATTTCAGCTGACTAAACAGAAGCATTCTCAGAATCTTCTTCGTGATGTCTGCATTCAACTCACAGTGTGGAACCTTTCTTTGATAGTTCAGGTTTGAAACACTCTTTTTGTAGAAACTGCAAGGGGATAATTGCACTTCTTTGAGGCCTACTGTAGTAAAGGACATAACTTCCTATAAAAAGAAGACAGAAGCATTCTCAGAACCCTCTTCGTGATGTTTGCATTCAACTCACAGTGCTGAACCTTTCTTTGATAGTTCAGCTTTGAAACACTCTTCTTGTAGAAACTGCAAGTGGATATTTGGTCCTCTCTGAGGATTTCGTTGGAAACGGGATAAACCGCACAGAACTAAACAGAAGCATTCACAGAAAACTCTTGGTGACGACTGAGTTTAACTCACAGAGCTGAACATTCCTTTGGATGGAGCAGTTTCGAAACACACTATTTGTAGAATGTGCAACTGGATATTTGGGCCTCTCTGAGGATTTCGTTGGAAACGGGATATACCGCACAGAACTAAAACAGAAGCATTCTCAGAAACTACTTTGTGATGATTGCATTCAAGTCACAGAGTTGAACATTCCCTTTGACAGAGCAGTTTGGAAACTCTCTTTGTGTAGAATCTGCAAGTGGAGATATGGACCGCTTTGAGGCCTATGGTAGTAAAGGAAATAGCTTCATATAAAAGCTAGACAGTAGCATTCTCAGAAACTTCTTTGTGATGCTTGCATTCAACTCACAGAGTTGAACTTTCCTTTCGAGAGAGAAGCTTTGAAACACTCTTTTTCCAGAATGTGCAAGTGGACATTTGGGGAGCTTTGAGGCCTGGGGTGGAAAAGGAATTATCTTCCCGTAAAAGCTAGATAGAAGCATTGTCAGAAACTTCTTTGTGATGATTGCATTCAACTCACAGAGTTGAAGGTTCCTTTTCAAACAGCAGTTTCCAATCACTCTTTCTGTGGAATCTGCAAGTGGATATTTCGACCTCTTTGAAGATTTCGTTGGAAACGGGAGAATCTTCACAGAAAAGCTTAACAGAAGCATTCTCAGAAACTTCTCTGTGATGTTTGTGTTCAACTCCCAGAGTTTCACGTTGCTTTTCATAGAGTAGTTCTGAAACATGCTTTTCGTAGTGTCTGCAAGTGGACATTTGGAGCGCTTTCAGGCCTGTGGTGGAAAACGAATTATGGTCACATAAAAACTGGAGAGAAGCCTTCTCAGAAACTTCTCTGTGATGATTGCATTCAACTCACAGAGTTGAACCCTCCTATGGATAGAGCAGTGTTGAAACTCTCTTTTTGTGGAATCTGCAAGTGGATATGTGGACCTCGCCGAAGATGTCTTTGGAAACGGGAATATCTTCACATAAAAACTAAACAGAAGCATTCTCAGAAACTTCTTGGTGATGTTTGCATTCAAATCCCAGAGTTGAACCTTCCTTTGATAGTTCAGGTTTGAAACACTCTTTTTGTAGGATCTGCAAGTGGCTATTTGGACCACTCTGTGGCCTTCGTTCGAAACGGGTATATCTTCGCATAAAATCTAGACAGAAACATTCTCAGAAAATACTTTGTGATGATTGAGTTTAAATCACAGAGCTGAACATTCCTTTGGATGGAGCAGGTTTGAGACACACTTTTTGTAGAATCTACAAGTGGATATTTGGACCTCTCTGAGGATTTCGTTGGAAACGGGATAACTGCACCTAACTAAACGGAAGCATTCTCAGAAACTGCTTTGTGATGATTGCATTCACCTCACAGAGTTGAACATTCCTATTGATAGAGCAGTTTGGAAACACTCTTGTTGTGGAATGTGCAAGTGGAGATTTGGAGCGCTTTGAGGCCTATGGTAGTAAAGGGAATACCTTCATAGAAAAACTAGACAGATGCATTCTCAGGAACTTTTTGGTGATGTTTGTATTCAACTCCCAGAGTTGAACTTTCCTTTGGAAAGAGCAGCTATGAAACACTCTTTTTCTAGAATCTGCAAGTGGACGTTTGGAGGGCTTTGTGGTTTGTGGTGGAAAAGGAAATATCTTCACCTAAATACTAGATAGAAGCATTCTCAGAAGCTTCTCTGTGATGACTGCATTCAACTCACGGAGTTGAACACTCCTTTTGAGAGCGCAGTTTTGAAACTCTGTTTCTGTGGCATCTGCAAGGGGACATGTAGACCTCTTTGAAGATTTCGTTGGAAACGGAATCATCTTCACATCAAAACTATACAGAAGCAGTCTCAGAATCTTCTTTGTGATGTTTGCATTCAAATCCCAGAGTTGAACTTTCCTTTCAAAGTTCACGTTTGAAACACTCTTTTTGCAGGATCTACAAGTGGATATTTGGACCACTCTGTGTCCTTCGTTCGAAACGGGTATATCTTCACATGACATCTAGACAGAAGCTTTCTCAGAAAATTCTTTGGGATGATTGAGTTGAACTCACAGAGCTGAACATTCCTTGTGATGTAGCAGTTTAGAAACACACTTTCTGCAGAATCTGCAAGTGCATATTTGGACCTCTCTGAGGAATTCGTTGGAAACGGGATAATTTCAGCTGACTAAACAGAAGCATTCTCAGAACCTTCCTCGTGATGTCTGCATTCAACTCACAGTGTGGAACCTTTCTTTGATAGTTCAGCTTTGAAACACTCTTTTTGTAGAACCTGCAAGGGGATAATTGCACTTCTTTGAGGCCTACCGTTGTAAAGGAAATAACTTCCTATAAAAAGAAGACAGAAGCATTCTCAGAACCCTCTTCGTGATGTTTGCATTCAACTCACAGTGCTGAACCTTTCTTTGATAGTTCAGCTTTGAAACACTCTTTTTGTAGAAACTGCAAGTGGATATTTGGTCCTCTCTGAGGATTTCTTTGGAAACGGGATAAACCGCACAGAACCAAACAGAAGCATTCTCAGAACCTTCTTCGTGATGTTTGCATTCAACTCACAGTGCTGAACCTTTCTTTGATAGTTCAGCTTTGAAACACTCTTTTTGTAGAAACTGCAAGTGGATATTTGGTCCTCTCTGAGGATTTCGTTGGAAACGGGATAAACCGCACAGAACTAAAACAGAAGCATTCACAGAAAACTCTTGGTGACGACTGAGTTTAACTCACAGAACTGAACATTCCTTTGGATGGAGCAGTTTCGAAACACACTATTTGTAGAATGTGCAAGTGGATATGTGGGCCTCTCTGAGGATTTCGTTGGAAACGGGATAAACCGCACAGAACTAAACAGAAGCATTCTCAGAAACTACTTTGTGATGATTGCATTCAAGTCACAGAGTTGAACATTCCCTTTGACAGAGCAGTTTGGAAACTCTCTTTGTGTAGAATCTGCAAGTGGAGATATGGACCGCTTTGAGGCCTATGGTAGTAAAGGAAATAGCTTCATATAAAAGCTAGACAGCAGCATTCTCAGAAACTTCTTTGTGATGCTTGCATTCAACTCACAGAGTTGAACTTTCCTTTCGAGAGAGAAGCTTTGAAACACTCTTTTTCCAGAATCTGCAAGTGGACATTTGGAGGGCTTTGAGGCCTGTGGTGGAAAAGGAATTATCTTCCCGTAAAAGCTAGATAGAAGCATTGTCAGAAACTTCTTTGTGATGATTGCATTCAACTCACAGAGTTGAAGGTTCCTTTTCAAACAGCAGTTTCCAAACACTCTTTCTGTGGAATCTGCAAGTGGATATTTGGACCTCTTTGAAGATTTCTTTGGAAAGGGGATAATCTTCACAGAAAAGCTAAACAGAAGCATTCTCAGAAACTTCTCTGTGATGTTTGTGTTCAACTCCCAGAGTTTCACGTTGCTTTTCATAGAGTAGTTCTGAAACATGCTTTTCGTAGTGTCTGCAAGTGGACATTTGGAGCGCTTTCAGGCCTGTGGTGGAAAACGAATTATGGTCACATAAAAACTGGAGAGAAGCCTTCTCAGAAACTTCTCTGTGATGATTGCATTCAACTCACTGAGTTGAACCCTCCTATTGGATAGAGCAGTGTTGAAACTCTCTTTTTGTGGAATCTGCAAGTGGATATGTGGACCTCTCCGAAGATGTCTTTGGAAACGGGAATATCTTCACATAAAAACTAAACAGAAGCATTCTCAGAAACTTCTTGGTGATGTTTGCATTCAAATCCCAGAGTTGAACCTTCCTTTGATAGTTCAGGTTTGAAACACTCTTTTTGTAGGATCTGCAAGTGGCTATTTGGACCACTCTGTGGCCTTCGTTCGAAACGGGTATATCTTCGCATAAAATCTAGACAGAAGCATTCTCAGAAAATACTTTGTGATGATTGAGTTTAAATCACAGAGCTGAACATTCCTTTGGATGGAGCAGGTTTGAGACACACATTTTGTAGAATCTACAAGTGGATATTTGGACCTCTCTGAGGATTTCGTTGGAAACGGGATAACTGCACCTAACTAAACGGAAGCATTCTCAGAAACTGCTTTGTGATGATTGCATTCACCTCACAGAGTTGAACATTCCTATTGATAGAGCAGTTTGGAAACACTCTTGTTGTGGAATGTGCAAGTGGAGATTTGGAGCGCTTTGAGGCCTATGGTAGTAAAGGGAATAGCTTCATAGAAAAACTAGACAGATGCATTCTCAGGAACTTTTTGGTGATGTTTATATTCAACTCCCAGAGTTGAACTTTCCTTTGGAAAGAGCAGCTATGAAACACTCTTTTTCTAGAATCTGCAAGTGGACGTTTGGAGGGCTTTGTGGTTTGTGGTGGAAAAGGAAATATCTTCACCTAAATACTAGATAGAAGCATTCTCAGAAGCTTCTCTGTGATGACTGCATTCAACTCACGGAGTTGAACACTCCTTTTGAGAGCGCAGTTTTGAAACTCTCTTTCTGTGGCATCTGCAAGGGGACATGTAGACCTCTTTGAAGATTTCGTTGGAAACGGAATCATCTTCACATAAAAACTATACAGAAGCAGTCTCAGAATCTTCTTTGTGATGTTTGCATTCAAATCCCAGAGTTGAACTTTCCTTTCAAAGTTCACGTTTGAAACACTCTTTTTGCAGGATCTACAAGTGGATATTTGGACCACTCTGTGTCCTTCGTTCGAAACGGGTATATCTTCACATGACATCTAGACAGAAGCTTTCTCAGAAAATTCTTTGGGATGATTGAGTGGAACTCACAGAGCTGAACATTCCTTGCGATGTAGCAGTTTAGAAACACACTTTCTGCAGAATCTGCAAGTGCATATTTGGACCTCTCTGAGGAATTCGTTGGAAACGGGATAATTTCAGCTGACTAAACAGAAGCATTCTCAGAACTTCTTCGTGATGTCTGCATTCAACTCACAGTGTGGAACCTTTCTTTGATAGTTCAGGTTTGAAACACTCTTTTTGTAGAAACTGCAAGGGGATAATTGCACTTCTTTGAGGCCTACCGTAGTAAAGGAAATAACTTCCTATAGAAAGAAGACAGAAGAATTCTCAGAGCCCTCTTCGTGATGTTTGCATTCAACTCACAGTGCTGAACCTTTCTTTGATAGTGCAGCTTTGAAACACTCTTTTTGTAGAAACTGCAAGTGGATGTTTGGTCCTCTCTGAGGATTTCGTTGGAAACGGGATAAACCGCACAGAACTAAAACAGAAGCATTGTCAGAAACTTCTTTGTGATGATTGCATTCAACTCACAGAGTTGAAGGTTCCTTTTCAAACAGCAGTTTCCAATCACTCTTTCTGTGGAATCTGCAAGTGGATATTTGGGCCTCTCTGAGGATTTCGTTGGAAACGGGATAAAACGCACAGAACTAAAACAGAAGCATTCTCAGAAACTTCTCTGTGATGTTTGTGTTCAACTCCCAGAGTTTCACGTTGCTTTTCATAGAGTAGTTCTGAAACATGCTTTTCGTAGTGTCTGCAAGTGGACATTTGGAGCGCTTTCAGGCCTGTGGTGGAAAACGAATTATGGTCACATAAAAACTGGAGAGAAGCCTTCTCAGAAACTTCTCTGTGATGATTGCATTCAACTCACAGAGTTGAACCCTCCTATGGATAGAGCAGTGTTGAAACTCTCTTTTTGTGGAATCTGCAAGTGGATATGTGGACCTCTCCGAAGATGTCTTTGGAAACGGGAATATCTTCACATAAAAACTAAACAGAAGCATTCTCAGAAACTTCTTGGTGATGTTTGCATTCAAATCCCAGAGTTGAACCTTCCTTTGATAGTTCAGGTTTGAAACACTCTTTCTGTAGGATCTGCAAGTGGCTATTTGGACCACTCTGTGGCCTTCGTTCGAAACGGGTATATCTTCGCATAAAATCTAGACAGAAGCATTCTCAGAAAATACTTTGTGATGATTGAGTTTAAATCACAGAGCTGACCATTCCTTTGGATGGAGCAGGTTTGAGACACACTTTTTGTAGAATCTACAAGTGGATATTTGGACCTCTCTGAGGATTTCGTTGGAAACGGGATAACTGCACCTAACTAAACGGAAGCATTCTCAGAAACTGCTTTGTGATGATTGCATTCACCTCACAGAGTTGAACATTCCTATTGATAGAGCAGTTTGGAAACACTCTTGTTGTGGAATGTGCAAGTGGAGATTTGGAGCGCTTTGAGGCCTGTGGTAGTAAAGGGAATAGCTTCATAGAAAAACTAGACAGATGCATTCTCAGGAACTTTTTGGTGATGTTTGTATTCAACTCCCAGAGTTGAACTTTCCTTTGGAAAGAGCAGCTATGAAACACTCTTTTTCTAGAATCTGCAAGTGGACGTTTGGAGGGCTTTGTGGTTTGTGGTGGAAAAGGAAATATCTTCACCTAAATACTAGATAGAAGCATTCTCAGAAGCTTCTCTGTGATGACTGCATTCAACTCACGGAGTTGAACACTCCTTTTGAGAGCGCAGTTTTGAAACTCTCTTTCTGTGGCATCTGCAAGGGGACATGTAGACCTCTTTGAAGATTTCGTTGGAAACGGAATCATCTTCACATAAAAACTATACAGAAGCAGTCTCAGAATCTTCTTTGTGATGTTTGCATTCAAATCCCAGAGTTGAACTTTCCTTTCAAAGTTCACGTTTGAAACACTCTTTTTGCAGGATCTACAAGTGGATATTTGGACCACTCTGTGTCCTTCGTTCGAAACGGGTATATCTTCACACGACATCTAGACAGAAGCTTTCTCAGAAAATTCTTTGGGATGATTGAGTGGAACTCACAGAGCTGAACATTCCTTGCGATGTAGCAGTTTAGAAACACACTTTCTGCAGAATCTGCAAGTGCATATTTGGACCTCTCTGAGGAATTCGTTGGAAACGGGATAATTTCAGCTGACTAAACAGAAGCATTCTCAGAACCTTCTTCGTGATGTCTGCATTCAACTCACAGTGTGGAACCTTTCTTTGATAGTTCAGGTTTGAAACACTCTTTTTGTAGAAACTGCAAGGGGATAATTGCACTTCTTTGAGGCCTACCGTAGTAAAGGAAATAACTTCCTATAGAAAGAAGACAGAAGCATTCTCAGAACCTTCTTCGTGATGTTTGCATTCAACTCACAGTGTTGAACCTTTCTTTGATAGTTCAGGTTTGAAACGGTCTTTCTGTAGAAACTGCAAGGAGATACTAGGACCTCTCTGAGGATTTCGTTGGAAACGGGATAAATCGCACAGAAATAAACAGAAGCATTCACAGAAAACTCTTGGTGACGACTGAGTTTAACTCACAGAGCTGAACATTCCTTTGGATGGAGCCGTTTCGAAACACACTATTTGTAGAATGTGCAAGTGGATATTTGGGCCTCTCTGAGGATTTCGTTGGAAACGGGATAAACCGCACAGAACTAAACAGAAGCATTCTCAGAAACTACTTTGTGATGATTGCATTCAAGTCACAGAGTTGAACATTCCCTTTGACAGAGCAGTTTGGAAACTCTCTTTGTGTAGAATCTGCAAGTGGAGCTATGGACCGCTTTGAGGCCTATGGTAGTAAAGGAAATAGTTTCATATAAAAGCTAGACAGCAGCATTCTCAGAAACTTCTTTGTGATGCTTGCATTCAACTCACAGAGTTGAACTTTCCTTTCGAGAGAGAAGCTTTGAAACACTCTTTTTCCAGAATCTGCAAGTGGACATTTGGAGGGCTTTGAGGCCTGTGGTGGAAAAGGAATTATCTTCCCGTAAAAGCTAGATAGAAGCATTGTCAGAAACTTCTTTGTGATGATTGCATTCAAGTCACAGAGTTGAAGGTTCCTTTTCAAAGAGCAGTTTCCAATCACTCTTTCTGTGGAATCTGCAAGTGGATATTTGGACCTCTTTGAACATTTCGTTGGAAACGGGAGAATCTTCACAGAAAAGCTAAACAGAAGCATTCTCAGAAACTTCTCTGTGATGTTTGTGTTCAACTCCCAGAGTTTCACGTTGCTTTTCATAGAGTAGTTCTGAAACATGCTTTTCGTAGTGTCTGCAAGTGGACATTTGGAGCGCTTTCAGGCCTGTGGTGGAAAACGAATTATGGTCACATAAAAACTGGAGAGAAAGCCTTCTCAGAAACTTCTCTGTGATGATTGCATTCAACTCACAGAGTTGAACCCTCCTATGGATAGAGCAGTGTTGAAACTCTCTTTTTGTGGAATCTGCAAGTGGATATGTGGACCTCTCCGAAGATGTCTTTGGAAACGGGAATATCTTCACATAAAAACTAAACAGAGCATTCTCAGAAACTTCTTGGTGATGTTTGCATTCAAATCCCAGAGTTGAACCTTCCTTTGATAGTTCAGGTTTGAAACACTCTTTCTGTAGGATCTGCAAGTGGCTATTTGGACCACTCTGTGGCCTTCGTTCGAAACGGGTATATCTTCGCATAAAATCTAGACAGAAGCATTCTCAGAAAATACTTTGTGATGATTGAGTTTAAATCACAGAGCTGACCATTCCTTTGGATGGAGCAGGTTTGAGACACACTTTTTGTAGAATCTACAAGTGGATATTTGGACCTCTCTGAGGATTTCGTTGGAAACGGGATAACTGCACCTAACTAAACGGAAGCATTCTCAGAAACTGCTTTGTGATGATTGCATTCACCTCACAGAGTTGAACATTCCTATTGATAGAGCAGTTTGGAAACACTCTTGTTGTGGAATGTGCAAGTGGAGATTTGGAGCGCTTTGAGGCCTGTGGTAGTAAAGGGAATAGCTTCATAGAAAAACTAGACAGATGCATTCTCAGGAACTTTTTGGTGATGTTTGTATTCAACTCCCAGAGTTGAACTTTCCTTTGGAAAGAGCAGCTATGAAACACTGTTTTTCTAGAATCTGCAAGTGGACGTTTGGAGGGCTTTGTGGTTTGTGGTGGAAAAGGAAATATCTTCACCTAAATACTAGATAGAAGCATTCTCAGAAGCTTCTCTGTGATGACTGCATTCAACTCACGGAGTTGAACACTCCTTTTGAGAGCACAGTTTTGAAACTCTCTTTCTGTGGCATCTGCAAGGGGACATGTAGACCTCTTTGAGGATTTCCTTGGAAACGGAATCATCTTCACAAAAAAACTATACAGAAGCAGTCTCAGAATCTTCTTTGTGATGTTTGCATTCAAATCCCAGAGTTGAACTTTCCTTTCAAAGTTCACGTTTGAAACACTCTTTTTGCAGGATCTACAAGTGGATATTTGGACCACTCTGTGTCCTTCGTTCGAAACGGGTATATCTTCACATGACATCTAGACAGAAGCTTTCTCAGAAAATTCTTTGGGATGATTGAGTGGAACTCACAGAGCTGAACATTCCTTGCGATGTAGCAGTTTAGAAACACACTTTCTGCAGAATCTGCAAGTGCATATTTGGACCTCTCTGAGGAATTCGTTGGAAACGGGATAATTTCAGCTGACTAAACAGAAGCATTCTCAGAACCTTCTTCGTGATGTCTGCATTCAACTCACAGTGTGGAAGCTTTCTTTGATAGTTCAGGTTTGAAACACTCTTTTTGTAGAAACTGCAAGGGGATAATTGCACTGCTTTGAGGCCTACCGTAGTAAAGGAAATAACTTCCTATAAAAAGAAGACAGAAGCATTCTCAGAACCCTCTTCGTGATGTTTGCATTCAACTCACAGTGCTGAACCTTTCTTTGATAGTTCAGCTTTGAAACACTCTTCTTGTAGAAACTGCAAGTGGATATTTGGTCCTCTCTGAGGATTTCGTTGGAAACGGGATAAACCGCACAGAACTAAACAGAAGAATTCTCAGAGCCTTCTTCGTGATGTTTGCATTCAACTCACAGTGCTGAACCTTTCTTTGATAGTGCAGCTTTGAAACACTCTTTTTGTAGAAACTGCAAGTGGATGTTTGGTCCTCTCTGAGGATTTCGTTGGAAACGGGATAAACCGCACAGAACTAAAACAGAAGCATTGTCAGAAACTTCTTTGTGATGATTGCATTCAATTCACAGAGTTGAAGGTTCCTTTTCAAACAGCAGTTTCCAATCACTCTTTCTGTGGAATCTGCAAGTGGATATTTGGGCCTCTCTGAGGATTTCGTTGGAAACGGGATAAAACGCACAGAACTAAAACAGAAGCATTCTCAGAAACTTCTCTGTGATGTTTGTGTTCAACTCCCAGAGTTTCACGTTGCTTTTCATAGAGGAGTTCTGAAACATGCTTTTCGTAGTGTCTGCAAGTGGACATTTGGAGCGCTTTCAGGCCTGTGTTGGAAAACGAATTATGGTCACATAAAAACTGGAGAGAAGCCTTCTCAGAAACTTCTCTGTGATGATTGCATTCAACTCACAGAGTTGAACCCTCCTATGGATAGAGCAGTGTTGAAACTCTCTTTTTGTGGAATCTGCAAGTGGATATGTGGACCTCTCCGAAGATGTCTTTGGAAACGGGAATATCTTCACATAAAAACTAAACAGAAGCATTCTCAGAAACTTCTTGGTGATGTTTGCATTCAAATCCCAGAGTTGAACCTTCCTTTGATAGTTCAGGTTTGAAACACTCTTTTTGTAGGATCTGCAAGTGGATATTTGGACCACTCTGTGGCCTTCGTTCGAAACGGGTACATCTTCGCATAAAATCTAGACAGAAGCATTCTCAGAAAATACTTTGTGATGATTGAGTTGAACTCACAGAGCTGAACATTCCTTTGGATGGAGCAGGTTTGAGACACACTTTTTGTAGAATCTACAAGTGGATATTTGGACCTCTCTGAGGATTTCGTTGGAAACGGGATAACTGCACCTAACTAAACGGAAGCATTCCCAGAAACTGCTTTGTGATGATTGCATTCACCTCACAGAGTTGAACATTCCTATTGATAGAGCAGTTTGGAAACACTCTTGTTGTGGAATGTGCAAGTGGAGATTTGGAACGCTTTGAGGCCTATGGTAGTAAAGGGAATAGCTTCATAGAAAAACTAGACAGATGCATTCTCAGGAACTTTTTGGTGATGTTTGTATTCAACTCCCAGAGTTGAACTTTCCTTTGGAAAGAGCAGCTATGAAACACTCTTTTTCTAGAATCTGCAAGTGGACGTTTGGAGGGCTTTGTGGTTTTGTGGTGGAAAAGGAAATATCTTCACCTAAATACTAGATAGAAGCATTCTCAGAAGCTTCTCTGTGATGACTGCATTCAACTCACGGAGTTGAACACTCCTTTTGAGAGCACAGTTTTGAAACTCTCTTTCTGTGGCATCTGCAAGGGGACATGTAGACCTCTTTGAAGATTTCGTTGGAAACGGAATCATCTTCACATAAAATCTATACAGAAGCAGTCTCAGAATCTTCTTTGTGATGTTTGCATTCAAATCCCAGAGTTGAACTTTCCTTTCAAAGTTCACGTTTGAAACACTCTTTTTGCAGGATCTACAAGTGGATATTTGGACCACTCTGTGTCCTTCGTTCGAAACGGGTATATCTTCACATGACATCTAGACAGAAGCTTTCTCAGAAAATTCTTTGGGATGATTGAGTGGAACTCACAGAGCTGAACATTCCTTGCGATGTAGCAGTTTAGAAACACACTTTCTGCAGAATCTGCAAGTGCATATTTGGACCTCTCTGAGGAATTCGTTGGAAACGGGATAATTTCAGCTGACTAAACAGAAGCATTCTCAGAACCTTCTTCGTGATGTCTGCATTCAACTCACAGTGTGGAACCTTTCTTTGATAGTTCAGGTTTGAAACACTCTTTTTGTAGAAACTGCAAGGGGATAATTGCACTTCTTTGAGGCCTACCGTCGTAAAGGAAATAACTTCCTATAGAAAGAAGACAGAAGCATTCTCAGAACCCTCTTCGTGATGTTTGCATTCAACTCACAGTGCTGAACCTTTCTTTGATAGTTCAGCTTTGAAACACTCTTCTTGTAGAAACTGCAAGTGGATATTTGGTCCTCTCTGAGGATTTCGTTGGAAACGGGATAAACCGCACAGAACTAAACAGAAGAATTCTCAGAGCCCTCTTCGTGATGTTTGCATTCAACTCACAGTGCTGAACCTTTTTTGATAGTGCAGCTTTGAAACACTCTTTTTGTAGAAACTGCAAGTGGATATTTGGTCCTCTCTGAGGATTTCGTTGGAAACGGGATAAACTGCACAGAACTAAAACAGAAAAGCATTGTCAGAAACTTCTTTGTGATGATTGCATTCAACTCACAGAGTTGAAGGTTCCTTTTCAAACAGCAGTTTCCAATCACTCTTTCTGTGGAATCTGCAAGTGGATATTTGGGCCTCTCTGAGGATTTCGTTGGAAACGGGATAAAACGCACAGAACTAAAACAGAAGCATTCTCAGAAACTTCTCTGTGATGTTTGTGTTCAACTCCCAGAGTTTCACGTTGCTTTTCATAGAGTAGTTCTGAAACATGCTTTTCGTAGTGTCTGCAAGTGGACATTTGGAGCGCTTTCAGGCCTGTGGTGGAAAACGAATTATGGTCACATAAAAACTGGAGAGAAGCCTTCTCAGAAACTTCTCTGTGATGATTGCATTCAACTCACAGAGTTGAACCCTCCTATGGATAGAGCAGTGTTGAAACTCTCTTTTTGTGGAATCTGCAAGTGGATATGTGGACCTCTCCGAAGATGTCTTTGGAAACGGGAATATCTTCACATAAAAACTAAACAGAAGCATTCTCAGAAACTTCTTGGTGATGTTTGCATTCAAATCCCAGAGTTGAACCTTCCTTTGATAGTTCAGGTTTGAAACACTCTTTCTGTAGGATCTGCAAGTGGCTATTTGGACCACTCTGTGGCCTTCGTTCGAAACGGGTATATCTTCGCATAAAATCTAGACAGAAGCATTCTCAGAAAATACTTTGTGATGATTGAGTTTAAATCACAGAGCTGACCATTCCTTTGGATGGAGCAGGTTTGAGACACACTTTTTGTAGAATCTACAAGTGGATATTTGGACCTCTCTGAGGATTTCGTTGGAAACGGGATAACTGCACCTAACTAAACGGAAGCATTCTCAGAAACTGCTTTGTGATGATTGCATTCACCTCACAGAGTTGAACATTCCTATTGATAGAGCAGTTTGGAAACACTCTTGTTGTGGAATGTGCAAGTGGAGATTTGGAGCGCTTTGAGGCCTATGGTAGTAAAGGGAATAGCTTCATAGAAAAACTAGACAGATGCATTCTCAGGAACTTTTTGGTGATGTTTGTATTCAACTCCCAGAGTTGAACTTTCCTTTGGAAAGAGCAGCTATGAAACACTCTTTTTCTAGAATCTGCAAGTGGACGTTTGGAGGGCTTTGTGGTTTGTGGTGGAAAAGGAAATATCTTCACCTAAATACTAGACAGAAGCATTCTCAGAAGCTTCTCTGTGATGACTGCATTCAACTCACGGAGTTGAACACTCCTTTTGAGAGCGCAGTTTTGAAACTCTCTTTCTGTGGCATCTGCAAGGGGACATGTAGACCTCTTTGAAGATTTCGTTGGAAACGGAATCATCTTCACATAAAAACTATACAGAAGCAGTCTCAGAATCTTCTTTGTGATGTTTGCATTCAAATCCCAGAGTTGAACTTTCCTTTCAAAGTTCACGTTTGAAACACTCTCTTTGCAGGATCTACAAGTGGATATTTGGACCACTCTGTGTCCTTCGTTCGAAACGGGTATATCTTCACATGACATCTAGACAGAAGCTTTCTCAGAAAATTCTTTGGGATGATTGAGTTGAACTCACAGAGCTGAGCATTCCTTGCGATGTAGCAGTTTAGAAACACACTTTCTGCAGAATCTGCAAGTGCATATTTGGACCTCTGTGAGGAATTCGTTGGAAACGGGATAATTTCAGCTGACTAAACAGAAGCATTCTCAGAACCTTCTTCGTGATGTCTGCATTCAACTCACAGTGTGGAACCTTTCTTTGATAGTTCAGGTTTGAAACACTCTTTTTGTAGAAACTGCAAGGGGATAATTGCACTCTTTGAGGAGTACCGTAGTAAAGGAAATAACTTCCTATAAAAAGAAGACAGAAGCATTCTCAGAACCCTCTTCGTGATGTTTGCATTCAACTCACAGTGCTGAACCTTTCTTTGATAGTTCAGCTTTGAAACACTCTTTTTGTAGAAACTGCAAGTGGATATTTGGTCCTCTCTGAGGATTTCGTTGGAAACGGGATAAACTGCACAGAACTAAACAGAAGCATTCTCAGAACCTTCTTCGTGATGTTTGCATTCAACTCACAGTGTTGAACCTTTCTTTGATAGTTCAGGTTTGAAACGGTCTTTCTGTAGAAACTGCAAGTAGATATTTGGACCTCTCTGAGGATTTCGTTGGAAACGGGATAACCCGCACAGAACTAAAACAGAAGCATTCACAGAAAACTCTTGGTGACGACTGAGTTTAACTCACAGAGCTGAACATTCCTTTGGATGGATCAGTTTCGAAACACACTATTTGTAGAATGTGCAAGTGGATATTTGGGCCTCTCTGAGGATTTCGTTGGAAACGGGATAAACCGCACAGAACTAAACAGAAGCATTCTCAGAAACTACTTTGTGATGATTGCATTCAAGTCACAGAGTTGAACATTCCCTTTGACAGAGCAGTTTGGAAACTCTCTTTGTGTAGAATCTGCAAGTGGAGATATGGACCGCTTTGAGGCCTATGGTAGTAAAGGAAATAGCTTCATATAAAAGCTAGACAGTAGCATTCTCAGAAACTTCTTTGTGATGCTTGCATTCAACTCACAGAGTTGAACTTTCCTTTCGAGAGAGAAGCTTTGAAACACTCTTTTTCCGGAATCTGCAAGTGGACATTTGGAGGGCTTTGAGGCCTGTGGTGGAAAAGGAATTATCTTCCCGTAAAAGCTAGATAGAAGCATTGTCAGAAACTTCTTTGTGATGATTGCATTCAACTCACAGAGTTGAAGGTTCCTTTTCAAACAGCAGTTTCCAATCACTCTTTCTGTGGAATCTGCAAGTGGATATTTGGACCTATTTTGAAGATTTCCTTGGAAACGGGATAATCTTCACAGAAAAGCTAAACAGAAGCATTCTCAGAAACTTCTCTGTGATGTTTGTGTTCAACTCCCAGAGTTTCACATTGCTTTTCATAGAGTAGTTCTGAAACATGCTTTTCGTAGTGTCTGCAAGTGGACATTTGGAGCGCTTTCAGGCCTGTGGTGGAAAACGAATTATGGTCACATAAAAACTGGAGAGAAGCCTTCTCAGAAACTTCTCTGTGATGATTGCATTCAACTCACTGAGTTGAACCCTCCTATGGATAGAGCAGTGTTGAAACTCTCTTTTTGTGGAATCTGCAAGTGGATATGTGGACCTCTCCGAAGATGTCTTTGGAAACGGGAATATCTTCACATAAAAACTAAACAGAAGCATTCTCAGAAACTTCTTGGTGATGTTTGCATTCAAATCCCAGAGTTGAACCTTCCTTTGATAGTTCAGGTTTGAAACACTCTTTTTGTAGGATCTGCAAGTGGATATTTGGACCACTCTGTGGCCTTCGTTCGAAACGGGTACATCTTCGCATAAAATCTAGACAGAAGCATTCTCAGAAAATACTTTGTGATGATTGAGTTTAACTCACAGAGCTGAACATTCCTTTGGATGGAGCAGGTTTGAGACACACTTTTTGTAGAATCTACAAGTGGATATTTGGACCTCTGTGAGGATTTCGTTGGAAACGGGATAACTGCACCTAACTAAACGGAAGCATTCTCAGAAACTGCTTTGTGATGATTGCATTCACCTCACAGAGTTGAACATTCCTATTGATAGAGCAGTTTGGAAACACTCTTGTTGTGGAATGTGCAAGTGGAGATTTGGAGCGCTTTGAGGCCTATGGTAGTAAAGGGAATAGCTTCATAGAAAAACTAGACAGATGCATTCTCAGGAACTTTTTGGTGATGTTTGTATTCAACTCCCAGAGTTGAACTTTCCTTTGGAAAGAGCAGCTATGAAACACTCTTTTTCTAGAATCTGCAAGCGGACGTTTGGAGGGCTTTGTGGTTTGTGGTGGAAAAGGAAATATCTTCACCTAAATACTAGACAGAAGCATTCTCAGAAGCTTCTCTGTGATGACTGCATTCAACTCACGGAGTTGAACACTCCTTTTGAGAGCGCAGTTTTGAAACTCTCTTTCTGTGGCATCTGCAAGGGGACATGTAGACCTCTTTGAAGATTTCGTTGGAAACGGAATCATCTTCTCATAAAAACTATACAGAAGCAGTCTCAGAATCTTCTTTGTGATGTTTGCATTCAAATCCCAGAGTTGAACTTTCCTTTCAAAGTTCACGTTTGAAACACTCTTTTTGCCGGATCTACAAGTGGATATTTGGACCACTCTGTGTCCTTCGTTCGAAACGGGTATATCTTCACACGACATCTAGACAGAAGCTTTCTCAGAAAATTCTTTGGGATGATTGAGTGGAACTCACAGAGCTGAACATTCCTTGCGATGTAGCAGTTTAGAAACACACTTTCTGCAGAATCTGCAAGTGCATATGTGGACCTCTCTGAGGAATTCGTTGGAAACGGGATAATTTCAGCTGACTAAACAGAAGCATTCTCAGAACCTTCTTCGTGATGTCTGCATTCAACTCACAGTGTGGAACCTTTCTTTGATAGTTCAGGTTTGAAACACTCTTTTTGTAGAAACTGCAAGGGGATAATTGCACTTCTTTGAGGCCTACGGTCGTAAAGGAAATAACTTCCTATAGAAAGAAGACAGAAGCATTCTCAGAACCCTCTTCGTGATGTTTGCATTCAACTCACAGTGCTGAACCTTTCTTTGATAGTTCAGCTTTGAAACACTCTTCTTGTAGAAACTGCAAGTGGATATTTGGTCCTCTCTGAGGATTTCGTTGGAAACGGGATAAACCGCACAGAACTAAACAGAAGCATTCTCAGAGCCCTCTTCGTGATGTTTGCATTCAACTCACAGTGCTGAACCTTTCTTTGATAGTGCAGCTTTGAAACACTCTTTTTGTAGAAACTGCAAGTGGATATTTGGTCCTCTCTGAGGATTTCGTTGGAAACGGGATAAACCGCACAGAACTAAAACAGAAGCATTCACAGAAAACTCTTGGTGACGACTGAGTTTAACTCACAGAGCTGAACATTCCTTTGGATGGAGCAGTTTCGAAACACACTATTTGTAGAATCTGCAAGTGGATATTTGGGCCTCTCTGAGGATTTCGTTGGAAACGGGATAAACCGCACAGAACTAAAACAGAAGCATTCTCAGAAACTACTTTGTGATGATTGCATTCAAGTCACAGAGTTGAACATTCCCTTTGACAGAGCAGTTTGGAAACTCTCTTTGTGTAGAATCTGCAAGTGGAGATATGGACCGCTTTGAGGCCTATGGTAGTAAAGGAAATAGCTTCATATAAAAGCTAGACAGTAGCATTCTCAGAAACTTCTTTGTGATGCTTGCATTCAACTCACAGAGTTGAACTTTCCTTTCGAGAGAGAAGCTTTGAAACACTCTTTTTCCAGAATCTGCAAGTGGACATTTGGAGGGATTTGAGGCCTGTGGTGGAAAAGGAATTAACTTCCCGTAAAAGCTAGATAGAAGCATTGTCAGAAACTTCTTTGTGATGATTGCATTCAACTCACAGAGATGAAGGTTCCTTTACAAACAGCAGTTTCCAAACACTCTTTCTGTGGAATCTGCAAGTGGATATTTGGACCTCTTTGAAGATTTCGTTGGAAACGGGAGAATCTTCACAGAAAAGCTAAACAGAAGCATTCTCAGAAACTTCTCTGTGATGTTTGTGTTCAACTCCCAGAGTTTCACATTGCTTTTCATAGAGTAGTTCTGAAACATGCTTTTCGTAGTGTCTGCAAGTGGACATTTGGAGCGCTTTCAGGCCTGTGGTGGAAAACGAATTATGGTCCCATAAAAACTGGAGAGAAGCCTTCTCAGAAACTTCTCTGTGATGATTGCATTCAACTCACAGATTTGAACCCTCCTATGGATAGAGCATTGTTGAAACTCTCTTTTTGTGGAATCTGCAAGTGGATATGTGGACCTCTCCGAAGATGTCTTTGGAAACGGGAATATCTTCACATAAAAACTAAACAGAAGCATTCTCAGAAACTTCTTGGTGATGTTTGCATTCAAATCCCAGAGTTGAACCTTCCTTTGAGAGTTCAGGTTTGAAACACTCTTTTTGTAGGATCTGCAAGTGGATATTTGGACCACTCTGTGGCCTTCGTTCGAAACGGGTACATCTTCGCATAAAATCTAGACAGAAGCATTCTCAGAAAATACTTTGTGATGATTGAGTTGAACTCACAGAGCTGAACATTCCTTTGGATGGAGCAGGTTTGAGACACACTTTTTGTAGAATCTACAAGTGGATATTTGGACCTCTCTGAGGATTTCGTTGGAAACGGGATAAATACACCTAACTAAACGTAAGCATTCTCAGAAACTGCTTTGTAATGATTGCATTCACCTCACAGAGTTGAACATTCCTATTGATAGAGCAGTTTGGAAACACTCTTGTTGTGGAATGTGCAAGTGGAGATTTGGAGCGCTTTGAGGCCTATGGTAGTAAAGGGAATAGCTTCATAGAAAAACTAGACAGATGCATTCTCAGGAACTTTTTGGTGATGTTTGTATTCAACTCCCAGAGTTGAACTTTCCTTTGGAAAGAGCAGCTATGAAACACTCTTTTTCTAGAATCTGCAAGTGGACGTTTGGAAGGCTTTGTGGTTTGTGGTGGAAAAGGAAATATCTTCACCTAAATACTAGATAGAAGCATTCTCAGAAGCTTCTCTGTGATGACTGCATTCAACTCACGGAGTTGAACACTCCTTTTGAGAGCGCAGTTTTGAAACTCTCTTTCTGTGGCATCTGCAAGGGGACATGTAGACCTCTTTGAAGATTTCGTTGGAAACGGAATCATCTTCACATCAAAACTATACAGAAGCAGTCTCAGAATCTTCTTTGTGATGTTTGCATTCAAATCCCAGAGTTGAACTTTCCTTTCAAAGTTCACGTTTGAAACACTCTTTTTGCAGGATCTACAAGTGGATATTTGGACCACTCTGTGTCCTTCGTTCGAAACGGGTATATCTTCACATGACATCTAGACAGAAGCTTTCCCAGAAAATTCTTTGGGATGATTGAGTGGAACTCACAGAGCTGAACATTCCTTGCAATGTAGCAGTTTAGAAACACACTTTCTGCAGAATCTGCAAGTGCATATTTGGACCTCTCTGAGGAATTCGTTGGAAACGGGATAATTTCAGCTGACTAAACAGAAGCATTCTCAGAACTTCTTCGTGATGTCTGCATTCAACTCACAGTGTGGAACCTTTCTTTGATAGTTCAGGTTTGAAACACTCTTTTTGTAGAAACTGCAAGGGGATAATTGCACTTCTTTGAGGCCTACCGTAGTAAAGGAAATAACTTCCTATAGAAAGAAGACAGAAGCATTCTCAGAACCCTCTTCGTGATGTTTGCATTCAACTCACAGTGCTGAACCTTTCTTTGATAGTTCAGCTTTGAAACACTCTTCTTGTAGAAACTGCAAGTGGATATTTGGTCCTCTCTGAGGATTTCGTTGGAAACGGGATAAACCGCACAGAACTAAACAGAAGAATTCTCAGAGCCCTCTTCGTGATGTTTGCATTCAACTCACAGTGCTGAACCTTTCTTTGATAGTGCAGCTTTGAAACACTCTTTTTGTAGAAACTGCAAGTGGATGTTTGGTCCTCTCTGAGGATTTCGTTGGAAACGGGATAAACCGCACAGAACTAAAACAGAAGCATTGTCAGAAACTTCTTTGTGATGATTGCATTCAACTCACAGAGTTGAAGGTTCCTTTTCAAACAGCAGTTTCCAATCACTCTTTCTGTGGAATCTGCAAGTCGATATTTGGGCCTCTCTGAGGATTTCGTTGGAAACGGGATAAAACGCACAGAACTAAAACAGAAGCATTCTCAGAAACTTCTCTGTGATGTTTGTGTTCAACTCCCAGAGTTTCACGTTGCTTTTCATAGAGTAGTTCTGAAACATGCTTTTCGTAGTGTCTGCAAGTGGACATTTGGAGCGCTTTCAGGCCTGTGGTGGAAAACGAATTATGGTCACATAAAAACTGGAGAGAAGCCTTCTCAGAAACTTCTCTGCGATGATTGCATTCAACTCACAGAGTTGAACCCTCCTATGGATAGAGCAGTGTTGAAACTCTCTTTTTGTGGAATCTGCAAGTGGATATGTGGACCTCTCCGAAGATGTCTTTGGAAACGGGAATATCTTCACATAGAAACTAAACAGAAGCATTCTCAGAAACTTCTTGGTGATGTTTGCATTCAAATCCCAGAGTTGAACCTTCCTTTGATAGTTCAGGTTTGAAACACTCTTTTTGTAGGATCTGCAAGTGGATATTTGGACCACTCTGTGGCCTTCGTTCGAAACGGGTACATCTTCGCATAAAATCTAGACAGAAGCATTCTCAGAAAATACTTTGTGATGATTGAGTTTAACTCACAGAGCTGAACATTCCTTTGGATGGAGCAGACTTGAGACACACTTTTTGTAGAATCCACAAGTGGATATTTGGACCTCTCTGAGGATTTCGTTGGAAACGGGATAACTGCACCGAACTAAACGGAAGCATTCTCAGAAACTGCTTTGTGATGATTGCATTCACCTCACAGAGTTGACCATTCCTATTGATAGAGCAGTTTGGAAACACTCTTGTTGTGGAATGTGCAAGTGGAGATTTGGAGCGCTTTGAGGCCTATGGTAGTAAAGGGAATAGCTTCATAGAAAAACTAGACAGATGCATTCTCAGGAACTTTTTGGTGATGTTTGTATTCAACTCCCAGAGTTGAACTTTCCTTTGGAAAGAGCAGCTATGAAACACTCTTTTTCTAGAATCTGCAAGTGGACGTTTGGAGGGCTTTGTGGTTTGTGGTGGAAAAGGAAATATCTTCACCTCAATACTAGATAGAAGCATACTCAGAAGCTTCTCTGTGATGACTGCATTCAACTCACGGAGTTGAACACTCCTTTTGAGAGCGCAGTTTTGAAACTCTGTTTCTGTGGTATCTGCAAGGGGACATGTAGACCTCTTTGAAGATTTCGTTGGAAACGGAATCATCTTCACATCAAAACTATACAGAAGCAGTCTCAGAATCTTCTTTGTGATGTTTGCATTCAAATCCCAGAGTTGAACTTTCCTTTCAAAGTTCACGTTTGAAACACTCTTTTTGCAGGATCTACAAGTGGATATTTGGACCACTCTGTGTCCTTCGTTCGAAACGGGTATATCTTCACAGGACATCTAGACAGAAGCTTTCTCAGAAAATTCTTTGGGATGATTGAGTGGAACTCACAGAGCTGAACATTCCTTGCGATGTAGCAGTTTAGAAACACACTTTCTGCAGAATCTGCAAGTGCATATTTGGACCTCTCTGAGGAATTCGTTGGAAACGGGATAATTTCAGCTGACTAAACAGAAGCATTCTCAGAACCTTCTTCGTGATGTCTGCATTCAACTCACAGTGTGGAACCTTTCTTTGATAGTTCAGGTTTGAAACACTCTTTTTGTAGAAACTGCAAGGGGATAATTGCACTTCTTTGAGGCCTACCGTAGTAAAGGAAATAACTTCCTATAGAAAGAAGACAGAAGCATTCTCAGAACCCTCTTCGTGATGTTTGCATTCAACTCACAGTGCTGAACCTTTCTTTGATAGTTCAGCTTTGAAACACTCTTCTTGTAGAAACTGCAAGTGGATATTTGGTCCTCTCTGAGGATTTCGTTGGAAACGGGATAAACCGCACAGAAGTAAACAGAAGCATTCTCAGAACCTTCTTCGTGATGTTTGCATTCAACTCACAGTGTTGAACCTTTCTTTGATAGTTCAGGTTGGAAACGGTCTTTCTGTAGAAACTGCAAGTAGATATTTGGACCTCTCTGAGGATTTCGTTGGAAACGGGATAAACCGCACAGAACTAAAACAGAAGCATTCACAGAAAACTCTTGGTGACGACTGAGTTTAACTCACAGAGCTGAACATTCCTTTGGATGGAGCAGTTTCAAAACACACTATTTGTAGAATGTGCAAGTGGATATTTGGGCCTCTCTGAGGATTTCATTGGAAACGGGATAAACCGCACAGAACTAAACAGAAGCATTCTCAGAAACTACTTTGTGATGATTGCATTCAAGTCACAGAGTTGAACATTCCCTTTGACAGAGCAGTTTGGAAACTCTCTTTGTGTAGAATCTGCAAGTGGAGATATGGACCGCTTTGAGGCCTATGGTAGTAAAGGAAATAGCTTCATATAAAAGCTAGACAGTAGCATTCTCAGAAACTTCTTTGTGATGCTTGCATTCAACTCACAGAGTTGAACTTTCCTTTCGAGAGAGAAGCTTTGAAACACTCTTTTTCCAGAATGTGCAAGTGGACATTTGGAGGGCTTTGAGGCCTGTGGTGGAAAAGGAATTATCTTCCCGTAAAAGCTAGATAGAAGCATTGTCAGAAACTTCTTTGTGATGATTGCATTCAACTCACAGAGTTGAAGGTTCCTTTTCAAACAGCAGTTTCCAATCACTCTTTCTGTGGAATCTGCAAGTGGATATTTGGGCCTCTCTGAGGATTTCGTTGGAAACGGGATAAAACGCACAGAACTAAAACAGAAGCATTCTCAGAAACTTCTTGGTGATGTTTGCATTCAAATCCCAGAGTTGAACCTTCCTTTGATAGTTCAGGTTTGAAACACTCTTTCTGTAGGATCTGCAAGTGGCTATTTGGACCACTCTGTGGCCTTCGTTCGAAACGGGTATATCTTCGCATAAAATCTAGACAGAAGCATTCTCAGAAAATACTTTGTGATGATTGAGTTTAAATCACAGAGCTGACCATTCCTTTGGATGGAGCAGGTTTGAGACACACTTTTTGTAGAATCTACAAGTGGATATTTGGACCTCTCTGAGGATTTCGTTGGAAACGGGATAACTGCACCTAACTAAACGGAAGCATTCTCAGAAACTGGTTTGTGATGATTGCATTCACCTCACAGAGTTGAACATTCCTATTGATAGAGCAGTTTGGAAACACTCCTGTTGTGGAATGTGCAAGTGGAGATTTGGAGCGCTTTGAGGCCTATGGTAGTAAAGGGAATAGCTTCATAGAAAAACTAGACAGATGCATTCTCAGGAACTTTTTGGTGATGTTTGTATTCAACTCCCAGAGTTGAACTTTCCTTTGGAAACAGCAGCTATGAAACACTCTTTTTCTAGAATCTGCAAGTGGACGTTTGGAGGGCTTTGTGGTTTGTGGTGGAAAAGGAAATATCTTCACCTAAATACTAGATAGAAGCATTCTCAGAAGCTTCTCTGTGATGACTGCATTCAACTCACGGAGTTGAACACTCCTTTTGAGAGCGCAGTTTTGAAACTCTCTTTCTGTGGCATCTGCAAGGGGACATGTAGACCTCTTTGAAGATTTCGTTGGAAACGGAATCATCTTCACATAAAAACTATACAGAAGCAGTCTCAGAATCTTCTTTGTGATGTTTGCATTCAAATCCCCGAGTTGAACTTTCCTTTCAAAGTTCACGTTTGAAACACTCTTTTTGCAGGATCTACAAGTGGATATTTGGACCACTCTGTGTCCTTCGTTCGAAACGGGTATATCTTCACATGACATCTAGACAGAAGCTTTCTCAGAAAATTCTTTGGGATGATTGAGTTGAACTCACAGAGCTGAGTATTCCTTGCGATGTAGCAGTTTAGAAACACACTTTCTGCAGAATCTGCAAGTGCATATTTGGACCTCTCTGAGGAATTCGTTGGAAACAGGATAATTTCAGCTGACTAAACAGAAGCATTCTCAGAACCTTCTTCGTGATGTCTGCATTCAACTCAAAGTGTGGAACCATTCTTTGATAGTTCAGGATTTAAAAACTCTTTTCGTAGAAACTGCAAGGGGATAATTGCACTCTTTGAGGGTACCGTAGTAAAGGAAATAACTTCCTATAAAAAGAAGACAGAAGCATTCTCAGAACCCTCTTCGTGATGTTTGCATTCAACTCACAGTGCTGAACCTTTCTTTGATAGTTCAGCTTTGAAACACTCTTCTTGTAGAAACTGCAAGTGGATATTTGGTCCTCTCTGAGGATTTCGTTGGAAACGGGATAAACCGCACAGAACTAAACAGAAGAATTCTCAGAGCCCTCTTCGTGATGTTTGCATTCAACTCACAGTGCTGAACCTTTCTTTGATAGTGCAGCTTTGAAACACTCTTTTTGTAGAAACTGCAAGTGGATGTTTGGTCCTCTCTGAGGATTTCGTTGGAAACGGGATAAACCGCACAGAACCAAAACAGAAGCATTGTCAGAAACTTCTTTGTGATGATTGCATTCAACTCACAGAGTTGAAGGTTCCTTTTCAAACAGCAGTTTCCAATCACTCTTTCTGTGGAATCTGCAAGTGGATATTTGGGCCTCTCTGAGGATTTCGTTGGAAACGGGATAAAACGCACAGAACTAAAACAGAAGCATTCTCAGAAACTTCTCTGTGATGTTTGTGTTCAACTCCCAGAGTTTCACCGTTGCTTTTCATAGAGTAGTTCTGAAACATGCTTTTCGTAGTGTCTGCAAGTGGACATTTGGAGCGCTTTCAGGCCTGTGGTGGAAAACGAATTATGGTCACATAAAAACTGGAGAGAAGCCTTCTCAGAAACTTCTCTGTGATGATTGCATTCAACTCACAGAGTTGAACCCTCCCTATGGATAGAGCAGTGTTGAAACTCTCTTTTTGTGGAATCTGCAAGTGGATATGTGGACCTCTCCGAAGATGTCTTTGGAAACGGGAATATCTTCACATAAAAACTAAACAGAAGCATTCTCAGAAACTTCTTGGTGATGTTTGCATTCAAATCCCAGAGTTGAACCTTCCTTTGATAGTTCAGGTTTGAAACACTCTTTTTGTAGGATCTGCAAGTGGCTATTTGGACCACTCTGTGGCCTTCGTTCGAAACGGGTATATCTTCGCATAAAATCTAGACAGAAGCATTCTCAGAAAATACTTTGTGATGATTGAGTTTAACTCACAGAGCTGAACATTCCTTTGGATGGAGCAGGTTTGAGACACACCTTTTGTAGAATCTACAAGTGGATATTTGGACCTCTCTGAGGATTTCGTTGGAAACGGGATAACTGCACCTAACTAAACGGAAGCATTCTCAGAAACTGCTTTGTGATGATTGCATTCACCTCACAGAGTTGAACATTCCTATTGATAGAGCAGTTTGGAAACACTCTTGTTGTGGAATGTGCAAGTGGAGATTTGGAGCGCTTTGAGGCCTATGGTAGTAAAGGGAATAGCTTCATAGAAAAACTAGACAGATGCATTCTCAGGAACTTTTTGGTGATGTTTGTATTCAACTCCCAGAGTTGAACTTTCCTTTGGAAAGAGCAGCTATGAAACACTGTTTTTCTAGAATCTGCAAGTGGACGTTTGGAGGGCTTTGTGGTTTGTGGTGGAAAAGGAAATATCTTCACCTAAATACTAGATAGAAGCATCCTCAGAAGCTTCTCTGTGATGACTGCATTCAACTCACGGAGTTGAACACTCCTTTTGAGAGCGCAGTTTTGAAACTCTCTTTCTGTGGCATCTGCAAGGGGACATGTAGACCTCTTTGAAGATTTCGTTGGAAACGGAATCATCTTCACATAAAAACTACACAGAAGCAGTCTCAGAATCTTCTTTGTGATGTTTGCATTCAAATCCCCGAGTTGAACTTTCCTTTCAAAGTTCACGTTTGAAACACTCTTTTTGCAGGATCTACAAGTGGATATTTGGACCACTCTGTGTCCTTCGTTCGAAACGGGTATATCTTCACATGACATCTAGACAGAAGCTTTCTCAGAAAATTCTTTGGGATGATTGAGTTGAACTCACAGAGCTGAGCATTCCTTGCGATGTAGCAGTTTAGAAACACACTTTCTGCAGAATCTGCAAGTGCATATTTGGACCTCTGTGAGGAATTCGTTGGAAACGGGATAATTTCAGCTGACTAAACAGAAGCATTCTCAGAACCTTCTTCGTGATGTCTGCATTCAACTCACAGTGTGGAACCTTTCTTTGATAGTTCAGGTTTGAAACACTCTTTTTGTAGAAACTGCAAGGGGATAATTGCACTCTTTGAGGAGTACCGTAGTAAAGGAAATAACTTCCTATAAAAAGAAGACAGAAGCATTCTCAGAACCCTCTTCGTGATGTTTGCATTCAACTCACAGTGCTGAACCTTTCTTTGATAGTTCAGCTTTGAAACACTCTTTTTGTAGAAACTGCAAGTGGATATTTGGTCCTCTCTGAGCATTTCGTTGGAAACGGGATAAACTGCACAGAACTAAACAGAAGCATTCTCAGAACCTTCTTCGTGATGTTTGCATTCAACTCACAGTGTTGAACCTTTCTTTGATAGTTCAGGTTTGAAACGGTCTTTCTGTAGAAACTGCAAGTAGATATTTGGACCTCTCTGAGGATTTCGTTGGAAACGGGATAACCCGCACAGAACTAAAACAGAAGCATTCACAGAAAACTCTTGGTGACGACTGAGTTTAACTCACAGAGCTGAACATTCCTTTGGATGGAGCAGTTTCGAAACACACTATTTGTAGAATGTGCAAGTGGATATTTAGGCCTCTCTGAGGATTTCGTTGGAAACGGGATAAACCGCACAGAACTAAACAGAAGCATTCTCAGAAACTACTTTGTGATGATTGCATTCAAGTCACAGAGTTGAACATTCCCTTTGACAGAGCAGTTTGGAAACTCTCTTTGTGTAGAATCTGCAAGTGGAGATATGGACCGCTTTGAGGCCTATGGTAGTAAAGGAAATAGCTTCATATAAAAGCTAGACAGTAGCATTCTCAGAAACTTCTTTGTGATGCTTGCATTCAACTCACAGAGTTGAACTTTCCTTTCGAGAGAGAAGCTTTGAAACACTCTTTTTCCAGAATCTGCAAGTGGACATTTGGAGGGCTTTGAGGCCTGTGGTGGAAAAGGAATTAACTTCCCGTAAAAGCTAGATAGAAGCATTGTCAGAAACTTCTTTGTGATGATTGCATTCAACTCACAGAGTTGAAGGTTCCTTTTCAAAGAGCAGTTTCCAATCACTCTTTCTGTGGAATCTGCAAGTGGATATTTGGACCTCTTTGAAGATTTCGTTGGAAACGGGAGAATCTTCACAGAAAAGCTAAACAGAAGCATTCTCAGAAACTTCTCTGTGATGTTTGTGTTCAACTCCCAGAGTTTCACATTGCTTCTCATAGAGTAGTTCTGAAACATGCTTTTCGTAGTGTCTGCAAGTGGACATTTGGAGCGCTTTCAGGCCTGTGGTGGAAAACGAATTATGGTCACATAAAAACTGGAGAGAAGCATTGTCAGAAACTTCTTTGTGATGATTGCATTCAACTCACAGGGTTGAAGGTTCCTTTTCAAAGAGCAGTTTCCAATCACTCTTTCTGTGGAATCTGCAAGTGGATATTTGGACCTCTTTGAAGATTTCGTTGGAAACGGGAGAATCTTCACAGAAAAGCTAAACAGAAGCATTCTCAGAAACTTCTGTGTGATGTTTGTGTTCAACTCCCAGAGTTTCACATTGCTTTTCATAGAGTAGTTCTGAAACATGCTTTTCGTAGTGTCTACAAGTGGACATTTGGAGCGCTTTCAGGCCTGTGGTGGAAAACGAATTATGGTCACATAAAAACTGGAGAGAAGCCTTCTCAGAAACTTCTCTGTGATGATTGCATTCAACTCACAGAGTTGAACCCTCCTATGGATAGAGCAGTGTTGAAACTCTCTTTTTGTGGAATCTGCAAGTGGATATGTGGACCTCTCCGAAGATGTCTTTGGAAACGGGAATATCTTCACATAAAAACTAAACAGAAGCATTCTCAGAAACTTCTTGGTGATGTTTGCATTCAAATCCCAGAGTTGAACCTTCCTTTGATAGTTCAGGTTTGAAACACTCTTTTTGTAGGATCTGCAAGTGGCTATTTGGACCACTCTGTGGCCTTCGTTCGAAACGGGTATATCTTCACATAAAGTCTAGACAGAAGCATTCTCAGAAAATACTTTGTGATGATTGAGTTTAAATCACAGAGCTGAACATTCCTTTGGATGGAGCAGGTTTGAGACACACTTTTTGTAGAATCTACAAGTGGATATTTGGACCTCTCTGAGGATTTCGTTGGAAACGGGATAACTGCACCTAACTAAACGGAAGCATTCTCAGAAACTGCTTTGTGATGATTGCATTCACCTCACAGAGTTGAACATTCCTATTGATAGAGCAGTTTGGAAACACTCTTGTTGTGGAATGTGCAAGTGGAGATTTGGAGCGCTTTGAGGTCTATGGTAGTAAAGGGAATAGCTTCATAGAAAAACTAGACAGATGCATTCTCAGGAACTTTTTGGTGATGTTTGTATTCAACTCCCAGAGTTGAACTTTCCTTTGGAAAGAGCAGCTATGAAACACTCTTTTTCTAGAATCTGCAAGTGGACGTTTGGAGGGCTTTGTGGTTTGTGGTGGAAAAGGAAATATCTTCACCTAAATACTAGATAGAAGCATTCTCAGAAGCTTCTCTGTGATGACTGCATTCAACTCACGGAGTTGAACACTCCTTTTGAGAGCGTAGTTTTGAAACTCTCTTTCTGTGGCATCTGCAAGGGGACATGTAGACCTCTTTGAAGATTTCGTTGGAAACGGAATCATCTTCACATAAAAACTATACAGAAGCAGTCTCAGAATCTTCTTTGTGATGTTTGCATTCAAATCCCAGAGTTGAACTTTCCTTTCAAAGTTCACGTTTGAAACACTCTTTTTGCAGGATCTACAAGTGGATATTTGGACCACTCTGTGTCCTTCGTTCGAAACGGGTATATCTTCACACGACATCTAGACAGAAGCTTTCTCAGAAAATTCTTTGGGATGATTGAGTTGAGCAAACAGAGCTGAACACTCCTTGTGATGTAGCAGTTTAGAAACACACTTTCTGCAGAATCTGCAAGTACATATGTGGACCTCTCTGAGGAATTCATTAGAAACGGGATAATTTCAGCTGACTAAACAGAAGCATTCTCAGAACCTTCTTCGGGATGTCTGCATTCAACTCACAGTGTGGAACCTTTCTTTGATAGTTCAGGTTTGAAACACTCTTTTTGTAGTAACTGCAAGGGGATAATTGCACTTCCTTGAGGCCTACCGTAGTAAAGGAAATAACTTCCTATAAAAAGAAGACAGAAGCATTCGCAGAACCCTCTTCGTGATGTTTGCATTCAACTCACGGTGCTGAACCTTTCTTTGATAGTTCAGCTTTGAAACACTCTTTTTGTAGAAACTGCAAGTGGATATTTGGTCCTCTCTGAGGATTTCGTTGGAAACGGGATAAACCGCACAGAACTAAACAGAAGCATTCTCAAAACCTTCTTCGTGATGTTTGCATTCAACTCACAGTGTTGAACCTTTCTTTGATAGTTCAGGTTTGAAACGGTCTTTCTGTAGAAACTGCAAGTAGATATTTGGACCTCTCTGAGGATTTCGTTGGAAACGGGATAAACAGCACAGAACTAAAACAGAAGCATTCACAGAAAACTCTTGGTGACGACTGAGTTTAACACACAGAGCTGAACATTCCTTTGGATGGAGCAGTTTCGAAACACACTATTTGTAGAATGTGCAAGTGGATATTGGGGCCTCTCTGAGGATTTCGTTGGAAACGGGATAAACCTCACAGAACTAAACTGAAGCATTCTCAGAAACTACTTTGTGATGATTGCATTCAAGTCACAGAGTTGAACATTCCCTTTGACAGAGCAGTTTGGAAACTGTCTTTGTGTAGAATCTGCAAGTGGAGATATGGACCGCTTTGAGGCCTATGGTAGTAAAGGAAATAGCTTCATATAAAAGCTAGACAGTAGCATTCTCAGAAACTTCTTTCTGATGCTTGCATTCAACTCACAGAGTTGAACTTTCCTTTTGAGAGAGAAGCTTTGAAACACTCTTTTTCCAGAATCTGCAAGTGGACATTTGGAGGGCTTTGAGGCCTGTGGTGGAAAAGGAATTATCTTCCCGTAAAAGCTAGATAGAAGCATTGTCAGAAACTTCTTTGTGATGATTGCATTCAACTCACAGTGTTGAAGGTTCCTTTTCAAACAGCAGTTTCCAATCACTCTTTCTGTGGAATCTGCAAGTGGATATTTGGACCTCTTTGAAGATTTCGTTGGAAACGGGAGAATCTTCACAGAAAAGCTAAACAGAAGCATTCTCAGAAACTTCTCTGTGATGTTTGTGTTCAACTCCCAGAGTTTCACATTGCTTTTCATAGAGTAGTTCTGAAACATGCTTTTCGTAGTGTCTGCAAGTGGACATTTGGAGCGCTTTCAGGCCTTTGGTGGAAAACGAATTATGGTCACATAAAAACTGGAGAGAAGCCTTCTCAGAAACTTCTCTGTGATGATTGCATTCAACTCACAGAGTTGAACCCTCCTATGGATAGAGCAGTGTTGAAACTCTCTTTTTGTGGAATCTGCAAGTGGATATGTGGACCTCTCCGAAGATGTCTTTGGAAACGGGAATATCTTCACATAAAAACTAAACAGAAGCATTCTCAGAAACTTCTTGGTGATGTTTGCATTCAAATCCCAGAGTTGAACCTTCCTTTGATAGTTCAGGTTTGAAACACTCTTTTTGTAGGATCTGCAAGTGGATATTTGGACCACTCTGTGGCCTTCGTTCGAAACGGGTATATCTTCGCATAAAATCTAGACAGAAGCATTCTCAGGAAAATACTTTGTGATGATTGAGTTTAAATCACAGAGCTGAACATTCCTTTGGATGGAGCAGGTTTGAGACACACTTTTTGTAGAATCTACAAGTGGATATTTGCACCTCTCTGAGGATTTCATTGGAAACGGGATAACTGCACCTAACTAAACGGAAGCATTCTCAGAAACTGCTTTGTGATGATTGCATTCACCTCACAGAGTTGAACATTCCTATTGATAGAGCAGTTTGGAAACACTCTTGTTGTGGAATGTGCAAGTGGAGATTTGGAGCGCTTTGAGGCCTATGGTAGTAAAGGGAATAGCTTCATAGAAAAACTAGACAGATGCATTGTCAGGAACTTTTTGGTGACGTTTGTATTCAACTCCCAGAGTTGAACTTTCCTTTGGAAAGAGCAGCTATGAAACACTCTTTTTCTAGAATCTGCAAGTGGACGTTTGGAGGGCTTCGTGGTTTGTGGTGGAAAAGGAAATATCTTCACCTAAATACTAGATAGAAGCATTCTCAGAAGCTTCTCTGTGATGACTGCATTCAACTCACGGAGTTGAACAGTCCTTTTGAGAGCGCAGTTTTGAAACATTCTTTCTGTGGCATCTGCAAGGGGACACGTAGACCTCTTGGAAGATTTCGTTGGAAACGGAATCATCTTCACATAAAAACTATACAGAAGCATTCTCAGAAACTTCTTGGTGATGTTTGCATTCAAATCCCAGAGTTGAACCTTCCTTTGATAGTTCAGGTTTGAAACACTCTTTTTGCAGGATCTACAAGTGGATATTTGGACCACTCTGTGCCCTTCGTTCGAAACGGATATATCTTCACATGACATCTAGCCAGAAGCATTCTCAGAAAATACTTTGTGATGATTGAGTTGAACTCACAGAGCTGAACATTCCTTTGGATGGAGCAGGTTTGAGACACACTTTTTGTAGAATCTACAAGTGGATATTTGGACCTCTCTGAGGATTTCGTTGGAAACGGGATAACTGCACCTAACTAAACGGAAGCATTCTCAGAAACTGCTTTGTGATGATTGCATTCACCTCACAGAGTTGAACATTCCTATTGATAGAGCAGTTTGGAAACACTCTTGTTGTGGAATGTGCAAGTGGAGATTTGGAGCGCTTTGAGGCCTATGGTAGTAAAGGGAATAGCTTCATAGAAAAACTAGACAGATGCATTCTCAGGAACTTTTTGGTGATGTTTGTATTCAACTCCCAGAGTTGAACTTTCCTTTGGAAAGAGCAGCTATGAAACACTCTTTTTCTAGAATCTGCAAGTGGACGTTTGGAGGGCTTTGTGGTTTGTGGTGGAAAAGGAAATATCTTCACCTAAATACTAGAGAGAAGCATTCTCAGAAGCTTCTCTGTGATGACTGCATTCAACTCACGGAGTTGAACACTCCTTTTGAGAGCGCAGTTTTGAAACTCTCTTTCTGTGGCATCTGCAAGGGGACATGTAGACCTCTTTGAAGATTTCGTTGGAAACGGAATCATCTTCACATCAAAACTATACAGAAGCAGTCTCAGAATCTTCTTTGTGATGTTTGCATTCAAATCCCAGAGTTGAACTTTCCTTTCAAAGTTCATGTTTGAAACACTCTTTTTGCAGGATCTACAAGTGGATATTTGGACCACTCTGTGTCCTTCGTTCGAAACGGGTATATCTTCACATGACATCTAGACAGAAGCTTTCTCAGAAAATTCTTTGGGATGATTGAGTTGAGCAAACAGAGCTGAACACTCCTTGCGATGTAGCAGTTTAGAAACACACTTTCTGCAGAATCTGCAAGTGCATATGTGGACCTCTCTGAGGAATTCGTTGGAAACGGGATAATTTCAGCTGACTAAACAGAAGCATTCTCAGAACCTTCTTCGTGATGTCTGCATTCAACTCACAGTGTGGAACCTTTCTTTGATAGTTCAGGTTTGAAACACTCTTTTTGTAGAAACTGCAAGGGGATCATTGCACTTCTTTGAGGCCTACCGTAGTAAAGGAGATAACTTCCTATAAAAAGAAGACAGAAGCATTCTCAGAACCCTCTTCGTGATGTTTGCATTCAACTCACAGTGCTGAACCTTTCTTTGATAGTTCAGCTTTGAAACACTCTTTTTGTAGAAACTGCAAATGGATATTTGGTCCTCTCTGAGGATTTCGTTGGAAAAGGGATAAAACGCCCAGAACTAAACAGAAGCATTCACAGAAAACTCTTGGTGACGACTGAGTTTAACTCACAGAGCTGAACATTCCTTTGGATGGAGCAGTTTCAAAACACACTATTTGTAGAATCTGCAAGTGGATATATGGGCCTCTCTGAGGATTTCGTTGGAAACGGGATAAACCGCACAGAACTAAAACAGAAGCATTCTCAGAAACTACTTTGTGATGATTGCATTCAAGTCACAGAGTTGAACATTCCCTTTGACAGAGCAGTTTGGAAACTCTCTTTGTGTAGAATCTGCAAGTGGAGATATGGACCGCTTTGAGGCCTATGGTAGTAAAGGAAATAGCTTCATATAAAAGCTAGACAGTAGCATTCTCAGAAACTACTTTGTGATGCTTGCATTCAACTCACAGAGTTGAACTTTCCTTTCGAGAGAGAAGCTTTGAAACACTCTTTTTCCAGAATGTGCAAGTGGACATTTGGGGAGCTTTGAGGCCTGTGGTGGAAAAGGAATTATCTTCCCGTAAAAGCTAGATAGAGCATTGTCAGAAACTTCTTTGTGATGATTGCATTCAACTCACAGAGTTGAAGGTTCCTTTTCAAACAGCAGTTTCCAATCACTCTTTCTGTGGAATCTGCAAGTGGATATTTCGACCTCTTTGAAGATTTCGTTGGAAACGGGAGAATCTTCACAGAAAAGCTAAACAGAAGCATTCTCAGAAACTTCTCTGTGATGTTTGTGTTCAACTCCCAGAGTTTCACGTTGCTTTTCATAGAGTAGTTCTGAAACATGCTTTTCGTAGTGTCTGCAAGTGGACATTTGGAGCGCTTTCAGGCCTGTGGTGGAAAACGAATTATGGTCACATAAAAACTGGAGAGAAAGCCTTCTCAGAAACTTCTCTGTGATGATTGCATTCAACTCACAGAGTTGAACCCTCCTATGGATAGAGCAGTGTTGAAACTCTCTTTTTGTGGAATCTGCAAGTGGATATGTGGACCTCTCCGAAGATGTCTTTGGAAACGGGAATATCTTCACATAAAAACTAAACAGAGCATTCTCAGAAACTTCTTGGTGATGTTTGCATTCAAATCCCAGAGTTGAACCTTCCTTTGATAGTTCAGGTTTGAAACACTCTTTCTGTAGGATCTGCAAGTGGCTATTTGGACCACTCTGTGGCCTTCGTTCGAAACGGGTATATCTTCGCATAAAATCTAGACAGAAGCATTCTCAGAAAATACTTTGTGATGATTGAGTTTAAATCACAGAGCTGACCATTCCTTTGGATGGAGCAGGTTTGAGACACACTTTTTGTAGAATCTACAAGTGGATATTTGGACCTCTCTGAGGATTTCGTTGGAAACGGGATAACTGCACCTAACTAAACGGAAGCATTCTCAGAAACTGCTTTGTGATGATTGCATTCACCTCACAGAGTTGAACATTCCTATTGATAGAGCAGTTTGGAAACACTCTTGTTGTGGAATGTGCAAGTGGAGATTTGGAGCGCTTTGAGGCCTATGGTAGTAAAGGGAATAGCTTCATAGAAAAACTAGACAGATGCATTCTCAGGAACCTTTTGGTGATGTTTGTATTCAACTCCCAGAAGTTGAACTTTCCTTTGGAAAGAGCAGCTATGAAACACTCTTTTTCTAGAATCTGCAAGTGGACGTTTGGAGGGCTTTGTGGTTTGTGGTGGAAAAGGAAATATCTTCACCTAAATACTAGATAGAAGCATTCTCAGAAGCTTCTCTGTGATGACTGCATTCAACTCACGGAGTTGAACACTCCTTTTGAGAGCGCAGTTTTGAAACTCTCTTTCTGTGGCCTCCGCAAGGGGACATGTGGACCTCTTTGAAGATTTCGTTGGAAACGGAATCATCTTCACATAAAAACTATACAGAAGCAGTCTCAGAATCTTCTTTGTGATGTTTGCATTCAAATCCCAGAGTTGAACTTTCCTTTCAAAGTTCACGTTTGAAACACTCTTTTTGCAGGATCTACAAGTGGATATTTGGACCACTCTGTGTCCTTCGTTCGAAACGGGTATATCTTCACACGACATCTAGACAGAAGCTTTCTCAGAAAATTCTTTGGGATGATTGAGTGGAACTCACAGAGCTGAACATTCCTTGCGATGGAGCAGTTTAGAAACACACTTTCTGCAGAATCTGCAAGTGCATATTTGGACCTCTCTGAGGAATTCGTTGGAAACGGGATAATTTCAGCTGACTAAACAGAAGCATTCTCAGAACCTTCTTCGTGATGTCTGCATTCAACTCACAGTGTGGAACCTTTCTTTGATAGTTCAGGTTTGAAACACTCTTTTTGTAGAAACTGCAAGGGGATAATTGCACTTCTTTGAGGCCTACCGTAGTAAAGGAAATAACTTCCTATAGAAAGAAGACAGAAGCATTCTCAGAACCCTCTTCGTGATGTTTGCATTCAACTCACAGTGCTGAACCTTTCTTTGATAGTTCAGCTTTGAAACACTCTTCTTGTAGAAACTGCAGGTGGATATTTGGTCCTCTCTGAGGATTTCGTTGGAAACGGGATAAACCGCACAGAACTAAACAGAAGAATTCTCAGAGCCCTCTTCGTGATGTTTGCATTCAACTCACAGTGCTGAACCTTTCTTTGATAGTGCAGCTTTGAAACACTCTTTTTGTAGAAACTGCAAGTGGATATTTGGTCCTCTCTGAGGATTTCGTTGGAAACGGGATAAACCGCACAGAACTAAAACAGAAGCATTCACAGAAAACTCTTGGTGACGACTGAGTTTAACTCACAGAGCTGAACATTCCTTTGGATGGAGCAGTTTCGAAACACACTATTTGTAGAATCTGCAAGTGGATATTTGGGCCTCTCTGAGGATTTCGTTGGAAACGGGATAAAACGCACAGAACTAAAACAGAAGCATTCTCAGAAACTACTTTGTGATGATTGCATTCAAGTCACAGAGTTGAACATTCCCTTTGACAGAGCAGTTTGGAAACTCTCTTTGTGTAGAATCTGCAAGTGGAGATATGGACCGCTTTGAGGCCTATGGTAGTAAAGGAAATAGCTTCATATAAAAGCTAGACAGTAGCATTCTCAGAAACTTCTTTGTGATGCTTGCATTCAACTCACAGAGTTGAACTTTCCTTTCGAGAGAGAAGCTTTGAAACACTCTTTTTCCAGAATGTGCAAGTGGACATTTGGGGAGCTTTGAGGCCTGTGGTGGAAAAGGAATTATCTTCCCGTAAAAGCTAGATAGAAGCATTGTCAGAAACTTCTTTGTGATGATTGCATTCAACTCACAGAGTTGAAGGTTCCTTTTCAAACAGCAGTTTCCAATCACTCTTTCTGTGGAATCTGCAAGTGGATATTTCGACCTCTTTGAAGATTTCGTTGGAAACGGGAGAATCTTCACAGAAAAGCTAAACAGAAGCATTCTCAGAAACTTCTCTGTGATGTTTGTGTTCAACTCCCAGAGTTTCACGTTGCTTTTCATAGAGTAGTTCTGAAACATGCTTTTCGTAGTGTCTGCAAGTGGACATTTGGAGCGCTTTCAGGCCTGTGGTGGAAAACGAATTATGGTCACATAAAAACTGGAGAGAAGCCTTCTCAGAAACTTCTCTGTGATGATTGCATTCAACTCACAGAGTTGAACCCTCCTATGGATAGAGCAGTGTTGAAACTCTCTTTTTGTGGAATCTGCAAGTGGATATGTGGACCTCTCCGAAGATGTCTTTGGAAACGGGAATATCTTCACATAAAAACTAAACAGAAGCATTCTCAGAAACTTCTTGGTGATGTTTGCATTCAAATCCCAGAGTTGAACCTTCCTTTGATAGTTCAGGTTTGAAACACTCTTTCTGTAGGATCTGCAAGTGGCTATTTGGACCACTCTGTGGCCTTCGTTCGAAACGGGTATATCTTCGCATAAAATCTAGACAGAAGCATTCTCAGAAAATACTTTGTGATGATTGAGTTTAACTCACAGAGCTGAACATTCCTTTGGATGGAGCAGGTTTGAGACACACTTTTTGTAGAATCTACAAGTGGATATTTGGACCTCTCTGAGGATTTCGTTGGAAACGGGATAACTGCACCTAACTAAACGGAAGCATTCTCAGAAACTGCTTTGTGATGATTGCATTCACCTCACAGAGTTGAACATTCCTATTGATAGAGCAGTTTGGAAACACTCTTGTTGTGGAATGTGCAAGTGGAGATTTGGAGCGCTTTGAGGTCTATGGTAGTAAAGGGAATAGCTTCATAGAAAAACTAGACAGATGCATTCTCAGGAACTTTTTGGTGATGTTTGTATTCAACTCCCAGAGTTGAACTTTCCTTTGGAAAGAGCAGCTATGAAACACTCTTTTTCTAGAATCTGCAAGTGGACGTTTGGAGGGCTTTGTGGTTTGTGGTGGAAAAGGAAATATCTTCACCTAAATACTAGATAGAAGCATCCTCAGAAGCTTCTCTGTGATGACTGCATTCAACTCACGGAGTTGAACACTCCTTTTGAGAGCGCAGTTTTGAAACTCTCTTTCTGTGGCATCTGCAAGGGGACATGTAGACCTCTTTGAAGATTTCGTTGGAAACGGAATCATCTTCACATAAAAACTACACAGAAGCAGTCTCAGAATCTTCTTTGTGATGTTTGCATTCAAATCCCCGAGTTGAACTTTCCTTTCAAAGTTCACGTTTGAAACACTCTTTTTGCAGGATCTTCAAGTGGATATTTGGACCACTCTGTGTCCTTCGTTCGAAACGGGTATATCTTCACATGACATCTAGACAGAAGCTTTCTCAGAAAATTCTTTGGGATGATTGAGTTGAACTCACAGAGCTGAGCATTCCTTGCGATGTAGCAGTTTAGAAACACACTTTCTGCAGAATCTGCAAGTGCATATTTGGACCTCTGTGAGGAATTCGTTGGAAACGGGATAATTTCAGCTGACTAAACAGAAGCATTCTCAGAACCTTCTTCGTGATGTCTGCATTCAACTCACAGTGTGGAACCTTTCTTTGATAGTTCAGGTTTGAAACACTCTTTCTGTAGAAACTGCAAGGGGATAATTGCACTCTTTGAGGAGTACCGTAGTAAAGGAAATAACTTCCTATAAAAAGAAGACAGAAGCATTCTCAGAACCCTCTTCGTGATGTTTGCATTCAACTCACAGTGCTGAACCTTTCTTTGATAGTTCAGCTTTGAAACACTCTTTTTGTGGAAACTGCAAGTGGATATTTGGTCCTCTCTGAGGATTTCGTTGGAAACGGGATAAACTGCACAGAACTAAACAGAAGCATTCTCAGAACCTTCTTCGTGATGTTTGCATTCAACTCACAGTGTGGAACCTTTCTTTGATAGTTCAGGTTTGAAACGGTCTTTCTGTAGAAACTGCAAGTAGATATTTGGACCTCTCTGAGGATTTCGTTGGAAACGGGATAACCCGCACAGAACTAAAACAGAAGCATTCACAGAAAACTCTTGGTGACGACTGAGTTTAACTCACAGAGCTGAACATTCCTTTGGATGGAGCAGTTTCAAAACACACTATTTGTAGAATGTGCAAGTGGATATGTGGGCCTCTCTGAGGATTTCGTTGGAAACGGGATAAACCGCACAGAACTAAAACAGAAGCATTCTCAGAAACTACTTTGTGATGATTGCATTCAAGTCACAGAGTTGAACATTCCCTTTGACAGAGCAGTTTGGAAACTCTCTTTGTGTAGAATCTGCAAGTGGAGATATGGACCGCTTTGAGGCCTATGGTAGTAAAGGAAATAGCTTCATATAAAAGCTAGACAGTAGCATTCTCAGAAACTTCTTTGTGATGCTTGCATTCAACTCACAGAGTTGAACTTTCCTTTCGAGAGAGAAGCTTTGAAACACTCTTTTTCCAGAATCTGCAAGTGGACATTTGGAGGGCTTTGAGGCCTGTGGTGGAAAAGGAATTATCTTCCCGTAAAAGCTAGATAGAAGCATTGTCAGAAACTTCTTTGTGATGATTGCATTCAACTCACAGAGTTGAAGGTTCCTTTTCAAACAGCAGTTTCCAATCACTCTTTCTGTGGAATCTGCAAGTGGATATTTGGACCTATTTTGAAGATTTCGTTGGAAACGGGATAATCTTCACAGAAAAGCTAAACAGAAGCATTCTCAGAAACTTCTCTGTGATGTTTGTGTTCAACTCCCAGAGTTTCACGTTGCTTTTCATAGAGTAGTTCTGAAACATGCTTTTCGTAGTGTCTGCAAGTGGACATTTGGAGCGCTTTCAGGCCTGTGGTGGAAAACGAATTATGGTCACATAAAAACTGGAGAGAAGCCTTCTCAGAAACTTCTCTGTGATGATTGCATTCAACTCACAGAGTTGAACCCTCCTATGGATAGAGCAGTGTTGAAACTCTCTTTTTGTGGAATCTGCAAGTGGATATGTGGACCTCTCCGAAGATGTCTTTGGAAACGGGAATATCTTCACATAAAAACTAAACAGAAGCATTCTCAGAAACTTCTTGGTGATGTTTGCATTCAAATCCCAGAGTTGAACCTTCCTTTGATAGTTCAGGTTTGAAACACTCTTTTTGTAGGATCTGCAAGTGGCTATTTGGACCACTCTGTGGCCTTCGTTCGAAACGGGTATATCTTCGCATAAAATCTAGACAGAAGCATTCTCAGAAAATACTTTGTGATGATTGAGTTTAAATCACAGAGCTGAACATTCCTTTGGATGGAGCAGGTTTGAGACACACTTTTTGTAGAATCTACAAGTGGATATTTGGACCTCTCTGAGGATTTCGTTGGAAACGGGAGAACTGCACCTAAGTAAACGGAAGCATTCTCAGAAACTGCTTTGTGATGATTGCATTCACCTCACAGAGTTGAACATTCCTATTGATAGAGCAGTTTGGAAACACTCTTCTTGTGGAATGTGCAAGTGGAGATTTGGAGCGCTTTGAGGCCTATGGTAGTAAAGGGAATAGCTTCATAGAAAAACTAGACAGATGCATTCTCAGGAACTTTTTGGTGATGTTTGTATTCAACTCCCAGAGTTGAACTTTCCTTTGGAAAGAGCAGCTATGAAACACTCTTTTTCTAGAATCTGCAAGTGGACGTTTGGAGGGCTTTGTGGTTTGTGGTGGAAAAGGAAATATCTTCACCTAAATACTAGAAAGAAGCATTCTCAGAAGCTTCTCTGTGATGACTGCATTCAACTCACGGAGTTGAACACTCCTTTTGAGAGCGCAGTTTTGGAACTCTCTTTCTGTGGCATCTGCAAGGGGACATGTAGACCTCTTTGAAGATTTCGTTGGAAACGGAATCATCTTCACATCAAAACTATACAGAAGCAGTCTCAGAATCTTCTTTGTGATGTTTGCATTCAAATCCCAGAGTTGAACTTGCCTTTCAAAGTTCACGTTTGAAACACTCTTTTTGCAGGATCTACAAGTGGATATTTGGACCACTCTGTGTCCTTCGTTCGAAACGGGTATATCTTCACATGACATCTAGACAGAAGCTTTCTCAGAAAATTCTTTGGGATGATTGAGTGGAACTCACAGAGCTGTACATTCCTTGCGATGTAGCAGTTTAGAAACACACTTTCTGCAGAATCTGCAAGTGCATATTTGGACCTCTCTGAGGAATTCGTTGGAAACGGGATAATTTCAGCTGACTAAACAGAAGCATTCTCAGAACCTTCTTCGTGATGTCTGCATTCAACTCACAGTGTGGAACCTTTCTTTGATAGTTCAGGTTTGAAACACTCTTTTTGTAGAAACTGCAAGGGGATAATTGCACTTCTTTGAGGCCTACCGTAGTAAAGGAAATAACTTCCTATAGAAAGAAGACAGAAGCATTCTCAGAACCCTCTTCGTGATGTTTGCATTCAACTCACAGTGCTGAACCTTTCTTTGATAGTTCAGCTTTGAAACACTCTTCTTGTAGAAACTGCAAGTGGATATTTGGTCCTCTCTGAGGATTTCGTTGGAAACGAGATAAACCGCACAGAACTAAACAGAAGCATTCTCAGAGCCCTCTTCGTGATGTTTGCATTCAACTCACAGTGCTGAACCTTTCTTTGATAGTGCAGCTTTGAAACACTCTTTTTGTAGAAACTGCAAGTGGATATTTGGTCCTCTCTGAGGATTTCGTTGGAAACGGGATAAACTGCACAGAACTAAAACAGAAGCATTGTCAGAAACTTCTTTGTGATGATTGCATTCAACTCACAGAGTTGAAGGTTCCTTTTCAAACAGCAGTTTCCAATCACTCTTTCTGTGGAATCTGCAAGTGGATATTTGGGCCTCTCTGAGGATTTCGTTGGAAACGGGATAAAACGCACAGAACTGAAACAGAAGCATTCTCAGAAACTTCTCCTGTGATGTTTGTGTTCAACTCCCAGAGTTTCACGTTGCTTTTCATAGAGTAGTTCTGAAACATGCTTTTCGTAGTGTCTGCAAGTGGACATTTGGAGCGCTTTCAGGCCTGTGGTGGAAAACGAATTATGGTCACATAAAAACTGGAGAGAAGCCTTCTCAGAAACTTCTCTGTGATGATTGCATTCAACTCACAGAGTTGAACCCTCCTATGGATAGAGCAGTGTTGAAACTCTCTTTTTGTGGAATCTGCAAGTGGATATGTGGACCTCTCCGAAGATGTCTTTGGAAACGGGAATATCTTCACATAAAAACTAAACAGAAGCATTCTCAGAAACTTCTTGGTGATGTTTGCATTCAAATCCCAGAGTTGAACCTTCCTTTGATAGTTCAGGTTTGAAACACTCTTTCTGTAGGATCTGCAAGTGGCTATTTGGACCACTCTGTGGCCTTCGTTCGAAACGGGTATATCTTCGCATAAAATCTAGACAGAAGCATTCTCAGAAAATACTTTGTGATGATTGAGTTTAAATCACAGAGCTGACCATTCCTTTGGATGGAGCAGGTTTGAGACACACTTTTTGTAGAATCTACAAGTGGATATTTGGACCTCTCTGAGGATTTCGTTGGAAACGGGAAAACTGCACCTAACTAAACGGAAGCATTCTCAGAAACTGCTTTGTGATGATTGCATTCACCTCACAGAGTTGAACATTCCTATTGATAGAGCAGTTTGGAAACACTCTTGTTGTGGAATGTGCAAGTGGAGATTTGGAGCGCTTTGAGGCCTGTGGTAGTAAAGGGAATAGCTTCATAGAAAAACTAGACAGATGCATTCTCAGGAACTTTTTGGTGATGTTTGTATTCAACTCCCAAGAGTTGAACTTTCCTTTGGAAAGAGCAGCTATGAAACACTCTTTTTCTAGAATCTGCAAGTGGACGTTTGGAGGGCTTTGTGGTTTGTGGTGGAAAAGGAAATATCTTCACCTAAATACTAGATAGAAGCATTCTCAGAAGCTTCTCTGTGATGACTGCATTCAACTCACGGAGTTGAACACTCCTTTTGAGAGCGCAGTTTTGAAACTCTCTTTCTGTGGCATCTGCAAGGGGACATGTAGACCTCTTTGAAGATTTCGTTGGAAACGGAATCATCTTCACATAAAAACTATACAGAAGCAGTCTCAGAATCTTCTTTGTGATGTTTGCATTCAAATCCCAGAGTTGAACTTTCCTTTCAAAGTTCACGTTTGAAACACTCTTTTTGCAGGATCTACAAGTGGATATTTGGACCACTCTGTGTCCTTCGTTCGAAACGGGTATATCTTCACATGACATCTAGACAGAAGCTTTCTCAGAAAATTCTTTGGGATGATTGAGTGGAACTCACAGAGCTGAACATTCCTTGCGATGTAGCAGTTTAGAAACACACTTTCTGCAGAATCTGCAAGTGCATATTTGGACCTCTCTGAGGAATTCGTTGGAAACGGGATAATTTCAGCTGACTAAACAGAAGCATTCTCAGAACCTTCTTCGTGATGTCTGCATTCAACTCACAGTGTGGAACCTTTCTTTGATAGTTCAGGTTTGAAACACTCTTTTTGTAGAAACTGCAAGGGGATAATTGCACTTCTTTTGAGGCCTACCGTAGTAAAGGAAATAACTTCCTATAGAAAGAAGACAGAAGCATTCTCAGAACCCTCTTCGTGATGTTTGCATTCAACTCACAGTGCTGAACCTTTCTTTGATAGTTCAGCTTTGAAACACTCTTCTTGTAGAAACTGCAAGTGGATATTTGGTCCTCTCTGAGGATTTCGTTGGAAACGGGATAAACCGCACAGAACTAAACAGAAGAATTCTCAGAGCCCTCTTCGTGATGTTTGCATTCAACTCACAGTGCTGAACCTTTCTTTGATAGTGCAGCTTTGAAACACTCTTTTTGTAGAAACTGCAAGTGGATGTTTGGTCCTCTCTGAGGATTTCGTTGGAAACGGGATAAACCGCACAGAACTAAAACAGAAGCATTGTCAGAAACTTCTTTGTGATGATTGCATTCAACTCACAGAGTTGAAGGTTCCTTTTCAAACAGCAGTTTCCAATCACTCTTTCTGTGGAATCTGCAAGTGGATATTTGGGCCTCTCTGAGGATTTCGTTGGAAACGGGATAAAACGCACAGAACTAAAACAGAAAGCATTCTCAGAAACTTCTCTGTGATGTTTGTGTTCAACTCCCAGAGTTTCACATTGCTTTTCATAGAGTAGTTCTGAAACATGCTTTTCGTAGTGTCTACAAGTGGACATTTGGAGCGCTTTCAGGCCTGTGGTGGAAAACGAATTATGGTCACATAAAAACTGGAGAGAAGCCTTCTCAGAAACTTCTCTGTGATGATTGCATTCAACTCACAGAGTTGAACCCTCCTATGGATAGAGCAGTGTTGAAACTCTCTTTTTGTGGAATCTGCAAGTGGATATGTGGACCTCTCCGAAGATGTCTTTGGAAACGGGAATATCTTCACATAAAAACTAAACAGAAGCATTCTCAGAAACTTCTTGGTGATGTTTGCATTCAAATCCCAGAGTTGAACCTTCCTTTGATAGTTCAGGTTTGAAACACTCTTTTTGTAGGATCTGCAAGTGGATATTTGGACCACTCTGTGGCCTTCGTTCGAAACGGGTACATCTTCACATAAAATCTAGACAGAAGCATTCTCAGAAAATACTTTGTGATGATTGAGTTTAAATCACAGAGCTGACCATTCCTTTGGATGGAGCAGGTTTGAGACACACTTTTTGTAGAATCTACAAGTGGATATTTGGACCTCTCTGAGGATTTCGTTGGAAACGGGATAACTGCACCTAACTAAACGGAAGCATTCTCAGAAACTGCTTTGTGATGATTGCATTCACCTCACAGAGTTGAACATTCCTATTGATAGAGCAGTTTGGAAACACTCTTGTTGTGGAATGTGCAAGTGGAGATTTGGAGCGCTTTGAGGCCTATGGTAGTAAAGGGAATAGCTTCATAGAAAAACTAGACAGATGCATTCTCAGGAACCTTTTGGTGATGTTTGTATTCAACTCCCAGAGTTGAACTTTCCTTTGGAAAGAGCAGCTATGAAACACTCTTTTTCTAGAATCTGCAAGTGGACGTTTGGAGGGCTTTGTGGTTTGTGGTGGAAAAGGAAATATCTTCACCTAAATACTAGATAGAAGCATTCTCAGAAGCTTCTCTGTGATGACTGCATTCAACTCACGGAGTTGAACACTCCTTTTGAGAGCGCAGTTTTGAAACTCTCTTTCTGTGGCATCTGCAAGGGGACATGTAGACCTCTTTGAAGATTTCGTTGGAAACGGAATCATCTTCACATAAAAACTATACAGAAGCAGTCTCAGAATCTTCTTTGTGATGTTTGCATTCAAATCCCCGAGTTGAACTTTCCTTTCAAAGTTCACGTTTGAAACACTCTTTTTGCAGGATCTACAAGTGGATATTTGGACCACTCTGTGTCCTTCGTTAGAAACGGGTATATCTTCACATGACATCTAGACAGAAGCTTTCTCAGAAAATTCTTTGGGATGATTGAGTTGAACTCACAGAGCTGAGCATTCCTTGCGATGTAGCAGTTTAGAAACACACTTTCTGCAGAATCTGCAAGTGCATATTTGGACCTCTGTGAGGAATTCGTTGGAAACGGGATAATTTCAGCTGACTAAACAGAAGCATTCTCAGAACCTTCTTCGTGATGTCTGCATTCAACACAAAGTGTGGAACCTTTCTTTGATAGTTCAGGTTTTAAAAACTCTTTTTGTAGAAACTGCAAGGGGATAATTGCACTCTTTGAGGAGTACCGTAGTAAAGGAAATAACTTCCTATAAAAAGAAGACAGAAGCATTCTCAGAACCCTCTTCGTGATGTTTGCATTCAACTCACAGTGCTGAACCTTTCTTTGATAGTTCAGCTTTGAAACACTCTTTTTGTAGAAACTGCAAGTGAATATTTGGTCCTCTCTGAGGATTTCGTTGGAAACAGGATAAAACGCACAGAACTAAACAGAAGCATTCTCAGAACCTTCTTCGTGATGTTTGCATTCAACTCACAGTGTTGAACCTTTCTTTGATAGTTCAGGTTTGAAACGGTCTTTCTGTAGAAACTGCAAGTAGATATTTGGACCTCTCTGAGGATTTCGTTGGAAACGGGATAACCCGCACAGAACTAAAACAGAAGCATTCACAGAAAACTCTTGGTGACGACTGAGTTTAACTCACAGAGCTGAACATTCCTTTGGAAGGAGCAGTTTCAAAACACACTATTTGTAGAATGTGCAAGTGGATATGTGGGCCTCTCTGAGGATTTCGTTGGAAACGGGATAAACCGCACAGAACTAAAACAGAAGCATTCTCAGAAACTACTTTGTTATGATTGCATTCAAGTCACAGAGTTGAACATTCCCTTTGACAGAGCAGTTTGGAAACTCTCTTTGTGTAGAATCTGCAAGTGGAGATATGGACCGCTTTGAGGCCTATGGTAGTAAAGGAAATAGCTTCATATAAAAGCTAGACAGTAGCATTCTCAGAAACTTCTTTGTGATGCTTGCATTCAACTCACAGAGTTGAACTTTCCTTTCGAGAGAGAAGCTTTGAAACACTCTTTTTCCAGAATCTGCAAGTGGACATTTGGAGGGCTTTGAGGCCTGTGGTGGAAAAGGAATTATCTTCCCGTAAAAGCTAGATAGAAGCATTGTCAGAAACTTCTTTGTGATGATTGCATTCAAGTCACAGAGTTGAAGGTTCCTTTTCAAAGAGCAGTTTCCAATCACTCTTTCTGTGGAATCTGCAAGTGGATATTTGGACCTCTTTGAAGATTTCGTTGGAAACGGGAGAATCTTCACAGAAAAGCTAAACAGAAGCATTCTCAGAAACTTCTCTGTGATGTTTGTGTTCAACTCCCAGAGTTTCACATTGCTTCTCATAGAGTAGTTCTGAAACATGCTTTTCGTAGTGTCTGCAAGTGGACATTTGGAGCGCTTTCAGGCCTGTGGTGGAAAACGAATTATGGTCACATAAAAACTGGAGAGAAGCCTTCTCAGAAACTTCTCTGTGATGATTGCATTCAACTCACAGAGTTGAACCCTCCTATGGATAGAGCAGTGTTGAAACTCTCTTTTTGTGGAATCTGCAAGCGGATATGTGGACCTCTCCGAAGATGTCTTTGGAAACGGGAATATCTTCACATAAAAACTAAACAGAAGCATTCTCAGAAACTTCTTGGTGATGTTTGCATTCAAATCCCAGAGTTGAACCTTCCTTTGAGAGTTCAGGTTTGAAACACTCTTTTTGTAGGATCTGCAAGTGGATATTTGGACCACTCTGTGGCCTTCGTTCGAAACGGGTACATCTTCGCATAAAATCTAGACAGAAGCATTCTCAGAAAATACTTTGTGATGATTGAGTTGAACTCACAGAGCTGAACATTCCTTTGGATGGAGCAGGTTTGAGACACACTTTTTGTAGAATCTACAAGTGGATATTTGGACCTCTCTGAGGATTTCTTTGGAAACGGGATAACCTTCACAGAAAAGCTAAACAGAAGCATTCTCAGAAACTGCTTTGTGATGATTGCATTCACCTCACAGAGTTGAACATTCCTATTGATAGAGCAGTTTGGAAACACTCTTGTTGTGGAATGTGCAAGTGGAGATTTGGAGCGCTTTGAGGCCTATCGTAGTAAAGGGAATAGCTTCATAGAAAAACTAGACAGATGCATTCTCAGGAACTTTTTGGTGATGTTTGTATTCAACTCCCAGAGTTGAACTTTCCTTTGGAAAGAGCAGCTATGAAACACTCTTTTTCTAGAATCTGCAAGTGGACGTTTGGAGGGCTTTGTGGTTTGTGGTGGAAAAGGAAATATCTTCACCTAAATACTAGATAGAAGCATTCTCAGAAGCTTCTCTGTGATGACTGCATTCAACTCACGGAGTTGAACACTCCTTTTGAGAGCGCAGTTTTGAAACTCTCTTTCTGTGGCATCTGCAAGGGGACATGTAGACCTCTTTGAAGATTTCGTTGGAAACGGAATCATCTTCACATAAAAACTATACAGAAGCAGTCTCAGAATCTTCTTTGTGATGTTTGCATTCAAATCCCAGAGTTGAACTTTCCTTTCAAAGTTCACGTTTGAAACACTCTTTTTGCAGGATCTACAAGTGGATATTTGGACCACTCTGTGTCCTTCGTTCGAAACGGGTATATCTTCACATGACATCTAGACAGAAGCTTTCTCAGAAAATTCTTTGGGATGATTGAGTGGAACTCACAGAGCTGAACATTCCTTGCGATGTAGCAGTTTAGAAACACACTTTCTGCAGAATCTGCAAGTGCATATTTGGACCTCTCTGAGGAATTCGTTGGAAACGGGATAATTTCAGCTGACTAAACAGAAGCATTCTCAGAACTTCTTCGTGATGTCTGCATTCAACTCACAGTGTGGAACCTTTCTTTGATAGTTCAGGTTTGAAACACTCTTTTTGTAGAAACTGCAAGGGGATAATTGCACTTCTTTGAGGCCTACCGTAGTAAAGGAAATAACTTCCTATAGAAAGAAGACAGAAGCATTCTCAGAACCCTCTTCGTGATGTTTGCATTCAACTCACAGTGCTGAACCTTTCTTTGATAGTTCAGCTTTGAAACACTCTTCTTGTAGAAACTGCAAGTGGATATTTGGTCCTCTCTGAGGATTTCGTTGGAAACGGGATAAACCGCACAGAACTAAACAGAAGAATTCTCAGAGCCCTCTTCGTGATGTTTGCATTCAACTCACAGTGCTGAAACTTTCTTTGATAGTGCAGCTTTGAAACACTCTTTTTGTAGAAACTGCAAGTGGATATTTGGTCCACTCTGAGGATTTCGTTGGAAACGGGATAAACCGCACAGAACTAAAACAGAAGCATTGTCAGAAACTTCTTTGTGATGATTGCATTCAACTCACAGAGTTGAAGGTTCCTTTTCAAACAGCAGTTTCCAATCACTCTTTCTGTGGAATCTGCAAGTGGATATTTGGGCCTCTCTGAGGATTTCGTTGGAAACGGGATAAAACGCACAGAACTAAAACAGAAGCATTCTCAGAAACTTCTCTGTGATGTTTGTGTTCAACTCCCAGAGTTTCACGTTGCTTTTCATAGAGTAGTTCTGAAACATGCTTTTCGTAGTGTCTGCAAGTGGACATTTGGAGCGCTTTCAGGCCTGTGGTGGAAAACGAATTATGGTCACATAAAAACTGGAGAGAAGCCTTCTCAGAAACTTCTCTGTGATGATTGCATTCAACTCACAGAGTTGAACCCTCCTATGGATAGAGCAGTGTTGAAACTCTCTTTTTGTGGAATCTGCAAGTGGATATGTGGACCTCTCCGAAGATGTCTTTGGAAACGGGAATATCTTCACATAAAAACTAAACAGAAGCATTCTCAGAAACTTCTTGGTGATGTTTGCATTCAAATCCCAGAGTTGAACCTTCCTTTGATAGTTCAGGTTTGAAACACTCTTTCTGTAGGATCTGCAAGTGGCTATTTGGACCACTCTGTGGCCTTCGTTCGAAACGGGTATATCTTCGCATAAAATCTAGACAGAAAAGCATTCTCAGAAAATACTTTGTGATGATTGAGTTTAAATCACAGAGCTGACCATTCCTTTGGATGGAGCAGGTTTGAGACACACTTTTTGTAGAATCTACAAGTGGATATTTGGACCTCTCTGAGGATTTCGTTGGAAACGGGATAACTGCACCTAACTAAACGGAAGCATTCCCAGAAATTGCTTTGTCATGATTGCATTCACCTCACAGAGTTGAACATTCCTATTGATAGAGCAGTTTGGAAACCCTCTTCTTGTGGAATGTGCAAGTGGAGATTTGGAGCGCTTTGAGGCCTATGATAGTAAAGGGAATAGCTTCATAGAAAAACTAGACAGATGCATTCTCAGGAACTTTTTGGTGATGTTTGTATTCAACTCCCAGAGTTGAACTTTCCTTTGGAAAGAGCAGCTATGAAACACTCTTTTTCTAGAATCTGCAAGTGGACGTTTGGAGGGCTTTGTGGTTTGTGGTGGAAAAAGAAATATCTTCACCTAAATACTAGATAGAAGCATTCTCAGAAGCTTCTCTGAGATGACTGCATTCAACTCACGGAGTTGAACACTCCTTTTGAGAGCGCAGTTTTGAAACTCTCTTTCTGTGGCATCTGCAAGGGGACATGTAGACCTCTTTGAAGATTTCGTTGGAAACGGAATCATCTTCACATAAAAACTATACAGAAGCAGTCTCAGAATCTTCTTTGTGATGTTTGCATTCAAATCCCCGAGTTGAACTTTCCTTTCAAAGTTCACGTTTGAAACACTCTTTTTGCAGGATCTACAAGTGGATATTTGGACCACTCTGTGTCCTTCGTTCGAAACGGGTATATCTTCACATGACATCTAGACAGAAGCTTTCTCAGAAAATTCTTTGGGATGATTGAGTTGAACTCACAGAGCTGAACATTCCTTGCGATGTAGCAGTTTAGAAACACACTTTCTGCAGAATCTGCAAGTGCATATTTGGACCTCTCTGAGGAATTCGTAGGAAACGGTATAATTTCAGCTGACTAAACAGAAGCATTCTCAGAACCTTCTTCGTGATGTCTGCATTCAACTCACACTGTGGAACCTTTCTTTGATAGTTCAGGTTTGAAACACTCTTTTTGTAGAAACTGCAAGGGGATAATTGCACTTCTTTGAGGCCTACCGTAGTAAAGGAAATAACTTCCTATAGAAAGAAGACAGAAGCATTCTCAGAACCCTCTTCGTGATGTTTGCATTCAACTCACAGTGCTGAACCTTTCTTTGATAGTTCAGCTTTGAAACACTCTTCTTGTAGAAACTGCAAGTGGATATTTGGTCCTCTCTGAGGATTTCGTTGGAAACGGGATAAACCGCACAGAACTAAACAGAAGAATTCTCAGAGCCCTCTTCGTGATGTTTGCATTCAACTCACAGTGCTGAACCTTTCTTTGATAGTGCAGCTTTGAAACACTCTTTTTGTAGAAACTGCAAGTGGATATTTGGTCCTCTCTGAGGATTTCGTTGGAAACGGGATAAACCGCACAGAACTAAAACAGAAGCATTCACAGAAAACTCTTGGTGACGACTGAGTTTAACTCACAGAGCTGAACATTCCTTTGGATGGAGCAGTTTCGAAACACACTATTTGTAGAATCTGCAAGTGGATATTTGGGCCTCTCTGAGGATTTCGTTGGAAACGGGATAAAACGCACAGAACTAAAACAGAAGCATTCTCAGAAACTACTTTGTGATGATTGCATTCAAGTCACAGAGTTGAACATTCCCTTTGACAGAGCAGTTTGGAAACTCTCTTTGTGTAGAATCTGCAAGTGGAGATATGGACCGCTTTGAGGCCTATGGTAGTAAAGGAAATAGCTTCATATAAAACCTAGACAGTAGCATTCTCAGAAACTTCTTTGTGATGCTTGCATTCAACTCACAGAGTTGAACTTTCCTTTCGAGAGAGAAGCTTTGAAACACTCTTTTTCCAGAATGTGCAAGTGGACATTTGGGGAGCTTTGAGGCCTGTGGTGGAAAAGGAATTATCTTCCCGTAAAAGCTAGATAGAAGCATTGTCAGAAACTTCTTTGTGATGATTGCATTCAACTCACAGAGTTGAAGGTTCCTTTTCAAACAGCAGTTTCCAATCACTCTTTCTGTGGAATCTGCAAGTGGATATTTCGACCTCTTTGAAGATTTCGTTGGAAACGGGAGAATCTTCACAGAAAAGCTAAACAGAAGCATTCTCAGAAACTTCTCTGTGATGTTTGTGTTCAACTCCCAGAGTTTCACGTTGCTTCTCATAGAGTAGTTCTGAAACATGCTTTTCGTAGTGTCTGCAAGTGGACATTTGGAGCGCTTTCAGGCCTGTGGTGGAAAACGAATTATGGTCACATAAAAACTGGAGAGAAGCCTTCTCAGAAACTTCTCTGTGATGATTGCATTCAACTCACAGAGTTGAACCCTCCTATGGATAGAGCAGTGTTGAAACTCTCTTTTTGTGGAATCTGCAAGTGGATATGTGGACCTCTCCGAAGATGTCTTTGGAAACGGGAATATCTTCACATAAAAACTAAACAGAAGCATTCTCAGAAACTTCTTGGTGATGTTTGCATTCAAATCCCAGAGTTGAACCTTCCTTTGAGAGTTCAGGTTTGAAACACTCTTTTTGTAGGATCTGCAAGTGGATATTTGGACCACGCTGTGTCCTTCGTTCGAAACGGGTACATCTTCGCATAAAATCTAGACAGAAGCATTCTCAGAAAATACTTTGTGATGATTGAGTTGAACTCACAGAGCTGAACATTCCTTTGGATGGAGCAGGTTTGAGACACACTTTTTGTAGAATCTACAAGTGGATATTTGGACCTCTCTGAGGATTTCGTTGGAAACGGGATAACTGCACCTAACTAAACGGAAGCATTCTCAGAAACTGCTTTGTGATGATTGCATTCACCTCACAGAGTTGAACATTCCTATTGATAGAGCAGTTTGGAAACACTCTTGTTGTGGAATGTGCAAGTGGAGATTTGGAGCGCTTTGAGGCCTATGGTAGTAAAGGGAATAGCTTCATAGAAAAACTAGACAGATGCATTCTCAGGAACTTTTTGGTGATGTTTGTATTCAACTCCCAGAGTTGAACTTTCCTTTGGAAAGAGCAGCTATGAAACACTCTTTTTCTAGAATCTGCAAGTGGACGTTTGGAGGGCTTTGTGGTTTGTGGTGGAAAAGGAAATATCTTCACCTAAATACTAGATAGAAGCATTCTCAGAAGCTTCTCTGTGATGACTGCATTCAACTCACGGAGTTGAACACTCCTTTTGAGAGCGCAGTTTTGAAACTCTCTTTCTGTGGCATCTGCAAGGGGACATGTAGACCTCTTTGAAGATTTGGTTGGAAACGGAATCATCTTCACATAAAAACTATACAGAAGCAGTCTCAGAATCTTCTTTGTGATGTTTGCATTCAAATCCCCGAGTTGAACTTTCCTTTCAAAGTTCACGTTTGAAACACTCTTTTTGCAGGATCTACAAGTGGATATTTGGACCACTCTGTGTCCTTCGTTCGAAACGGGTATATCTTCACATGACATCTAGACAGAAGCTTTCTCAGAAAATTCTTTGGGATGATTGAGTTGAGCAAACAGAGCTGAACACTCCTTGCGATGTAGCAGTTTAGAAACACACTTTCTGCAGAATCTGCAAGTGCATATGTGGACCTCTCTGAGGAATTCGTTGGAAACGGGATAATTTCAGCTGACTAAACAGAAGCATTCTCAGATCCTTCTTCGTGATGTCTGCATTCAACTCACAGTGTGGAACCTTTCTTTGATAGTTCAGGTTTGAAACACTCTTTTTGTAGAGGCTGCAAGGGGATAATTGCACTTCTTTGAGGCCTACCGTCGTAAAGGAAATAACTTCCTATAAAAAGAAGACAGAAGCATTCTCAGAACCCTCTTCGTGATGTTTGCATTCAACTCACAGTGCTGAACCTTTCTTTGATAGTTCAGCTTTGAAACACTCTTCTTGTAGAAACTGCAAGTGGATATTTGGTCCTCTCTGAGGATTTCGTTGGAAACGGGATAAACCGCACAGAACTAAACAGAAGCATTCTCAGAACCTTCTTCGTGATGTTTGCATTCAACTCACAGTGTTGAACCTTTCTTTGATAGTTCAGGTTTGAAACGGTCTTTCTGTAGAAACTGCAAGTAGATATTTGGACCTCTCTGAGGATTTCGTTGGAAACGGGATAACCCGCACAGAACTAAAACAGAAGCATTCACAGAAAACTCTTGGTGACGACTGAGTTTAACTCACAGAGCTGAACATTCCTTTGGATGGAGCAGTTTCGAAACACACTATTTGTAGAATGTGCAAGTGGATATTTGGGCCTCTCTGAGGATTTCGTTGGAAACGGGATAAACCGCACAGAACTAAACAGAAGCATTCTCAGAAACTACTTTGTGATGATTGCATTCAAGTCACAGAGTTGAACATTCCCTTTGATAGAGCAGTTTGGAAACTCTCTTTGTGTAGAATCTGCAAGTGGAGATATGGACCGCTTTGAGGCCTATGGTAGTAAAGGAAATAGCTTCATATAAAAGCTAGACAGTAGCATTCTCAGAAACTTCTTTGTGATGCTTGCATTCAACTCACAGAGTTGAACTTTCCTTTCGAGAGAGAAGCTTTGAAACACTCTTTTCCAGAAACTGCAAGTGGACATTTGGAGGGCATTGAGGCCTGTGGTGGAAAAGGAATTATCTTCCCGTAAAAGCTAGACAGAAGCATTGTCAGAAACTTCTTTGTGATGATTGCATTCAACTCACAGAGTTGAAGGTTCCTTTTCAAAGAGCAGTTTCCAATCACTCTTTCTGTGGAATCTGCAAGTGGATATTTGGACCTCTTTGAAGATTTCGTTGGAAACGGGAGAATCTTCACAGAAAAGCTAAACAGAAGCATTCTCAGAAACTTCTCTGTGATGTTTGTGTTCAACTCCCAGAGTTTCACATTGCTTTTCGTAGAGTAGTTCTGAAACATGCTTTTCGTAGTGTCTACAAGTGGACATTTGGAGCGCTTTCAGGCCTGTGGTGGAAAACGAATTATGGTCACATAAAAACTGGAGAGAAGCCTTCTCAGAAACTTCTCTGTGATGATTGCATTCAACTCACAGATTTGAACCCTCCTATGGATAGAGCAGTGTTGAAACTCTCTTTTTGTGGAATCTGCAAGTGGATATGTGGACCTCTCCGAAGATGTCTTTGGAAACGGGAATATCTTCACATAAAAACTAAACAGAAGCATTCTCAGAAACTTCTTGGTGATGTTTGCATTCAAATCCCAGAGTTGAACCTTCCTTTGATAGTTCAGGTTTGAAACACTCTTTTTGTAGGATCTGCAAGTGGCTATTTGGACCACTCTGTGGCCTTCGTTCGAAACGGGTATATCTTCGCATAAAATCTAGACAGAAGCATTCTCAGAAAATACTTTGTGATGATTGAGTTGAACTCACAGAGCTGAACATTCCTTTGGATGGAGCAGGATTGAGACACACTTTTTGTAGAATCTACAAGTGGATATTTGGACCTCTCTGAGGATTTCGTTGGAAACGGGATAACTGCACCTAACTAAACGGAAGCATTCTCAGAAACTGCTTTGTGATGATTGCATTCACCTCACAGAGTTGAACATTCCTATTGATAGAGCAGTTTGGAAACACTCTTGTTGTGGAATGTGCAAGTGGAGATTTGGAGCGCTTTGAGGCCTATGGTAGTAAAGGGAATAGCTTCATAGAAAAACTAGACAGGATGCATTCTCAGGAACTTTTTGGTGATGTTTGTATTCAACTCCCAGAGTTGAACTTTCCTTTGGAAAGAGCAGCTATGAAACACTCTTTTTCTAGAATCTGCAAGTGGACGTTTGGAGGGCTTTGTGGTTTGTGGTGGAAAAGGAAATATCTTCACCTAAATACTAGATAGAAGCATTCTCAGAAGCTTCTCTGTGATGACTGCATTCAACTCACGGAGTTGAACACTCCTTTTGAGAGCGCAGTTTTGAAACTCTCTTTCTGTGGCATCTGCAAGGGGACATGTAGACCTCTTTGAAGATTTCGTTGGAAACGGAATCATCTTCACATAAAAACTATACAGAAGCAGTCTCAGAATCTTCTTTGTGATGTTTGCATTCAAATCCCAGAGTTGAACTTCCCTTTCAAAGTTCACGTTTGAAACACTCTTTTTGCAGGATCTACAAGTGGATATTTGGACCACTCTGTGTCCTTCGTTCGAAACGGGTATATCTTCACATGGCATCTAGACAGAAGCTTTCTCAGAAAATCCTTTGGGATGATTGAGTGGAACTCACAGAGCTGAACATTCCTTGCGATGTAGCAGTTTAGAAACACACTTTCTGCAGAATCTGCAAGTGCATATGTGGACCTCTCTGAGGAATTCGTTGGAAACGGGATAATTTCAGCTGACTAAACAGAAGCATTCTCAGAACCTTCTTCGTGATGTCTGCATTCAACTCACAGTGTGGAACCTTTCTTTGATAGTTCAGGTTTGAAACACTCTTTTTGTAGAAACTGCAAGGGGATAATTGCACTTCTTTGAGGCCTACCGTAGTAAAGGAAATAACTTCCTATAGAAAGAAGACAGAAGCATTCTCAGAACCCTCTTCGTGATGTTTGCATTCAACTCACAGTGCTGAACCTTTCTTTGATAGTTCAGCTTTGAAACACTCTTCTTGTAGAAACTGCAAGTGGATATTTGGTCCTCTCTGAGGATTTCGTTGGAAACGGGATAAACCGCACAGAACTAAACAGAAGAATTCTCAGAGCCCTCTTCGTGGTGTTTGCATTCAACTCACAGTGCTGAACCTTTCTTTGATAGTGCAACTTTGAAACACTCTTTTTGTAGAAACTGCAAGTGGATATTTGGTCCTCTCTGAGGATTTCGTTGGAAACGGGATAAACCGCACAGAACTAAAACAGAAGCATTCACAGAAAACTCTTGGTGATGACTGCGTTTAAGTCACAGAGCTGAACATTCCTTTGTATGGAGCAGTTTCAAAACACACTATTTGTAGAATCTGCAAGTGGATATTTGGGCCTCTCTGAGGATTTCGTTGGAAACGGGATAAAACGCACAGAACTAAAACAGAAGCATTCTCAGAAACTACTTTGTGATGATTGCATTCAAGTCACAGAGTTGAACATTCCCTTTGACAGAGCAGTTTGGAAACTCTCTTTGTGTAGAATCTGCAAGTGGAGATATGGACCGCTTTGAGGCCTATGGTAGTAAAGGAAATAGCTTCATATAAAAGCTAGACAGTAGCCTTCTCAGAAACTTCTTTGTGATGCTTGCATTCAACTCACAGAGTTGAACTTTCCTTTCGAGAGAGAAGCTTTGAAACACTCTTTTTCCAGAATCTGCAAGTGGACATTTGGAGGGCTTTGAGGCCTGTGGTGGAAAAGGAATTATCTTCCCGTAAAAGCCTAGATAGAAGCATTGTCAGAAACTTCTTTGTGATGATTGCATTCAAGTCACAGAGTTGAAGGTTCCTTTTCAAAGAGCAGTTTCCAATCACTCTTTCTGTGGAATCTGCAAGTGGATATTTGGACCTCTTTGAAGATTTCGTTGGAAACGGGAGAATCTTCACAGAAAAGCTAAACAGAAGCATTCTCAGAAACTTCTCTGTGATGTTTGTGTTCAACTCCCAGAGTTTCACATTGCTTTTCATAGAGTAGTTCTGAAACATGCTTTTCGTAGTGTCTGCAAGTGGACATTTGGAGCGCTTTCAGGCCTGTGGTGGAAAACGAATTATGGTCACATAAAAACTGGAGAGAAGCCTTCTCAGAAACTTCTCTGTGATGATTGCATTCAACTCACAGATTTGAACCCTCCTATGGATAGAGCATTGTTGAAACTCTCTTTTTGTGGAATCTGCAAGTGGATATGTGGACCTCTCCGAAGATGTCTTTGGAAACGGGAATATCTTCACATAAAAACTAAACAGAAGCATTCTCAGAAACTTCTTGGTGATGTTTGCATTCAAATCCCAGAGTTGAACCTTCCTTTGATAGTTCAGGTTTGAAACACTCTTTTTGTAGGATCTGCAAGTGGATATTTGGACCACTCTGTGGCCTTCGTTCGAAACGGGTATATCTTCGCATAAAATCTAGACAGAAACATTCTCAGAAAATACTTTGTGATGATTGAGTTTAAATCACAGAGCTGAACATTCCTTTGGATGGAGCAGGTTTGAGACACACTTTTTGTAGAATCTACAAGTGGATATTTGGACCTCTCTGAGGATTTCGTTGGAAACGGGATAACTGCACCTAACTAAACGGAAGCATTCTCAGAAACTGCTTTGTGATGATTGCATTCACCTCACAGAGTTGAACATTCCTATTGATAGAGCAGTTTGGAAACACTCTTGTTGTGGAATGTGCAAATGGAGATTTGGAGCGCTTTGAGGCCTATGGTAGTAAAGGGAATAGCTTCATAGAAAAACTAGACAGATGCATTCTCAGGAACCTTTTGGTGATGTTTGTATTCAACTCCCAGAGTTGAACTTTCCTTTGGAAAGAGCAGCTATGAAACACTCTTTTTCTAGAATCTGCAAGTGGACGTTTGGAGGGCTTTGTGGTTTGTGGTGGAAAAGGAAATATCTTCACCTAAATACTAGATAGAAGCATTCTCAGAAGCTTCTCTGTGATGACTGCATTCAACTCACGGAGTTGAACACTCCTTTTGAGAGCGCAGTTTTGAAACTCTCTTTCTGTGGCATCTGCAAGGGGACATGTAGACCTCTTTGAAGATTTCGTTGGAAACGGAATCATCTTCACATAAAAACTATACAGAAGCAGTCTCAGAATCTTCTTTGTGATGTTTGCATTCAAATCCCAGAGTTGAACTTTCCTTTCAAAGTTCACGTTTGAAACACTCTTTTTGCAGGATCTACAAGTGGATATTTGGACCACTCTGTGTCCTTCTTTCGAAACGGGTATATCTTCACATGACATCTAGACAGAAGCTTTCTCAGAAAATTCTTTGGGATGATTGAGTTGAGGAAACAGAGCTGAACACTCCTTGCGATGTAGCAGTTTAGAAACACACTTTCTGCAGAATCTGCAAGTGCATATGTGGACCTCTCTGAGGAATTCATTGGAAACGGGATAATTTCAGCTGACTAAACAGAAGCATTCTCAGAACCTTCTTCGTGATGTCTGCATTCAACTCACAGTGTGGAACCTTTCTTTGATAGTTCAGGTTTGAAACACTCTTTTTGTAGAAACTGCAAGGGGATAATTGCACTTCTTTGAGGCCTACCGTAGTAAAGGAAATAACTTCCTATAAAAAGAAGACAGAAGCATTCTCAGAACCCTCTTCGTGATGTTTGCATTCAACTCACAGTGCTGAAACTTTCTTTGATAGTTCAGCTTTGAAACACTCTTTTTGTAGAAACTGCAAGTGGATACTTGGTCCTCTCTGAGGATTTCGTTGGAAAAGGGGTAAACCGCACAGAACTAAACAGAAGAATTCTCAGAGCCCTCTTCGTGATGTTTGCATTCAACTCACAGTGCTGAACCTTTCTTTGATAGTGCAGCTTTGAAACACTCTTTTTGTAGAAACTGCAAGTGGATGTTTGGTCCTCTCTGAGGATTTCGTTGGAAACGGGATAAACCGCACAGAACTAAAACAGAAGCATTGTCAGAAACTTCTTTGTGATGATTGCATTCAACTCACAGAGTTGAAGGTTCCTTTTCAAACAGCAGTTTCCAATCACTCTTTCTGTGGAATCTGCAAGTGGATATTTGGGCCTCTCTGAGGATTTCGTTGGAAACGGGATAAAACGCACAGAACTAAAACAGAAGCATTCTCAGAAACTTCTCTGTGATGTTTGTGTTCAACTCCCAGAGTTTCACGTTGCTTTTCATAGAGTAGTTCTGAAACATGCTTTTCATAGTGTCTGCAAGTGGACATTTGGAGCGCTTTCAGGCCTGTGGTGGAAAACGAATTATGGTCACATAAAAACTGGAGAGAAGCCTTCTCAGAAACTTCTCTGTGATGATTGCATTCAACTCACAGAGTTGAACCCTCCTATGGATAGAGCAGTGTTGAAACTCTCTTTTTGTGGAATCTGCAAGTGGATATGTGGACCTCTCCGAAGATGTCTTTGGAAACGGGAATATCTTCACATAAAAACTAAACAGAAGCATTCTCAGAAACTTCTTGGTGATGTTTGCATTCAAATCCCAGAGGTGAACCTTCCTTTGATAGTTCAGGTTTGAAACACTCTTTTTGTAAGATCTGCAAGTGGCTATTTAGACCACTCTGTGGCCTTCGTTCGAAACGGGTATATCTTCGCATAAAATCTAGACAGAAGCATTCTCAGAAAATACTTTGTGATGATTGAGTTGAACTCACAGAGCTGAACATTCCTTTGGATGGAGCAGGTTTGAGACACACTTTTTGTAGAATCTACAAGTGGATATTTGGACCTCTCTGAGGATTTCATTGGAAACGGGATAACTGCACCTAACTAAACGGAAGCATTCTCAGAAACTGCTTTGTGATGATTGCATTCACCTCACAGAGTTGAACATTCCTATTGATAGAGCAGTTTGGAAACACTCTTGTTGTGGAATGTGCAAGTGGAGATTTGGAGCGCTTTGAGGCCTATGGTAGTAAAGGGAATAGCTTCATAGAAAAACTAGACAGATGCATTCTCAGGAACTTTTTGGTGATGTTTGTATTCAACTCCCAGAGTTGAACTTTCCTTTGGAAAGAGCAGCTATGAAACACTCTTTTTCTAGAATCTGCAAGTGGACGTTTGGAGGGCTTTGTGGTTTGTGGTGGAAAAGGAAATATCTTCACCTAAATACTAGATAGAAGCATTCTCAGAAGCTTCTCTGTGATGACTGCATTCAACTCACGGAGTTGAACACTCCTTTTGAGAGCGCAGTTTTGAAACTCTCTTTCTGTGGCATCTGCAAGGGGACATGTAGACCTCTTTGAAGATTTCGTTGGAAACGGAATCATCTTCACATAAAAACTATACAGAAGCAGTCTCAGAATCTTCTTTGTGATGTTTGCATTCAAATCCCAGAGTTGAACTTTCCTTTCAAAGTTCACGTTTGAAACACTCTTTTTGCAGGATCTACAAGTGGATATTTGGACCACTCTGTGTCCTTCGTTCGAAACGGGTATATCTTCACACGACATCTAGACAGAAGCTTTCTCAGAAAATTCTTTGGGATGATTGAGTGGAACTCACAGAGCTGAACATTCCTTGCGATGTAGCAGTTTAGAAACACACTTTCTGCAGAATCTGCAAGTGCATATTTGGACCTCTCTGAGGAATTCGTTGGAAACGGGATAATTTCAGCTGACTAAACAGAAGCATTCTCAGAACCTTCTTCGTGATGTCTGCATTCAACTCACAGTGTGGAACCTTTCTTTGATAGTTCAGGTTTGAAACACTCTTTTTGTAGAAACTGCAAGGGGATAATTGCACTTCTTTGAGGCCTACCGTAGTAAAGGAAATAACTTCCTATAGAAAGAAGACAGAAGCATTCTCAGAACCCTCTTCGTGATGTTTGCATTCAACTCACAGTGCTGAAGCTTTCTTTGATAGTTCAGCTTTGAAACACTCTTCTTGTAGAAACTGCAAGTGGATATTTGGTCCTCTCTGAGGATTTCGTTGGAAACGGGATAAACCGCACAGAACTAAACAGAAGAATTCTCAGAGCCCTCTTCGTGATGTTTGCATTCAACTCACAGTGCTGAACCTTTCTTTGATAGTGCAGCTTTGAAACACTCTTTTTGTAGAAACTGCAAGTGGATGTTTGGTCCTCTCTGAGGATTTCGTTGGAAACGGGATAAACCGCACAGAACTAAAACAGAAGCATTGTCAGAAACTTCTTTGTGATGATTGCATTCAACTCACAGAGTTGAAGGTTCCTTTTCAAACAGCAGTTTCCAATCACTCTTTCTGTGGAATCTGCAAGTGGATATTTGGGCCTCTCTGAGGATTTCGTTGGAAACGGGATAAAACGCACAGAACTAAAACAGAAGCATTCTCAGAAACTTCTCTGTGATGTTTGTGTTCAACTCCCAGAGTTTCACGTTGCTTTTCATAGAGTAGTTTTGAAACATGCTTTTCGTAGTGTCTGCAAGTGGACATTTGGAGCGCTTTCAGGCCTGTGGTGGAAAACGAATTATGGTCACATAAAAACTGGAGAGAAGCCTTCTCAGAAACTTCTCTGTGATGATTACATTCAACTCACAGAGTTGAACCCTCCTATGGATAGAGCAGTGTTGAAACTCTCTTTTTGTGGAATCTGCAAGTGGATATGTGGACCTCTCCGAAGATGTCTTTGGAAACGGGAATATCTTCACATAAAAACTAAACAGAAGCATTCTCAGAAACTTCTTGGTGATGTTTGCATTCAAATCCCAGAGTTGAACCTTCCTTTGATAGTTCAGGTTTGAAACACTCTTTTTGTAGGATCTGCAAGTGGCTATTTGGACCACTCTGTGGCCTTCGTTCGAAACGGGTATATCTTCGCATAAAATCTAGACAGAAGCATTCTCAGAAAATACTTTGTGATGATTGAGTTTAAATCACAGAGCTGACCATTCCTTTGGATGGAGCAGGTTTGAGACACACTTTTTGTAGAATCTACAAGTGGATATTTGGACCTCTCTGAGGATTTCGTTGGAAACGGGATAACTGCACCTAACTAAACGGAAGCATTCTCAGAAACTGCTTTGTGATGATTGCATTCACCTCACAGAGTTGAACATTCCTATTGATAGAGCAGTTTGGAAACACTCTTGTTGTGGAATGTGCAAGTGGAGATTTGGAGCGCTTTGAGGCCTATGGTAGTAAAGGGAATAGCTTCATAGAAAAACTAGACAGATGCATTCTCAGGAACTTTTTGGTGATGTTTGTATTCAACTCCCAGAGTTGAACTTTCCTTTGGAAAGAGCAGCTATGAAACACTCTTTTTCTAGAATCTGCAAGTGGACGTTTGGAGGGCTTTGTGGTTTGTGGTGGAAAAGGAAATATCTTCACCTAAATACTAGATAGAAGCATTCTCAGAAGCTTCTCTGTGATGACTGCATTCAACTCACGGAGTTGAACACTCCTTTTGAGAGCGCAGTTTTGAAACTCTCTTTCTGTGGCATCTGCAAGGGGACATGTAGACCTCTTTGAAGATTTCGTTGGAAACGGAATCATCTTCACATAAAAACTATACAGAAGCAGTCTCAGAATCTTCTTTGTGATGTTTGCATTCAAATCCCAGAGTTGAACTTTCCTTTCAAAGTTCACGTTTGAAACACTCTTTTTGCAGGATCTACAAGTGGATATTTGGACCACTCTGTGTCCTTCGTTCGAAACGGGTATATCTTCACACGACATCTAGACAGAAGCCTTCTCAGAAAATTCTTTGGGATGATTGAGTGGAACTCACAGAGCTGAACATTCCTTGCGATGTAGCAGTTTAGAAACACACTTTCTGCAGAATCTGCAAGTGCATATTTGGACCTCTCTGAGGAATTCGTTGGAAACGGGATAATTTCAGCTGACTAAACAGAAGCATTCTCAGAACCTTCTTCGTGATGTCTGCATTCAACTCACAGTGTGGAACCTTTCTTTGATAGTTCAGGTTTGAAACACTCTTTTTGTAGAAACTGCAAGGGGATAATTGCACTTCTTTGAGGCCTACCGTAGTAAAGGAAATAACTTCCTATAGAAAGAAGACAGAAGCATTCTCAGAACCCTCTTCGTGATGTTTGCATTCAACTCACAGTGCTGAACCTTTCTTTGATAGTTCAGCTTTGAAACACTCTTCTTGTAGAAACTGCAAGTGGATATTTGGTCCTCTCTGAGGATTTCGTTGGAAACGGGATAAACCGCACAGAACTAACCAGAAGAATTCTCAGAGCCCTCTTCGTGATGTTTGCATTCAACTCACAGTGCTGAACCTTTCTTTGATAGTGCAGCTTTGAAACACTCTTTTTGTAGAAACTGCAAGTGGATATTTGGTCCTCTCTGAGGATTTCGCTGGAAACGGGATAAACCGCACAGAACTAAAACAGAAGCATTCTCAGAACCTTCTTCGTGATGTTTGCATTCAACTCACAGTGTTGAACCTTTCTTTGATAGTTCAGGTTGGAAACGGTCTTTCTGTAGAAACTGCAAGTAGATATTTGGACCTCTCTGAGGATTTCGTTGGAAACGGGATAAACCGCACAGAACTAAAACAGAAGCATTCACAGAAAACTCTTGGTGACGACTGAGTTTAACTCACAGAGCTGAACATTCCTTTGGATGGAGCAGTTTCGAAACACACTATTTGTAGAATGTGCAAGTGGATATTTGGGCCTCTCTGAGGATTTCATTGGAAACGCGATAAACCGCACAGAACTAAACAGAAGCATTCTCAGAAACTACTTTGTGATGATTGCATTCAAGTCACAGAGTTGAACATTCCCTTTGACAGAGCAGTTTGGAAACTCTCTTTGTGTAGAATCTGCAAGTGGAGATATGGACCGCTTTGAGGCCTATGGTAGTAAAGGAAATAGCTTCATATAAAAGCTAGACAGTAGCATTCTCGGAAACTTCTTTGTGATGCTTGCATTCAACTCACAGAGTTGAACATTCCTTTCGAGAGAGAAGCTTTGAAACACTCTTTTTCCAGAATCTGCAAGTGGACATTTGGAGGGCTTTGAGGCCTGTGGTGGAAAAGGAATTATCTTCCCGTAAAAGCTAGATAGAAGCATTGTCAGAAACTTCTTTGTGATGATTGCATTCAACTCACAGAGTTGAAGGTTCCTTTTCAAAGAGCAGTTTCAAATCACTCTTTCCGTGGAATCTGCAAGTGGATATTTGGACCTCTTTGAAGATTTCGTTGGAAACGGGAGAATCGTCACAGAAAAGCTAAACAGAAGCATTCTCAGAAACTTCTCTGTGATGTTTGTGTTCAACTCCCAGAGTTTCACATTGCTTTTCATAGAGTCGTTCTGAAACATGCTTTTCGTACTGTCTACAAGTGGACATTTGGAGCGCTTTCAGGCCTGTGGTGGAAAACGAATTATGGTCACATAAAAACTGGAGAGAAGCCTTCTCAGAAACTTCTCTGTGATGATTGCATTCAACTCACAGAGTTGAACCCTACTATGGATAGAGCAGTGTTGAAACTCTGTTTTTGTGGAATCTGCAGGTGGATATGTGGACCTCTCCGAAGATGTCTTTGGAAACGGGAATATCTTCACATAAAAACTAAACAGAAGCATTCTCAGAAACTTCTTGGTGATGTTTGCATTCAAATCCCAGAGTTGAACCTTCCTTTGATAGTTCAGGTTTGAAACACTCTTTTTGTAGGATCTGCAAGTGGATATTTGGACCACTCTGTGGCCTTCGTTCGAAACGGGTACATCTTCGCATAAAATCTAGACAGAAGCATTCTCAGAAAATACTTTGTGATGATTGAGTTGAACTCACAGAGCTGAACATTCCTTTGGATGGAGCAGGTTTGAGACACACTTTTTGTAGAATCTACAAGTGGATATTTGGACCTCTCTGAGGATTTCGTTGGAAACGGGATAACTGCACCTAACTAAACGGAAGCATTCTCAGAAACTGCTTTGTGATGATTGCATTCACCTCACAGAGTTGAACATTCCTATTGATAGAGCAGTTTGGAAACACTCTTGTTGTGGAATGTGCAAGTGGAGATTTGGAGCGCTTTGAGGCCTATGGTAGTAAAGGGAATAGCTTCATAGAAAAACTAGACAGATGCATTCTCAGGAACTTTTTCGTGATGTTTGTATTCAACTCCCAGAGTTGAACTTTCCTTTGGAAAGAGCAGCTATGAAACACTCTTTTTCTAGAATCTGCAAGTGGACGTTTGGAGGGCTTTGTGGTTTGTGGTGGAAAAGGAAATATCTTCACCTAAATACTAGATAGAAGCGATTCTCAGAAGCTTCTCTGTGATGACTGCATTCAACTCACGGAGTTGAACACTCCTTTTGAGAGCGCAGTTTTGAAACTCTCTTTCTGTGGCATCCGCAAGGGAACATGTGGACCTCTTTGAAGATTTCGTTGGAAACGGAATCATCTTCACATAAAAACTATACAGAAGCAGTCTCAGAATCTTCTTTGTGATGTTTGCATTCAAATCCCCGAGTTGAACTTTCCTTTCAAAGTTCACGTTTGAAACACTCTTTTTGCAGGATCTACAAGTGGATATTTGGACCACTACTGTGTCCTTCGTTCGAAACGGGTATATCTTCACATGACATCTAGACAGAAGCTTTCTCAGAAAATTCTTTGGGATGATTGAGTTGAACTCACAGAGCTGAGCATTCCTTGCGATGTAGCAGTTTAGAAACACACTTTCTGCAGAATCTGCAAGTGCATATTTGGACCTCTGTGAGGAATTCGTTGGAAACGGGATAATTTCAGCTGACTAAACAGAAGCATTCTCAGAACCTTCTTCGTGATGTCTGCATTCAACACAAAGTGTGGAACTTTTCTTTGATAGTTCAGGTTTTAAAAACTCTTTTTGTAGAAACTGCAAGGGGATAATTGCACTCTTTGAAGAGTACCGTAGTAAAGGAAATAACTTCCTATAAAAAGAAGACAGAAGCATTCTCAGAACCCTCTTCGTGATGTTTGCATTCAACTCACAGTGCTGAACCTTTCTTTGATAGTTCAGCTTTGAAACACTCTTTTTGTAGAAACTGCAAGTGAATATTTGGTCCTCTCTGAGGATTTCGTTGGAAACGGGATAAAACGCACAGAACTAAACAGAAGCATTCTCAGAACCTTCTTCGTGATGTTTGCATTCAACTCACAGTGTTGAACCTTTCTTTGATAGTTCAGGTTTGAAACGGTCTTTCTGTAGAAACTGCAAGTAGATATTTGGACCTCTCTGAGGATTTCGTTGGAAACGGGATAACCCGCACAGAACTAAAACAGAAGCATTCACAGAAAACTCTTGGTGACGACTGAGTTTAACTCACAGAGCTGAACATTCCTTTGGATGGAGCAGTTTCGAAACACACTATTTGTAGAATGTGCAAGTGGATATTTGGGCCTCTCTGAGGATTTCGTTGGAAACGGAATAAACCGCACAGAACTAAACAGAAGCATTCTCAGAAACTACTTTGTGATGATTGCATTCAAGTCACAGAGTTGAACATTCCCTTTGACAGAGCAGTTTGGAAACTCTCTTTGTGTAGAATCTGCAAGTGGAGATATGGACCGCTTTGAGGCCTATGGTAGTAAAGGAAATAGCTTCATATAAAAGCTAGACAGTAGCATTCTCAGAAACTTCGTTGTGATGCTTGCATTCAACTCACAGAGTTGAACTTTCCTTTCGAGAGAGAAGCCTTGAAACACTCTTTTTCCAGAATCTGCAAGTGGACATTTGGAGGGCTTTGAGGCCTGTGGTGGAAAAGGAATTATCTTCCCGTAAAAGCTAGATAGAAGCATTGTCAGAAACTTCTTTGTGATGATTGCATTCAACTCACAGAGATGAAGGTTCCTTTACAAACAGCAGTTTCCAAACACTCTTTCTGTGGAATCTGCAAGTGGATATTTGGACCTCTTTGAAGATTTCGTTGGAAACGGGAGAATCTTCACAGAAAAGCTAAACAGAAGCATTCTCAGAAACTTCTCTGTGATGTTTGTGTTCAACTCCCAGAGTTTCACATTGCTTTTCATAGAGTAGTTCTGAAACATGCTTTTCGTAGTGTCTGCAAGTGGACATTTGGAGCGCTTTCAGGCCTGTGGTGGAAAACCGAATTATGGTCACATAAAAACTGGAGAGAAGCCTTCTCAGAAACTTCTCTGTGATGATTGCATTCAACTCACAGATTTGAACCCTCCTATGGATAGAGCATTGTTGAAACTCTCTTTTTGTGGAATCTGCAAGTGGATATGTGGACCTCTCCGAAGATGTACTTTGGAAACGGGAATATCTTCACATAAAAACTAAACAGAAGCATTCTCAGAAACTTCTTGGTGATGTTTGCATTCAAATCCCAGAGTTGAACCTTCCTTTGATAGTTCAGGTTTGAAACACTCTTTTTGTAGGATCTGCAAGTGGCTATTTGGACCACTCTGTGGCCTTCGTTCGAAACTGGTATATCTTCGCATAAAATCTAGACAGAAGCATTCTCAGAAAATACTTTGTGATGATTGAGTTTAAATCACAGAGCTGACCATTCCTTTGGATGGAGCAGGTTTGAGACACACTTTTTGTAGAATCTACAAGTGGATATTTGGACCTCTCTGAGGATTTCGTTGGAAACGGGATAACTGCACCTAACTAAACGGAAGCATTCTCAGAAACTGCTTTGTGATGATTGCATTCACGTCACAGAGTTGAACATTCCTATTGATAGAGCAGTTTGGAAACACTCTTGTTGTGGAATGTGCAAGTGGAGATTTGGAGCGCTTTGAGGCCTATGGTAGTAAAGGGAATAGCTTCATAGAAAAACTAGACAGATGCATTCTCAGGAACTTTTTGGTGATGTTTGTATTCAACTCCCAGAGTTGAACTTTCCTTTGGAAAGAGCAGCTATGAAACACTCTTTTTCTAGAATCTGCAAGTGGACGTTTGGAGGGCTTTGTGGTTTGTGGTGGAAAAGGAAATATCTTCACCTAAATACTAGATAGAAGCTTTCTCAGAAGCTTCTCTGTGATGACTGCATTCAACTCACGGAGTTGAACACTCCTTTTGAGAGCGCAGTTTTGAAACTCTCTTTCTGTGGCATCTGCAAGGGGACATGTAGACCTCTTTGAAGATTTCGTTGGAAACGGAATCATCTTCACATAAAAACTATACAGAAGCAGTCTCAGAATCTTCTTTGTGATGTTTGCATTCAAATCCCAGAGTTGAACTTTCCTTTCAAAGTTCACGTTTGAAACACTCTTTTTGCAGGATCTACAAGTGGATATTTGGACCACTCTGTGTCCTTCGTTCGAAACGGGTATATCTTCACACGACATCTAGACAGAAGCTTTCTCAGAAAATTCTTTGGAATGATTGAGTGGAACTCACAGAGCTGAACATTCCTTGCGATGTAGCAGTTTAGAAACACACTTTCTGCAGAATCTGCAAGTGCATATTTGGACCTCTCTGAGGAATTCGTTGGAAACGGGATAATTTCAGCTGACTAAACAGAAGCATTCTCAGAACCTTCTTCGTGATGTCTGCATTCAACTCACAGTGTGGAACCTTTCTTTGATAGTTCAGGTTTGAAACACTCTTTTTGTAGAAACTGCAAGGGGATAATTGCACTTCTTTGAGGCCTACCGTAGTAAAGGAAATAACTTCCTATAGAAAGAAGACAGAAGCATTCTCAGAACCCTCTTCGTGATGTTTGCATTCAACTCATAGTGCTGAACCTTTCTTTGATAGTTCAGCTTTCAAACACTCTTCTTGTAGAAACTGCAAGTGGATATTTGGTCCTCTCTGAGGATTTCGTTGGAAACGGGGTAAACCGCACAGAACTAAACAGAAGCATTCTCAGAACCTTCTTCGTGATGTTTGCATTCAACTCACAGTGTTGAACCTTTCTTTGATAGTTCAGGTTTGAAACGGTCTTTCTGTAGAAACTGCAAGTAGATATTTGGACCTCTCTGAGGATTTCGTTGGAAACGGGATAAACCGCACAGAACTAAAACAGAAGCATTCACAGAAAACTCTTGGTGACGACTGAGTTTAACTCACAGAGCTGAACATTCCTTTGGATGGAGCAGTTTCGAAACACACTATTTGTAGAATGTGCAAGTGGATATTTGGGCCTCTCTGAGGATTTCGTTGGAAACGGGATAAACCGCACAGAACTAAACAGAAGCATTCTCAGAAACTACTTTGTGATGATTGCATTCAAGTCACAGCAGTTGAACATTCCCTTTGACAGAGCAGTTTGGAAACTCTCTTTCTGTAGAATCTGCAAGTGGAGATATGGACCGCTTTGAGGCCTATGGTAGTAAAGGAAATAGCTTCATATAAAAGCTAGACAGTAGCATTCTCAGAAACTTCTTTGTGATGCTTGCATTCAACTCACAGAGTTGAACTTTCCTTTCGAGAGAGAAGCTTTGAAACACTCTTTTTCCAGAATCTGCAAGTGGACATTTGGAGGGCTTTGAGGCCTGTGGTGGAAAAGGAATTATCTTCCCGTAAAAGCTAGATAGAAGCATTGTCAGAAACTTCTTTGTGATGATTGCATTCAAGTCACAGAGTTGAAGGTTCCTTTTCAAAGAGCAGTTTCCAATCACTCTTTCTGTGGAATCTGCAAGTGGATATTTGGACCTCTTTGAAGATTTCGTTGGAAACGGGAGAATCTTCACAGAAAAGCTAAACAGAAGCATTCTCAAAAACTTCTCTGTGATGTTTGTGTTCAACTCCCAGAGTTTCACATTGCTTCTCATAGAGTATTTCTGAAACATGCTTTTCGTAGTGTCTGCAAGTGGACATTTGGAGCGCTTTCAGGCCTGTGGTGGAAAACGAATTATGGTCACATAAAAACTGGAGAGAAGCCTTCTCAGAAACTTCTCTGTGATGATTGCATTCAACTCACAGAGTTGAACCCTCCTATGGATAGAGCAGTGTTGAAACTCTCTTTTTGTGGAATCTGCAAGCGGATATGTGGACCTCTCCGAAGATGTCTTTGGAAACGGGAATATCTTCACATAAAAACTAAACAGAAGCATTCTCAGAAACTTCTTGGTGATGTTTGCATTCAAATCCCAGAGTTGAACCTTCCTTTGAGAGTTCAGGTTTGAAACACTCTTTTTGTAGGATCTGCAAGTGGATATTTGGACCACTATGTGGCCTTCGTTCGAAACGGGTACATCTTCGCATAAAATCTAGACAGAAGCATTCTGAGAAAATACTTTGTGATGATTGAGTTGAACTCACAGAGCTGAACATTCCTTTGGATGGAGCAGGTTTGAGACACACTTTTTGTAGAATCTACAAGTGGATATTTGGACCTCTCTGAGGATTTCGTTGGAAACGGGATAACTGCACCTAACTAAACGGAAGCATTCTCAGAAACTGCTTTGTGATGATTGCATTCACCTCACAGAGTTGAACATTCCTATTGATAGAGCAGTTTGGAAACACTCTTGTTGTGGAATGTGCAAGTGGAGATTTGGAGCGCTTTGAGGCCTATGGTAGTAAAGGGAATAGCTTCATAGAAAAACTAGACAGATGCATTCACAGGAACTTTTTGGTGATGTTTGTATTCAACTCCCAGAGTTGAACTTTCCTTTGGAAAGAGCAGCTATGAAACACTCTTTTTCTAGAATCTGCAAGTGGACGTTTGGAGGGCTTTGTGGTTTGTGGTGGAAAAGGAAATATCTTCACCTAAATGCTAGATAGAAGCATTCTCAGAAGCTTCTCTGTGATGACTGCATTCAACTCACGGAGTTGAACACTCCTTTTGAGAGCGCAGTTTTGAAACTCTCTTTCTGTGGCATCTGCAAGGGGACATGTAGACCTCTTTGAAGATTTCGTTGGAAACGGAATCATCTTCACATCAAAACTATACAGAAGCAGTCTCAGAATCTTCTTTGTGATGTTTGCATTCAAATCCCAGAGTTGAACTTTCCTTTCCAAGTTCACGTTTGAAACACTCTTTTTGCAGGATCTACAAGTGGATATTTTGACCACTCTGTGTCCTTCGTTCGAAACGGGTATATCTTCACATGACATCTAGACAGAAGCTTTCTCAGAAAATTCTTTGGGATGATTGAGTTGAGCAAACAGAGCTGAACACTCCTTGCGATGTAACAGTTTAGAAACACACTTTCTGCAGAATCTGCAAGTGCATATGTGGACCTCTCTGAGGAATTCGTTGGAAACGGGATAATTTCAGCTGACTAAACAGAAGCATTCTCAGAACCTTCTTCGTGATGTCTGCATTCAACTCACAGTGTGGAACCTTTCTTTGATAGTTCAGGTTTGAAACACTCTTTTTGTAGAAACTGCAAGGGGATCATTGCACTTCTTTGAGGCCTACCGTAGTAAAGGAGATAACTTACTATAAAAAGAAGACAGAAGAATTCTCAGAGCCCTCTTCGTGATGTTTGCATTCAACTCACAGTGCTGAACCTTTCTTTGATAGTGCAGCTTTGAAACACTCTTTTTGTAGAAACTGCAAGTGGATGTTTGGTCCTCTCTGAGGATTTCGTTGGAAACGGGATAAACCGCACAGAACTAAAACAGAAGCATTGTCAGAAACTTCTTTGTGATGATTGCATTCAACTCACAGAGTTGAAGGTTCCTTTTCAAACAGCAGTTTCCAATCACTCTTTCTGTGGAATCTGCAAGTGGATATTTGGGCCTCTCTGAGGATTTCGTTGGAAATGGGATAAAACGCACAGAACTAAAACAGAAGCATTCTCAGAAACTTCTCTGTGATGTTTGTGTTCAACTCCCAGAGTTTCACGTTGCTTTTCATAGAGTAGTTCTGAAACATGCTTTTCGTAGTGTCTGCAAGTGGACATTTGGAGCGCTTTCAGGCCTGTGGTGGAAAACGAATTATGGTCACATAAAAACTGGAGAGAAGCCTTCTCAGAAACTTCTCTGTGATGATTGCATTCAACTCACAGAGTTGAACCCTCCTATGGATAGAGCAGTGTTGAAACTCTCTTTTTGTGGAATCTGCAAGTGGATATGTGGACCTCTCCGAAGATGTCTTTGGAAACGGGAATATCTTCACATAAAAACTAAACAGAAGCATTCTCAGAAACTTCTTGGTGATGTTTGCATTCAAATCCCAGAGTTGAACCTTCCTTTGATAGTTCAGGTTTGAAACACTCTTTCTGTAGGATCTGCAAGTGGCTATTTGGACCACTCTGTGGCCTTCGTTCGAAACGGGTATATCTTCGCATAAAATCTAGACAGAAGCATTCTCAGAAAATACTTTGTGATGATTGAGTTTAAATCACAGAGCTGACCATTCCTTTGGATGGAGCAGGTTTGAGACACACTTTTTGTAGAATCTACAAGTGGATATTTGGACCTCTCTGAGGATTTCGTTGGAAACGGGATAACTGCACCTAACTAAACGGAAGCATTCTCAGAAACTGCTTTGTGATGATTGCATTCACCTCACAGAGTTGAACATTCCTATTGATAGAGCAGTTTGGAAACACTCTTGTTGTGGAATGTGCAAGTGGAGATTTGGCGCGCTTTGAGGCCTATGGTAGTAAAGGGAATAGCTTCATAGAAAAACTAGACAGATGCATTCTCAGGAACTTTTTGGTGATGTTTGTATTCAACTCCCAGAGTTGAACTTTCCTTTGGAAAGAGCAGCTATGAAACACTCTTTTTCTAGAATCTGCAAGTGGACGTTTGGAGGGCTTTGTGGTTTGTGGTGGAAAAGGAAATATCTTCACCTAAATACTAGATAGAAGCATTCTCAGAAGCTTCTCTGTGATGACTGCATTCAACTCACGGAGTTGAACACTCCTTTTGAGAGCGCAGTTTTGAAACTCTCTTTCTGTGGCATCTGCAAGTTGACATGTAGACCTCTTTGAAGATTTCGTTGGAAACGGAATCATCTTCACATAAAAACTATACAGAAGCAGTCTCAGAATCTTCTTTGTGATGTTTGCATTCAAATCCCAGAGTTGAACTTTCCTTTCAAAGTTCACGTTTGAAACACTCTTTTTGCAGGATCTACAAGTGGATATTTGGACCACTCTGTGTCCTTCGTTCGAAACGGGTATATCTTCACATGACATCTAGACAGAAGCTTTCTCAGAAAATTCTTTGGGATGATTGAGTGGAATTCACAGAGCTGAACATTCCTTGCGATGTAGCAGTTTAGAAACACACTTTCTGCAGAATCTGCAAGTGCATATTTGGACCTCTCTGAGGAATTCGTTGGAAACGGGATAATTTCAGCTGACTAAACAGAAGCATTCTCAGAACCTTCTTCCTGATGTCTGCATTCAACTCACAGTGTGGAACCTTTCTTTGATAGTTCAGGTTTGAAACACTCTTTTTGTAGAAACTGCAAGGGGATAATTGCACTTCTTTGAGGCCTACCGTAGTAAAGGAAGTATCTTCCTATAGAAAGAAGACAGAAGCATTCTCAGAACCCTCTTCGTGATGTTTGCATTCAACTCACAGTGCTGAACCTTTCTTTGATAGTTCAGCTTTGAAACACTCTTCTTGTAGAAACTGCAAGTGGATATTTGGTCCTCTCTGAGGATTTCGTTGGAAACGGGATAAACCGCACAGAACTAAACAGAAGAATTCTCAGAGCCCTCTTCGTGATGTTTGCATTCAACTCACAGTGCTGAACCTTTCTTTGATAGTGCAGCTTTGAAACACTCTTTTTGTAGAAACTGCAAGTGGATGTTTGGTCCTCTCTGAGGATTTCGTTGGAAACGGGATAAACCGCACAGAACTAAAACAGAAGCATTGTCAGAAACTTCTTTGTGATGATTGCATTCAACTCACAGAGTTGAAGGTTCCTTTTCAAACAGCAGTTTCCAATCACTCTTTCTGTGGAATCTGCAAGTGGATATTTGGGCCTCTCTGAGGATTTCGTTGGAAACGGGATAAAACGCACAGAACTAAAACAGAAGCATTCTCAGAAACTTCTCTGTGATGTTTGTGTTCAACTCCCAGAGTTTCACGTTGCTTTTCATAGAGTAGTTCTGAAACATGCTTTTCGTAGTGTCTGCAAGTGGACATTTGGAGCGCTTTCAGGCCTGTGGTGGAAAACGAATTATGGTCACATAAAAACTGGAGAGAAGCCTTCTCAGAAACTTTTCTGTGATGATTGCATTCAACTCACAGAGTTGAACCCTCCTATGGATAGAGCAGTGTTGAAACTCTCTTTTTGTGGAATCTGCAAGTGGATATGTGGACCTCTCCGAAGATGTCTTTGGAAACGGGAATATCTTCACATAAAAACTAAACAGAAGCATTCTCAGAAACTTCTTGGTGATGTTTGCATTCAAATCCCAGAGTTGAACCTTCCTTTGATAGTTCAGGTTTGAAACACTCTTTTTGTAGGATCTGCAAGTGGCTATTTGGACCACTCTGTGGCCTTCGTTCGAAACGGGTATATCTTCGCATAAAATCTAGACAGAAGCATTCTCAGAAAATACTTTGTGATGATTGAGTTTAAATCACAGAGCTGACCATTCCTTTGGATGGAGCAGGTTTGAGACACACTTTTTGTAGAATCTACAAGTGGATATTTGGACCTCTCTGAGGATTTCGTTGGAAACGGGATAACTGCACCTAACTAAACGGAAGCATTCTCAGAAACTGCTTTGTGATGATTGCATTCACCTCACAGAGTTGAACATTCCTATTGATAGAGCAGTTTGGAAACACTCTTGTTGTGGAATGTGCAAGTGGAGATTTGGAGCGCTTTGAGGCCTATGGTAGTAAAGGGAATAGCTTCATAGAAAAACTAGACAGATGCATTCTCAGGAACTTTTTGGTGATGTTTGTATTCAACTCCCAGAGTTGAACTTTCCTTTGGAAAGAGCAGCTATGAAACACTCTTTTTCTAGAATCTGCAAGTGGACGTTTGGAGGGCTTTGTGGTTTGTGGTGGAAAAGGAAATATCTTCACCTAAATACTAGATAGAAGCATTCTCAGAAGCTTCTCTGTGATGACTGCATTCAACTCACGGAGTTGAACACTCCTTTTGAGAGCGCAGTTTTGAAACTCTCTTTCTGTGGCATCTGCAAGGGGACATGTAGACCTCTTTGAAGATTTCGTTGGAAACGGAATCATCTTCACATAAAAACTATACAGAAGCAGTCTCAGAATCTTCTTTGTGATGTTTGCATTCAAATCCCAGAGTTGAACTTTCCTTTCAAAGTTCACGTTTGAAACACTCTTTTTGCAGGATCTACAAGTGGATATTTGGACCACTCTGTGTCCTTCGTTCGAAACGGGTATATCTTCACACGACATCTAGACAGAAGCTTTCTCAGAAAATTCTTTGGGATGATTGAGTGGAACTCACAGAGCTGAACATTCCCTTGCGATGTAGCAGTTTAGAAACACACTTTCTGCAGAATCTGCAAGTGCATATTTGGACCTCTCTGAGGAATTCGTTGGAAACGGGATAATTTCAGCTGACTAAACAGAAGCATTCTCAGAACCTTCTTCGTGATGTCTGCATTCAACTCACAGTGTGGAACCTTTCTTTGATAGTTCAGGTTTGAAACACTCTTTTTGTAGAAACTGCAAGGGGATAATTGCACTTCTTTGAGGCCTACCGTAGTAAAGGAAATAACTTCCTATAGAAAGAAGACAGAAGCATTCTCAGAACCCTCTTCGTGATGTTTGCATTCAACTCACAGTGCTGAACCTTTCTTTGATAGTTCAGCTTTGAAACACTCTTCTTGTAGAAACTGCAAGTGGATATTTGGTCCTCTCTGAGGATTTCGTTGGAAACGGGATAAACCGCACAGAACTAAACAGAAGCATTCTCAGAGCCCTCTTCGTGATGTTTGCATTCAACTCACAGTGCTGAACCTTTCTTTGATAGTGCAGCTTTGAAACACTCTTTTTGTAGAAACTGCAAGTGGATGTTTGGTCCTCTCTGAGGATTTCGTTGGAAACGGGATAAACCGCACAGAACTAAAACAGAAGCATTGTCAGAAACTTCTTTGTGATGATTGCATTCAACTCACAGAGTTGAAGGTTCCTTTTCAAACAGCAGTTTCCAATCACTCTTTCTGTGGAATCTGCAAGTGGATATTTGGGCCTCTCTGAGGATTTCGTTGGAAACGGGATAAAACGCACAGAACTAAAACAGAAGCATTCTCAGAAACTTCTCTGTGATGTTTGTGTTCAACTCCCAGAGTTTCACGTTGCTTTTCATAGAGTAGTTCTGAAACATGCTTTTCGTAGTGTCTGCAAGTGGACATTTGGAGCGCTTTCAGGCCTGTGGTGGAAAACGAATTATGGTCACATAAAAACTGGAGAGAAGCCTTCTCAGAAACTTCTCTGTGATGATTGCATTCAACTCACAGAGTTGAACCCTCCTATGGATAGAACAGTGTTGAAACTCTCTTTTTGTGGAATCTGCAAGTGGATATGTGGACCTCTCCGAAGATGTCTTTGGAAACGGGAATATCTTCACATAAAAACTAAACAGAAGCATTCTCAGAAACTTCTTGGTGATGTTTGCATTCAAATCCCAGCGTTGAACCTTCCTTTGATAGTTCAGGTTTGAAACACTCTTTTTGTAGGATCTGCAAGTGGCTATTTGGACCACTCTGTGGCCTTCGTTCGAAACGGGTATATCTTCGCATAAAATCTAGACAGAAGCATTCTCAGAAAATACTTTGTGATGATTGAGTTTAAATCACAGAGCTGACCATTCCTTTGGATGGAGCAGGTTTGAGACACACTTTTTGTAGAATCTACAAGTGGATATTTGGACCTCTCTGAGGATTTCGTTGGAAACGGGATAACTGCACCTAACTAAACGGAAGCATTCTCAGAAACTGCTTTGTGATGATTGCATTCACCTCACAGAGTTGAACATTCCTATTGATAGAGCAGTTTGGAAACACTCTTGTTGTGGAATGTGCAAGTGGAGATTTGGAGCGCTTTGAGGCCTATGGTAGTAAAGGGAATAGCTTCATAGAAAAAATTGACAGATGCATTCTCAGGAACTTTTTGGTGATGTTTGTATTCAACTCCCAGAGTTGAACTTTCCTTTGGAAAGAGCAGCTATGAAACACTCTTTTTCTAGAATCTGGAAGTGGACGTTTGGAGGGCTTTGTGGTTTGTGGTGGAAAAGGAAATATCTTCACCTAAATACTAGATAGAAGCATTCTCAGAAGCTTCTCTGTGATGACTGCATTCAACTCACGGAGTTGAACACTCCTTTTGAGAGCGCAGTTTTGAAACTCTCTTTCTGTGGCATCTGCAAGGGGACATGTAGACCTCTTTGAAGATTTCGTTGGAAACGGAATCATCTTCACATAAAAACTATACAGAAGCAGTCTCAGAATCTTCTTTGTGATGTTTGCATTCAAATCCCAGAGTTGAACTTTCCTTTCAAAGTTCACGTTTGAAACACTCTTTTTGCAGGATCTACAAGTGGATATTTGGACCACTCTGTGTCCTTCGTTCGAAACGGGTATATCTTCACACGACATCTAGACAGAAGCTTTCTCAGAAAATTCTTTGGGATGATTGAGTGGAACTCACAGAGCTGAACATTCCTTGCGATGTGGCAGTTTAGAAACACACTTTCTGCAGAATCTGCAAGTGCATATTTGGACCTCTCTGAGGAATTCGTTGGAAACGGGATAATTTCAGCTGACTAAACAGAAGCATTCTCAGAACCTTCTTCGTGATGTCTGCATTCAACTCACAGTGTGGAACCTTTCTTTGATAGTTCAGGTTTGAAACACTCTTTTTGTAGAAACTGCAAGGGGATAATTGCACTTCTTTGAGGCCTACCGTAGTAAAGGAAATAACTTCCTATAGAAAGAAGACAGAAGCATTCTCAGAACCCTCTTCGTGACGTTTGCATTCAACTCACAGTGCTGAACCTTTCTTTGATAGTTCAGCTTTGAAACACTCTTCTTGTAGAAACTGCAAGTGGATATTTGGTCCTCTCTGAGGATTTCGTTGGAAACGGGATAAACCGCACAGAACTAAACAGAAGCATTCTCAGAGCCCTCTTCGTGATGTTTGCATTCAACTCACAGTGCTGAACCTTTCTTTGATAGTGCAGCTTTGAAACACTCTTTTTGTAGAAACTGCAAGTGGATGTTTGGTCCTCTCTGAGGATTTCGTTGGAAACGGGATAAACCGCACAGAACTAAAACAGAAGCATTGTCAGAAACTTCTTTGTGATGATTGCATTCAACTCACAGAGTTGAAGGTTCCTTTTCAAACAGCAGTTTCCAATCACTCTTTCTGTGGAATCTGCAAGTGGATATTTGGGCCTCTCTGAGGATTTCGTTGGAAACGGGATAAAACGCACAGAACTAAAACAGAAGCATTCTCAGAAACTTCTCTGTGATGTTTGTGTTCAACTCCCAGAGTTTCACGTTGCTTTTCATAGAGTAGTTCTGAAACATGCTTTTCGTAGTGTCTGCAAGTGGACATTTGGAGCGCTTTCAGGCCTGTGGTGGAAAACGAATTATGGTCACATAAAAACTGGAGAGAAGCCTTCTCAGGAAACTTCTCTGTGATGATTGCATTCAACTCACAGAGTTGAACCCTCCTATGGATAGAGCAGTGTTGAAACTCTCTTTTTGTGGAATCTGCAAGTGGATATGTGGACCTCTCCGAAGATGTCTTTGGAAACGGGAATATCTTCACATAAAAACTAAACAGAAGCATTCTCAGAAACTTCTTGGTGATGTTTGCATTCAAATCCCAGAGTTGAACCTTCCTTTGATAGTTCAGGTTTGAAACACTCTTTTTGTAGGATCTGCAAGTGGATATTTGGACCACTCTGTGGCCTTCGTTCGAAACGGGTATATCTTCGCATAAAATCTAGACAGAAGCATTCTCAGAAAATACTTTGTGATGATTGAGTTTAACTCACAGAGCTGAACATTCCTTTGGATGGAGCAGGCTTGAGACACACTTTTTGTAGAATCCACAAGTGGATATTTGGACCTCTCTGAGGATTTCGTTGGAAACGGGATAACTGCACCGAACTAAACGGAAGCATTCTCAGAAACTGCTTTGTGATGATTGCATTCACCTCACAGAGTTGAACATTCCTATTGATAGAGCAGTTTGGAAACACTCTTGTTGTGGAATGTGCAAGTGGAGATTTGGAGCGCTTTGAGGCCTATGGTAGTAAAGGGAATAGCTTCATAGAAAAACTAGACAGATGCATTTTCAGGAACTTTTTGGTGATGTTTGTATTCAACTCCCAGAGTTGAACTTTCCTTTGGAAAGAGCAGCTATGAAACACTCTTTTTCTAGAATCTGCAAGTGGACGTTTGGAGGGCTTTGTGGTTTGTGGTGGAAAAGGAAATATCTTCACCTAAATACTAGAGAGAAGCATTCTCAGAAGCTTCTCTGTGATGACTGCATTCAACTCACGGAGTTGAACACTCCTTTTGAGAGCGCACTTTTGAAACTCTCTTTCTGTGGCATCTGCAAGGGGACATGTAGACCTCTTTGAAGATTTCGTTGGAAACGGAATCATCTTCACATAAAAACTATACAGAAGCAGTCTCAGAATCTTCTTTGTGATGTTTGCATTCAAATCCCAGAGTTGAACTTTCCTTTCAAAGTTCACGTTTGAAACACTCTTTTTGCAGGATCTACAAGTGGATATTTGGACCACTCTGTGTCCTTCGTTCGAGACGGGTATATCTTCACACGACATCTAGACAGAAGCTTTCTCAGAAAATTCTTTGGGATGATTGAGTTGAACTCACAGAGCTGAACATTCCTTGCGATGTAGCAGTTTAGAAACACACTTTCTGCAGAATCTGCAAGTGCATATTTAGACCTCTCTGAGGAATTCGTTGGAAACGGGATAATTTCAGCTGACTAAACAGAAGCATTCTCAGAACCTTCTTCGTGATGTCTGCATTCAACTCACAGTGTGGAACCTTTCTTTGATAGTTCAGGTTTGAAACACTCTTTTTGTAGAAACTGCAAGGGGATAATTGCACTTCTTTGAGGCCTACCGTAGCAAAAGAAATAACTTCCTATAAAAAGAAGACAGAAGCATTCTCAGAACCTTCTTCGTGATGTTTGCATTCAACTCACAGTGCTGAACCTTTCTTTGATAGTTCAGCTTTGAAACACTCTTTTTGTAGAAACAGCAAGTGGATATTTCGTCCTCTCTGAGGATTTCGTTGGAAACGGGATAAACCGCACAGAACTAAACAGAAGCATTCACAGAAAACTCTTGGTGACGACTGAGTTTAACTCACAGAGCTGAACATTCCTTTGGATGGAGCAGTTTCGAAACACACTATTTGTAGAATGTGCAAGTGGATATGTGGGCCTCTCTGAGGATTTCGTTGGAAACGGGATAAACCGCACAGAACTAAACAGAAGCATTCTCAGAAACTACTTTGTGATGATTGCATTCAAGTCACAGAGTTGAACATTCCCTTTGACAGAGCAGTTTGGAAACTCTCTTTGTGTAGAATCTGCAAGTGGAGATATGGACCGCTTTGAGGCCTATGGTAGTAAAGGAAATAGCTTCATATAAAAGCTAGACAGTAGCATTCTCAGAAACTTCTTTGTGATGCTTGCATTCAACTCACAGAGTTGAACTTTCCTTTCGAGAGAGAAGCCTTGAAACACTCTTTTTCCAGAATCTGCAAGTGGACATTTGGAGGGCTTTGAGGCCTGTGGTGGAAAAGGAATTATCTTCCCGTAAAAGCTAGATAGAAGCATTGTCAGAAACTTCTTTGTGATGATTGCATTCAACTCACAGAGTTGAAGGTTCCTTTTCAAAGAGCAGTTTCCAATCACTCTTTCTGTGGAATCTGCAAGTGGATATTTGGACCTCTTTGAAGATTTCGTTGGAAACGGGAGAATCTTCACAGAAAAGCTAAACAGAAGCATTCTCAGAAACTTCTCTGTGATGTTTGTGTTCAACTCCCAGAGTTTCACATTGCTTTTCATAGAGTAGTTCTGAAACATGCTTTTCGTAGTGTCTACAAGTGGACATTTGGAGCGCTTTCAGGCCTGTGGTGGAAAACGAATTATGGTCACATAAAAACTGGAGAGAAGCCTTCTCAGAAACTTCTCTGTGATGATTGCATTCAACTCACAGAGTTGAACCCTCCTATGGATAGAGCAGTGTTGAAACTCTCTTTTTGTGGAATCTGCAAGTGGATATGTGGACCTCTCCGAAGATGTCTTTGGAAACGGGAATATCTTCACATAAAAACTAAACAGAAGCATTCTCAGAAACTTCTTGGTGATGTTTGCATTCAAATCCCAGAGTTGAACCTTCCTTTGATAGTTCAGGTTTGAAACACTCTTTTTGTAGGATCTGCAAGTGGATATTTGGACCACTCTGTGGCCTTCGTTCGAAACGGGTATATCTTCGCATAAAATCTAGACAGAAGCATTCTCAGAAAATACTTTGTGATGATTGAGTTTAACTCACAGAGCTGAACATTTCTTTGGATGGAGCAGGTTTGAGACACACCTTTTGTAGAATCTACAAGTGGATATTTGGACCTCTCTGAGGATTTCGTTGGAAACGGGATAACTGCACCTAACTAAACGGAAGCATTCTCAGAAACTGCTTTGTGATGATTGCATTCACCTCACAGAGTTGAACATTCCTATTGATAGAGCAGTTTGGAAACACTCTTGTTGTGGAATGTGCAAGTGGAGATTTGGAGCGCTTTGAGGCCTATGGTAGTAAAGGGAATAGCTTCATAGAAAAACTAGACAGATGCATTCTCAGGAACTTTTTGGTGATGTTTGTATTCAACTCCCAGAGTTGAACTTTCCTTTGGAAAGAGCAGCTATGAAACACTCTTTTTCTAGAATCTGCAAGTGGACGTTTGGAGGGCTTTGTGGTTTGTGGTGGAAAAGGAAATATCTTCACTTAAATACTAGATAGAAGCATTCTCAGAAGCTTCTCTGTGATGACTGCATTCAACTCACGGAGTTGAACACTCCTTTTGAGAGCGCAGTTTTGAAACTCTCTTTCTGTGGCATCCGCAAGGGGACATGTGGACCTCTTTGAAGGTTTCGTTGGAAACGGAATCATCTTCACATAAAAACTATACAGAAGCAGTCTCAGAATCTTCTTTGTGATGTTTGCATTCAAATCCCAGAGTTGAACTTGCCTTTCAAAGTTCACGTTTGAAACACTCTTTTTGCAGGATCTACAAGTGGATATTTGGACCACTCTGTGTCCTTCGTTCGAAACGGGTATATCTTCACATGACATCTAGACAGAAGCTTTCTCAGAAAATTCTTTGGGATGATTGAGTGGAACTCACAGAGCTGAACATTCCTTGCGATGTAGCAGTTTAGAAACACACTTTCTGCAGAATCTGCAAGTGCATATTTGGACCTCTCTGAGGAATTCGTTGGATACGGGATAATTTCAGCTGACTAAACAGAAGCATTCTCAGAACCTTCTTCGTGATGTCTGCATTCAACTCACAGTGTGGAACCTTTCTTTGATAGTTCAGGTTTGAAACACTCTTTTTGTAGAAACTGCAAGGGGATAATTGCACTTCTTTGAGGCCTACCGTAGTAAAGGAAATAACTTCCTATAGAAAGAAGACAGAAGCATTCTCAGAACCCTCTTCGTGATGTTTGCATTCAACTCACAGTGCTGAACCTTTCTTTGATAGTTCAGCTTTGAAACACTCTTCTTGTAGAAACTGCAAGTGGATATTTGGTCCTCTCTGAGGATTTCGTTGGAAACGGGATAAACCGCACAGAACTAAACAGAAGAATTCTCAGAGCCCTATTCGTGATGTTTGCATTCAACTCACAGTGCTGAACCTTTCTTTGATAGTGCAGCTTTGAAACACTCTTTTTGTAGAAACTGCAAGTCGATATTTGGTCCTCTCTGAGGATTTCGTTGGAAACGGGATAAACCGCACAGAACTAAAACAGAAGCATTCACAGAAAACTCTTGGTGACGACTGAGTTTAACTCACAGAGCTGAACATTCCTTTGGATGGAGCAGTTTCGAAACACACTATTTGTAGAATCTGCAAGTGGATATTTGGGCCTCTCTGAGGATTTCGTTGGAAACGGGATAAACCGCACAGAACTAAAACAGAAGCATTCTCAGAAACTACTTTGTGATGATTGCATTCAAGTCACAGAGTTGAACATTCCCTTTGACAGAGCAGTTTGGAAACTCTCTTTGTGTAGAATCTGCAAGTGGAGATATGGACCGCTTTGAGGCCTATGGTAGTAAAGGAAATAGCTTCATATAAAAGCTAGACAGTAGCATTCTCAGAAACTTCTTTGTGATGCTTGCATTCAACTCACAGAGTTGAACTTTCCTTTCGAGAGAGAAGCTTTGAAACACTCTTTTTCCAGAATCTGCAAGTGGACATTTGGAGGGCTTTGAGGCCTGTGGTGGAAAAGGAATTAACTTCCCGTAAAAGCTAGATAGAAGCATTGTCAGAAACTTCTTTGTGATGATTGCATTCAACTCACGGAGATGAAGGTTCCTTTACAAACAGCAGTTTCCAAACACTCTTTCTGTGGAATCTGCAAGTGGATATTTGGACCTCTTTGAAGATTTCGTTGGAAACGGGAGAATCTTCACAGAAAATCTAAACAGAAGCATTCTCAGAAACTTCTCTGTGATGTTTGTGTTCAACTCCCAGAGTGTCACATTGCTTTTCATAGAGTAGTTCTGAAACGTGCTTTTCGTAGTGTCTGCAAGTGGACATTTGGAGCGCTTTCAGGCCTGTGGTGGAAAACGAATTATGGTCACATAAAAACTGGAGAGAAGCCTTCTCAGAAACTTCTCTGTGATGATTGCATTCAACTCACAGAGTTGAACCCTCCTATGGATAGAGCAGTGTTGAAACTCTCTTTTTGTGGAATCTGCAAGTGGATATGTGGACCTCTCCGAAGATGTCTTTGGAAACGGGAATATCTTCACATAAAAACTACACAGAAGCATTCTCAGAAACTTCTTGGTGATGTTTGCATTCACATCGCAGAGTTGATCCTTCCTTTGATAGTTCAGGTTTGAAACACTCTTTTTGTAGGATCTGCAAGTGGATATTTGGACCACTCTGTGGCCTTCGTTCGAAACGGGTACATCTTCGCATAAAATCTAGACAGAAGCATTCTCAGAAAATACTTTGTGATGATTGAGTTTAACTCACAGAGCTGAACATTCCTTTGGATGGAGCAGGTTCGAGACACACTTTTTGTAGGATCTACAAGTGGATATTTGGACCTCTCTGAGGATTTCGTTGGAAACGGGATAACTGCACCGAACTAAACGGAAGCATTCTCAGAAACTGCTTTGTGATGATTGCATTCACCTCACAGAGTTGAACATTCCTATTGATAGAGCAGTTTGGAAACACTCTTGTTGTGGAATGTGCAAGTGGAGATTTGGAGCGCTTTGAGGCCTATGGTAGTAAAGGGAATAGCTTCATAGAAAAACTAGACAGATGCATTCTCAGGAACTTTTTGGTGATGTTTGTATTCAACTCCCAGAGTTGAACTTTCCTTTGGAAAGAGCAGCTATGAAACACTCTTTTTCTAGAATCTGCAAGTGGACGTTTGGAGGGCTTTGTGGTTTGTGGTGGAAAAGGAAATATCTTCACCTAAATACTAGGATAGAAGCATCCTCAGAAGCTTTTCTGTGATGACTGCATTCAACTCACGGAGTTGAACACTCCTTTTGAGAGCGCAGTTTTGAAACTCTCTTTCTGTGGCATCCGCAAGGGGACATGTGGACCTCTTTGAAGATTTCGTTGGAAACGGAATCATCTTCACATAAAAATTATACAGAAGCAGTCTCAGAATCTTCTTTGTGATGTTTGCATTCAAATCCCCGAGTTGAACTTTCCTTTCAAAGTTCACGTTTGAAACACTCTTTTTGCAGGATCTACAAGTGGATATTTGGACCACTCTGTGTCCTTCGTTCGAAACGGGTATATCTTCACATGACATCTAGACAGAAGCTTTCTCAGAAAATTCTTTGGGATGATTGAGTTGAACTCACAGAGCTGAGCATTCCTTGCGATGTAGCAGTTTAGAAACACACTTTCTGCAGAATCTGCAAGTGCATATTTGGACCTCTGTGAGGAATTCGTTGGAAACGGGATAATTTCAGCTGACTAAACAGAAGCATTCTCAGAACCTTCTTCATGATGTCTGCATTCAACTCACAGTGTGGAACCTTTCTTTGATAGTTCAGGTTTGAAACACTCTTTTTGTAGAAACTGCAAGGGGATAATTGCACTCTTTGAGGAGTACCGTAGTAAAGGAAATAACTTCCTATAAAAAGAAGACAGAAGCATTCTCAGAACCCTCTTCGTGATGTTTGCATTCAACTCACAGTGCTGAACCTTTCTTTGATAGTTCAGCTTTGAAACACTCTTTTTGTAGAAACTGCAAGTGGATATTTGGTCCTCTCTGAGGATTTCGTTGGAAACGGGATAAACTGCACAGAACTAAACAGAAGCATTCTCAGAACCTTCTTCGTGATGTTTGCATTCAACTCACAGTGTTGAACCTTTCTTTGATAGTTCAGGTTTGAAACGGTCTTTCTGTAGAAACTGCAAGTAGATATTTGGACCTCTCTGAGGATTTCGTTGGAAACGGGATAACCCGCACAGAACTAAAACAGAAGCATTCACAGAAAACTCTTGGTGACGACTGAGTTTAACTCACAGAGCTGAACATTCCTTTGGATGGAGCAGTTTCGAAACACACTATTTGTAGAATGTGCAAGTGGATATTTAGGCCTCTCTGAGGATTTCGTTGGAAACGGGATAAACCGCACAGAACTAAACAGAAGCATTCTCAGAAACTACTTTGTGATGATTGCATTCAAGTCACAGAGTTGAACATTCCCTTTGACAGAGCAGTTTGGAAACTCTCTTTGTGTAGAATCTGCAAGTGGAGATATGGACCGCTTTGAGGCCTATGGTAGTAAAGGAAATAGCTTCATATAAAACCTAGACAGTAGCATTCTCAGAAACTTCTTTGTGATGCTTGCATTCAACTCACAGAGTTGAACTTTCCTTTCGAGAGAGAAGCTTTGAAACACTCTTTTTCCAGAATGTGCAAGTGGACATTTGGGGAGCTTTGAGGCCTGTGGAGGAAAAGGAATTATCTTCCCGTAAAAGCTAGATAGAAGCATTGTCAGAAACTTCTTTGTGATGATTGCATTCAACTCACAGAGTTGAAGGTTCCTTTTCAAACAGCAGTTTCCAATCACTCTTTCTGTGGAATCTGCAAGTGGATATTTCGACCTCTTTGAAGATTTCGTTGGAAACGGGAGAATCTTCACAGAAAAGCTAAACAGAAGCATTCTCAGAAACTTCTCTGTGATGTTTGTGTTCAACTCCCAGAGTTTCACATTGCTTTTCATAGAGTAGTTCTGAAACATGCTTTTCGTAGTGTCTACAAGTGGACATTTGGAGCGCTTTCAGGCCTGTGGTGGAAAACGAATTATGGTCACATAAAAACTGGAGAGAAGCCTTCTCAGAAACTTCTCTGTGATGATTGCATTCAACTCACAGAGTTGAACCCTCCTATGGATAGAGCAGTGTTGAAACTCTCTTTTTGTGGAATCTGCAAGTGGATATGTGGACCTCTCCGAAGATGTCTTTGGAAACGGGAATATCTTCACATAAAAACTAAACAGAAGCATTCTCAGAAACTTCTTGGTGATGTTTGCATTCAAATCCCAGAGTTGAACCTTCCTTTGATAGTTCAGGTTTGAAACACTCTTTTTGTAGGATCTGCAAGTGGATATTTGGACCACTCTGTGGCCTTCGTTCGAAACGGGTACATCTTCGCATAAAATCTAGACAGAAGCATTCTCAGAAAATACTTTGTGATGATTGAGTTTAACTCACAGAGCTGAACATTCCTTTGGATGGAGCAGGTTTGAGACACACTTTTTGTAGAATCTACAAGTGGATATTTGGACCTCTCTGAGGATTTCGTTGGAAACGGGATAACTGCACCTAACTAAACGGAAGCATTCTCAGAAACTGCTTGTGATGATTGCATTCAACTCACAGAGTTGAACATTCCTATTGATAGAGCAGTTTGGAAACACTCTTGTTGTGGAATGTGCAAGTGGAGATTTGGAGCGCTTTGAGGCCTATGGTAGTAAAGGGAATAGCTTCATAGAAAAACTAGACAGATGCATTCTCAGGAACTTTTTGGTGATGTTTGTATTCAACTCCCAGAGTTGAACTTTTCCTTTGGAAAGAGCAGCTATGAAACACTGTTTTTCTAGAATCTGCAAGTGGACGTTTGGAGGGCTTTGTGGTTTGTGGTGGAAAAGGAAATATCTTCACCTAAATACTAGATAGAAGCATTCTCAGAAGCTTCTCTGTGATGACTGCATTCAACTCACGGAGTTGAACACTCCTTTTGAGAGCGCAGTTTTGAAACTCTCTTTCTGTGGCATCTGCAAGGGGACATGTAGACCTCTTTGAAGATTTCGTTGGAAACGGAATCATCTTCACATAAAAACTATACAGAAGCAGTCTCAGAATCTTCTTTGTGATGTTTGCATTCAAATCCCAGAGTTGAACTTTCCTTTCAAAGTTCACGTTTGAAGCACTCTTTTTGCAGGATCTACAAGTGGATATTTGGACCACTCTGTGTCCTTCGTTCGAAACGGGTATATCTTCACATGACATCTAGACAGAAGCTTTCTCAGAAAATTCTTTGGGATGATTGAGTTGAGCAAACAGAGCTGAACACTCCTTGCGATGTAGCAGTTTAGAAACACACTTTCTGCAGAATCTGCAAGTGCATATGTGGACCTCTCTGAGGAATTCGTTGGAAATGGGATAATTTCAGCTGACTAAACAGAAGCATTCTCAGAACCTTCTTCGTGATGTCTGCATTCAACTCACAGTGTGGAACCTTTCTTTGATAGTTCAGGTTTGAAACACTCTTTTTGTAGAAACTGCAAGGGGATCATTGCACTTCTTTGAGGCCTACCGTAGTAAAGGAGATAAGTTCCTATAAAAAGAAGACAGAAGAATTCTCAGAGCCCTCTTCGTGATGTTTGCATTCAACTCACAGTGCTGAACCTTTCTTTGATAGTGCAGCTTTGAAACACTCTTTTTGTAGAAACTGCAAGTGGATGTTTGGTCCTCTCTGAGGATTTCGTTGGAAACGGGATAAACCGCACAGAACTAAAACAGAGCATTGTCAGAAACTTCTTTGTGATGATTGCATTCAACTCACAGAGTTGAAGGTTCCTTTTCAAACAGCAGTTTCCAATCACTCTTTCTGTGGAATCTGCAAGTGGATATTTGGGCCTCTCTGAGGATTTCGTTGGAAACGGGATAAAACGCACAGAACTAAAACAGAAGCATTCTCAGAAACTTCTCTGTGATGTTTGTGTTCAACTCCCAGAGTTTCACGTTGCTTTTCATAGAGTAGTTCTGAAACATGCTTTTCGTAGTGTCTGCAAGTGGACATTTGGAGCGCTTTCAGGCCTGTGGTGGAAAACGAATTATGGTCACATAAAAACTGGAGAGAAGCCTTCTCAGAAACTTTTCTGTGATGATTGCATTCAACTCACAGAGTTGAACCCTCCTATGGACAGAGCAGTGTTGAAACTCTCTTTTTGTGGAATCTGCAAGTGGATATGTGGACCTCTCCGAAGATGTCTTTGGAAACGGGAATATCTTCACATAAAAACTAAACAGAAGCATTCTCAGAAAGTTCTTGGTGATGTTTGCATTGCAATCCCAGAGTTGAACCTTCCTTTGATAGTTCAGGTTTGAAACACTCTTTTTGTAGGATCTGCAAGTGGATATTTGGACCACTCTGTGGCCTTCGTTCGAAACGGGTACATCTTCGCATAAAATCTAGAGAGAAGCATTCTCAGAAAATATTTTGTGATGATTGAGTTGAACTCACAGAGCTGAACATTCCTTTCGATGGAGCAGGTTTGAAACACACTTTTTGTAGAATCTACAGGTGGATATTTGGACCTCTCTGAAGATTTCGTTGGAAACGGGATAACTGCACCTAACTAAACGGAAGCATTGTCAGAAACTGCTTTGTGATGATTGCATTCACCTCACAGAGTTGAACATTCCTATTGATAGAGCAGTTTGGAAACACTCTTCTTGTGGAATGTGCAAGTGGAGATTTGGAGCGCTTTGAGGCCTATGGTAGTAAAGGGAATAGCTTCATAGAAAAACTAGACAGATGCATTCTCAGGAACTTTTTGGTGATGTTTGTATTCAACTCCCAGAGTTGAACTTTCCTTTGAAAAGAGCAGCTATGAAACACTCTTTTTCTAGAATCTGCAAGTGGACGTTTGGAGGTCTTTTTTGGTTTGTGGTGGAAAAGGAAATATCTTCACCTAAATACTAGATAGAAGCATTCTCAGAAGCTTCTCTGTGATGACTGCATTCAACTCACGGAGTTGAACACTCCTTTTGAGAGCGCAGTTTTGAATCTCTCTTTCTGTGGCATCTGCAAGGGGACATGTAGACCTCTTTGAAGATTTCGTTGGAAACGGAATCATCTTCACATAAAAACTATACAGAAGCAGTCTCAGAATCTTCTTGGTGATGTTTGCATTCAAATCCCATAACTGAACTTTCCTTTCAAAGTTCACGTTTGAAACACTCTTTTTGCAGGATCTACAAGTGGATATTTGGACCACTCTGTGTCCTTCGTTCGAAACGGGTATATCTTCACATGACATCTAGACAGAAGCTTTATCAGAAAATTCTTTGGGATGATTGAGTTGAACTCACAGAGCTGAACATTCCTTGCGATGTAGCAGTTTAGAAACACACTTTCTGCAGAATCTGCAAGTGCATATTTGGACCTCTCTGAGGAATTCGTTGGAAACGGGATAATTTCAGCTGACTAAACAGAAGCATTCTCAGAACCTTCTTCGTGATGTCTGCATTCAACTCACAGTGTGGAACCTTTCTTTGATAGTTCAGGTTTGAAACACTCTTTTTGTAGAAACTGCAAGGGGATAATTGCACTTCTTTGAGGCCTACCGTAGTAAAGGAAATAACTTCCTATAAAAAGAAGACAGAAGCATTCTCAGAACCCTCTTCGTGATGTTTGCATTCAACTCACGGTGCTGAACCTTTCTTTGATAGTTCAGCTTTGAAACACTCTTTTTGTAGAAACTGCAAGTGGATATTTGGTCCTCTCTGAGGATTTCGTTGGAAACGGGATAAACCGCACAGAACTAAACAGAAGCATTCTCAGAACATTCTTCGTGATGTTTACATTCAACTCAAAGGGTTGAACCTTTCTTTGATAGTTCAGGTTTGAAACGGTCTTTCTGTAGAAACTGCAAGTAGATATTTGGACCTCTCTGAGGATTTCGTTGGAAACGGGATAAACCGCACAGAACTAAAACAGAAGCATTCACAGAAAACTCTTGGTGACGACTGAGTTTAACTCACAGAGCTGAACATTCCTTTGGATGGAGCAGTTTCGAAACACACTATTTCTAGAAGGTGCAAGTGGATATGTGGGCCTCTCTGAGGATTTCGTTGGAAACGGGATAAACCGCACAGAACTAAACAGAAGCATTCTCAGAAACTACTTTGTGATGATTGCATTCAAGTCACAGAGTTGAACATTCCCTTTGACAGAGCAGTTTGGAAACTCTCTTTGTGTAGAATCTGCAAGTGGAGATATGGACCGCTTTGAGGCCTATGGTAGTAAAGGAAATAGCTTCATATAAAAGCTAGACAGTAGCATTCTCAGAAACTTCTTTGTGATGCTTGCATTCAACTCACAGAGTTGAACTTTCCTTTCGAGAGAGAAGCTTTGAAACACTCTTTTTCCAGAATCTGCAAGTGGACATTTGGAGGGCTTTGAGGCCTGTGGTGGAAAAGGAATTATCTTCCTGTAAAAGCTAGATAGAAGCATTGTCAGAAACTTCTTTGTGATGATTGCATTCAACTCACAGAGTTGAAGGTTCCTTTTCAAAGAGCAGTTTCCAATCACTCTTTCTGTGGAATCTGCAAGTGGATATTTGGACCTCTTTGAAGATTTCGTTGGAAACGGGAGAATCTTCACAGAAAAGCTAAACAGAAGCATTCTCAGAAACTTCTCTGTGATGTTTGTGTTCAACTCCCAGAGTTTCACATTGCTTCTCATAGAGTAGTTCTGAAACATGCTTTTCGTAGTGTCTGCAAGTGGACATTTGGAGCGCTTTCAGGCCTGTGGTGGAAAACGAATTATGGTCACATGAAAACTGGAGAGAAGCCTTCTCAGAAACTTCTCTGTGATGATTGCATTCAACTCACAGAGTTGAACCCTCCTATGGATAGAGCAGTGTTGAAACTCTCTTTTTGTGGAATCTGCAAGCGGATATGTGGACCTCTCCGAAGATGTCTTTGGAAACGGGAATATCTTCACATAAAAACTAAACAGAAGCATTCTCAGAAACTTCTTGGTGATGTTTGCATTCAAATCCCAGAGTTGAACCTTCCTTTGAGAGTTCAGGTTTGAAACACTCTTTTTGTAGGATCTGCAAGTGGATATTTGGACCACTCTGTGGCCTTCGTTCGAAACGGGTACATCTTCGCAAAAAATCTAGACAGAAGCATTCTCAGAAAATACTTTGTGATGATTGAGTTTAAATCACAGAGCTGACCATTCCTTTGGATGGAGCAGGTTTGAGACACACTTTTTGTAGAATCTACAAGTGGATATTTGGACCTCTCTGAGGATTTCGTTGGAAACGGGATAACTGCACCTAACTAAACGGAAGCATTCTCAGAAACTGCTTTGTGATGATTGCATTCACCTCACAGAGTTGAACATTCCTATTGATAGAGCAGTTTGGAAACACTCTTGTTGTGGAATGTGCAAGTGGAGATTTGGAGCGCTTTGAGGCCTATGGTAGTAAAGGGAATAGCTTCATAGAAAAACTAGACAGATGCATTCTCAGGAACTTTTTGGTGATGTTTGTATTCAACTCCCAGAGTTGAACTTTCCTTTGGAAAGAGCAGCTATGAAACACTCTTTTTCTAGAATCTGCAAGTGGACGTTTGGAGGGCTTTGTGGTTTGTGGTGGAAAAGGAAATATCTTCACCTAAATACTAGATAGAAGCATTCTCAGAAGCTTCTCTGTGATGACTGCATTCAACTCACGGAATTGAACACTCCTTTTGAGAGCGCAGTTTTGAAACTCTCTTTCTGTGGCATCTGCAAGGGGACATGTAGACCTCTTTGAAGATTTCGTTGGAAACGGAATCATCTTCACATAAAAACTATACAGAAGCAGTCTCAGAATCTTCTTTGTGATGTTTGCATTCAAATCCCAGAGTTGAACTTTCCTTTCAAAGTTCACGTTTGAAATACTCTTTTTGCAGGATCTACAAGTGGATATTTGGACCACTCTGTGGCCTTCGTTCGAAACGGGTATATCTTCACATGACATCTAGACAGAAGCTTTCTCAGAAAATTCTTTGGGATGATTGAGTTGAACTCACAGAGCTGAGCATTCCTTGCGATGTAGCAGTTTAGAAACACACTTTCTGCAGAATCTGCAAGTGCATATTTGGACCTCTGTGAGGAATTCGTTGGAAACGGGATAATTTCAGCTGACTAAACAGAAGCATTCTCAGAACCTTCTTCGTGATGTCTGCATTCAACTCACAGTGTGGAACCTTTCTTTGATAGTTCAGGTTTGAAACACTCTTTTTGTAGAAACTGCAAGGGGATAATTGCACTCTTTGAGGAGTACCGTAGTAAAGGAAATAACTTCCTATAAAAAGAAGACAGAAGCATTCTCAGAACCCTCTTCGTGATGTTTGCATTCAACTCACAGTGCGTGAACCTTTCTTTGATAGTTCAGCTTTGAAACACTCTTCTTGTAGAAACTGCAAGTGGATATTTGGTCCTCTCTGAGGATTTCATTGGAAACGGGATAAACCGCACAGAACTAAACAGAAGCATTCTCAGAACCTTCTTCGTGATGTTTGCATTCAACTCACAGTGTTGAACCTTTCTTTGATAGTTCAGGTTTGAAACGGTCTTTCTGTAGAAACTGCAAGTAGATATTTGGACCTCTCTGAGGATTTCGTTGGAAACGGGATAACCCGCACAGAACTAAAACAGAAGCATTCACAGAAAACTCTTGGTGACGACTGAGTTTAACTCACAGAGCTGAACATTCCTTTGGATGGAGCAGTTTCGAAACACACTATTTGTAGAATGTGCAAGTGGATATTTAGGCCTCTCTGAGGATTTCGTTGGAAACGGGATAAACCGCACAGAACTAAACAGAAGCATTCTCAGAAACTACTTTGTGATGATTGCATTCAAGTCACAGAGTTGTACATTCCCTTTGACAGAGCAGTTTGGAAACTCTCTTTGTGTAGAATCTGCAAGTGGAGATATGGACCGCTTTGAGGCCTATGGTAGTAAAGGAAATAGCTTCATATAAAAGCTAGACAGTGGCATTCTCAGAAACTTCTTTGTAATGTTTGCATTCAACTCACAGAGTTGAACTTTCCTTTTGAGAGACAAGCTTTGAAACACTCTTTCTCTAGAATCTGCAAGTGGATATTTGGAGGGATTTGAGGCCTGTGGTGGAAAGGGAATTATCTTCCCGTAAAAACTAGATGGAAGCATTGTCAGAAACTTCTTTGTGATGATTGCATTCAACTCACAGAGATGAAGGTTCCTTTTCAAACAGCAGTTTCCAAACACTCTTTCTGTGGAATCTGCAAGTGGATATTTGGATCTCTTTGAAGATTTCGTTGGAAACGGGAGAATCTTCACAGAAAAGCTAAACAGAAGCATTCTCAGAAACTTCTCTGTGATGTTTGTGTTCAACTCCCAGAAGTTTCACATTGCTTTTCATAGAGTAGTTCTGAAACATGCTTTTCGTAGTGTCTGCAAGTGGACATTTGGAGCGCTTTCAGGCCTGTGGTGCAAAACGAATTATGGTCCCATAAAAACTGGAAAGAAGCCTTCTCAGAAACTTCTCTGTGATGATTGCATTCAACTCACAGGTTTGAACCCTCCTATGGATAGAGCAGTGTTGAAACTCTCTTTTTGTGGAATCTGCAAGTGGATATGTGGACCTCTCCGAAGATGTCTTTGGAAACGGGAATATCTTCACATAAAAACTAAACAGAAGCATTCTCAGAAACTTCTTGGTGATGTTTGCATTCAAATCCCAGAGTTGAACCTTCCTGTGATAGTTCAGGTTTGAAACACTCTTTTTGTAGGATCTTCAAGTGGATATTTGGACCACTCTGTGGCCTTCGTTCGAAACGGGTACATCTTCACATAAAATCTAGACAGAAGCATTCTCAGAAAATACTTTGTGATGATTGAGTTTAACTCACAGAGCTGAACATTCCTTTGGATGGAGCAGGTTTGAGACACACTTTTTGTAGAATCTACAAGTGGATATTTGGACCTCTCTGAGGATTTCGTTGGAAACGGGATAACTGCACCTAACTAAACGGAAGCATTCTCAGAAACTGCTTTGTGATGATTGCATTCACCTCACAGAGTTGAACATTCCTATTGATAGAGCAGTTTGGAAACACTCTTGTTGTGGAATGTGCAAGTGGAGATTTGGAGCGCTTTGAGGCCTATGGTAGTAAAGGGAATAGCTTCATAGAAAAACTAGACAGATGCATTCTCAGGAACTTTTTGGTGATGTTTGTATTCAACTCCCAGAGTTGAACTTTCCTTTGGAAAGAGCAGCTATGAAACACTGTTTCTCTAGAATCTGCAAGTGGACGTTTGGAGGGCTTTGTGGTTTGTGGTGGAAAAGGAAATATCTTCACCTAAATACTAGATAGAAGCATTCTCAGAAGCTTCTCTGTGATGACTGCATTCAACTCACGGAGTTGAACACTCCTTTTGAGAGCGCAGTTTTGAAACTCTCTTTCTGTGGCATCTGCAAGGGGACATGTAGACCTCTTTGAAGATTTCGTTGGAAACGGAATCATCTTCACATAAAAACTATACAGAAGCAGTCTCAGAATCTTCTTTGTGATGTTTGCATTCAAATCCCAGAGTTGAACTTTCCTTTCAAAGTTCACGTTTGAAACACTCTTTTTGCAGGATCTACAAGTGGATATTTGGACCACTCTGTGTCCTTCGTTCGAAACGGGTATATCTTCACATGACATCTAGACAGAAGCTTTCTCAGAAAATTCTTTGGGATGATTGAGTGGAACTCACAGAGCTGAACATTCCTTGCGATGGAGCAGTTTAGAAACACACTTTCTGCAGAATCTGCAAGTGCATATTTGGACCTCTCTGAGGAATTCGTTGGAAACGGGATAATTTCAGCTGACTAAACAGAAGCATTCTCAGAACCTTCTTCGTGATGTCTGCATTCAACTCACAGTGTGGAACCTTTCTTTGATAGTTCAGGTTTGAAACACTCTTTTTGTAGAAACTGCAAGGGGATAATTGCACTTCTTTGAGGCCTACCGTAGTAAAGGAAATAACTTCCTATAGAAAGAAGACAGAAGCATTCTCAGAACCCTCTTCGTGATGTTTGCATTCAACTCACAGTGCTGAACCTTTCTTTGATAGTTCAGCTTTGAAACACTCTTCTTGTAGAAACTGCAAGTGGATATTTGGTCCTCTCTGAGGATTTCGTTGGAAACGGGATAAACCGCACAGAACTAAACAGAAGCATTCTCAGAACCTTCTTCGTGATGTTTGCATTCAAATCACAGTGCTGAACGTTTCTTTGATAGTTCAGCTTTGAAACACTCTTTTTGTAGAAACTGCAAGTGGATATTTGGTCCTCTGTGAGGATTTTGTTGGAAGCGGGATAAACCGCACAGAACTAAACAGAAGCATTCACAGAAAACTCTTGGTGACGACTGAGTTTAACTCACAGAGCTGAACATCTCTTTGGATGGAGCAGTTTCGAAACACACTATTTGTAGAATGTGCAAGTGGATATTGGGGCCTCTCTGAGGATTTCGTTGGAAACGGGATAAACCGCACAGAACTAAACAGAAGCATTCTCAGAAACTACTTTGTGATGATTGCATTCAAGTCACAGAGTTGAACATTCCCTTTGACAGAGCAGTTTGGAAACTCTCTTTGTGTAGAATCTGCAAGTGGAGATATGGACCACTTTGAGGACTATGGTAGTAAAGGAAATAGCTTCATATAAAAGCTAAACAGTAGCATTCTCAGAAACTTCTTTGTGATGCTTGCATTCAACTCACAGAGTTGAACTTTCCTTTCGAGAGAGAAGCTTTGAAACACTCTTTTTCCAGAATCTGCAAGTGGACATTTGGAGGGCTTTGAGGCCTGTGGTGGAAAAGGAATTATCTTCCCGTAAAAGCTAGATAGAAGCATTGTCAGAAACTTCTTTGTGATGATTGCATTCAACTCACAGAGTTGAAGGTTCCTTTTCAAAGAGCAGTTTCCAATCACTCTTTCTGTGGAATCTGCAAGTGGATATTTGGACCTCTTTGAAGATTTCGTTGGAAACGGGAGAATCTTCACAGAAAAGCTAAACAGAAGCATTCTCAGAAACTTCTCTGTGATGTTTGTGTTCAACTCCCAGAGTTTCACATTGCTTCTCATAGAGTAGTTCTGAAACATGCTTTTCGTAGTGTCTGCAAGTGGACATTTGGAGCGCTTTCAGGCCTGTGGTGGAAAACGAATTATGGTCACATAAAAACTGGAGAGAAGCCTTCTCAGAAACTTCTCTGTGATGATTGCATTCAACTCACAGAGTTGAACCCTCCTATGGATAGAGCAGTGTTGAAACTCTCTTTTTGTGGAATCTGCAAGTGGATATGTGGACCTCTCCGAAGATGTCTTTGGAAACGGGAATATCTTCACATAAAAACTAAACAGAAGCATTCTCAGAAACTTCTTGGTGATGTTTGCATTCAAATCCCAGAGTTGAACCTTCCTTTGATAGTTCAGGTTTGAAACACTCTTTTTGTAGGATCTGCAAGTGGATATTTGGACCACTCTGTGGCCTTCGTTCGAAACGGGTACATCTTCGCATAAAATCTAGACAGAAGCATTCTCAGAAAATACTTTGTGATGATTGAGTTTAACTCACAGAGCTGAACATTCCTTTGGATGGAGCACGTTTGAGACACACTTTTTGTAGAATCTACAAGTGGATATTTGGACCTCTCTGAGGATTTCGTTGGAAACGGGATAACTGCACCTAACTAAGCGGAAGCATTCTCAGAAACTGCTTTGTGATGATTGCATTCACCTCACAGAGTTGAACATTCCTATTGATAGAGCAGTTTGGAAACACTCTTGTTGTGGAATGTGCAAGTGGAGATTTGGAGCGCTTTGAGGCCTATGGTAGTAAAGGGAATAGCTTCATAGAAAAACTAGACAGATGCATTCTCAGGAACTTCTTTTTGGTGATGTTTGTATTCAACTCCCAGAGTTGAACTTTCCTTTGGAAAGAGCAGCTATGAAACACTCTTTTTCTAGAATCTGCAAGTGGACGTTTGGAGGGCTTTGTGGTTTGTGGTGGAAAAGGAAATATCTTCACCTAAATACTAGATAGAAGCATTCTCAGAAGCTTCTCTGTGATGACTGCATTCAACTCATGGAGTTGAACACTCCTTTTGAGAGCGCAGTTTTGAAACTCTCTTTCTGTGGCATCTGCAAGGGGACATGTAGACCTCTTTGAAGATTTCGTTGGAAACGGAATCATCTTCACATAAAAACTATACAGAAGCAGTCTCAGAATCTTCTTTGTGATGTTTGCATTCAAATCCCAGAGTTGAACTTTCCTTTCAAAGTTCACGTTTGAAACACTCTTTTTGCAGGATCTACAAGTGGATATTTGGACCACTCTGTGTCCTTCGTTCGAAACGGGTATATCTTCACACGACATCTAGACAGAAGCTTTCTCAGAAAATTCTTTGGGATGATTGAGTGGAACTCACAGTAGCTGAACATTCCTTGCGATGGAGCAGTTTAGAAACACACTTTCTGCAGAATCTGCAAGTGCATATTTGGACCTCTCTGAGGAATTCGTTGGAAACGGGATAATTTCAGCTGACTAAACAGAAGCATTCTCAGAACCTTCTTCGTGATGTCTGCATTCAACTCACAGTGTGGAACCTTTCTTTGATAGTTCAGGTTTGAAACACTCTTTTTGTAGAAACTGCAAGGGGATAATTGCACTTCTTTGAGGCCTACCGTAGTAAAGGAAATAACTTCCTATAGAAAGAAGACAGAAGCATTCTCAGAACCCTCTTCGTGATGTTTGCATTCAACTCACAGTGCTGAACCTTTCTTTGATAGTTCAGCTTTGAAACACTCTTCTTGTAGAAACTGCAAGTGGATATTTTGTCCTCTCTGAGGATTTCGTTGTAAACGGGATAAACCGCACGGAAATAAACAGAAGCATTCTCAGAACCTTCTTCGTGATGTTTGCATTCAACTCACAGTGTTGAACCTTTCTTTGATAGTTCAGGTTTGAAACGGTCTTTCTGTAGAAACTGCAAGTAGATATTTGGACCTCTCTGAGGATTTCGTTGGAAACGGGATAAACCGCACAGAACTAAACAGAAGCATTCACAGAAAACTCTTGGTGACGACTGAGTTTAACTCACAGAGCTGAACATTCCTTTGGATGGAGCAGTTTCGAACCACACTATTTGTAGAATCTGCAAGTGGATATGTGGGCCTCTCTGAGGATTTCGTTGGAAACGGGATAAAACGCATAGAACTAAAACAGAAGCATTCTCAGAAACTACTTTGTGATGATTGCATTCAAGTCACAGAGTTGAACATTCCCTTTGACAGAGCAGTTTGGAAACTCTCTTTGTGTAGAATCTGCAAGTGGAGATATGGACCGCTTTGAGGCCTATGGTAGTAAAGGAAATATCTTCATATAAAAGCTAGACAGTAGCATTCTCAGAAACTTCTTTGTGATGCTTGCATTCAACTCACAGAGTTGAACTTTCCTTTCGAGAGAGAAGCTTTGAAACACTCTTTTTCCAGAATGTGCAAGTGGACATTTGGAGGGCTTTGAGGCCTGTGGTGGAAAAGGAATTATCTTCCCGTAAAAGCTAGATAGAAGCATTGTCAGAAACTTCTTTGTGATGATTGCATTCAACTCACAGAGTTGAAGGTTCCTTTTCAAAGAGCAGTTTCCAATCACTCTTTCTGTGGAATCTGCAAGTGGATATTTGGACCTATTTTGAAGATTTCGTTGGAAACGGGAGAATCTTCACAGGAAAGCTAAACAGAAGCATTCTCAGAAACTTCTCTGTGATGTTTGTGTTCAACTCCCAGAGTTTCACATTGCTTTTCATAGAGTAGTTCTGAAACATGCTTTTCGTAGTGTCTACAAGTGGACATTTGGAGCGCTTTCAGGCCTGTGGTGGAAAACGAATTATGGTCACATAAAAACTGGAGAGAAGCCTTCTCAGAAACTTCTCTGTGATGATTGCATTCAACTCACAGAGTTGAACCCTCCTATGGATAGAGCAGTGTTGAAACTCTCTTTTTGTGGAATCTGCAAGTGGATACGTGGACCTCTCCGAAGATGTCTTTGGAAACGGGAATATCTTCACATAAAAACTAAACAGAAGCATTCTCAGAAACTTCTTGGTGATGTTTGCATTCAAATCCCAGAGTTGAACCTTCCTTTGATAGTTCAGGTTTGAAACACTCTTTTTGTAGGATCTGCAAGTGGATATTTGGACCACTCTGTGGCCTTCGTTCGAAACGGGTATATCTTCGCATAAAATCTAGACAGAAGCATTCTCAGAAAATACTTTGTGATGATTGAGTTTAACTCACAGAGCTGAACATTCCTTTGGATGGAGCAGGTTTGAGACACACCTTTTGTAGAATCTACAAGTGGATATTTGGACCTCTCTGAGGATTTCGTTGGAAACGGGATAACTGCACCTAACTAAACGGAAGCATTCTCAGAAACTGCTTTGTGATGATTGCATTCACCTCACAGAGTTGAACATTCCTATTGATAGAGCAGTTTGGAAACACTCTTGTTGTGGAATGTGCAAGTGGAGATTTGGAGCGCTTTGAGGCCTATGGTAGTAAAGGGAATAGCTTCATAGAAAAACTAGACAGATGCATTCTCAGGAACTTTTTGGTGATGTTTGTATTCAACTCCCAGAGTTGAACTTTCCTTTGGAAAGAGCAGCTATGAAACACTGTTTTTCTAGAATCTGCAAGTGGACGTTTGGAGGGCTTTGTGGTTTGTGGTGGAAAAGGAAATATCTTCACCTAAATACTAGATAGAAGCATCCTCAGAAGCTTCTCTGTGATGACTGCATTCAACTCACGGAGTTGAACACTCCTTTTGAGAGCGCAGTTTTGAAACTCTCTTTCTGTGGCATCTGCAAGGGGACATGTAGACCTCTTTGAAGATTTCGTTGGAAACGGAATCATCTTCACATAAAAACTATACAGAAGCAGTCTCAGAATCTTCTTTGTGATGTTTGCATTCAAATCCCCGAGTTGAACTTTCCTTTCAAAGTTCACGTTTGAAACACTCTTTTTGCAGGATCTACAAGTGGATATTTGGACCACTCTGTGTCCTTCGTTCGAAACGGGTATATCTTCACATGACATCTAGACAGAAGCTTTCTCAGAAAATTCTTTGGGATGATTGAGTTGAACTCACAGAGCTGAGCATTCCTTGCGATGTAGCAGTTTAGAAACACACTTTCTGCAGAATCTGCAAGTGCATATTTGGACCTCTGTGAGGAATTCGTTGGAAACGGGATAATTTCAGCTGACTAAACAGAAGCATTCTCAGAACCTTCTTCGTGATGTCTGCATTCAACTCACAGTGTGGAACCTTTCTTTGATAGTTCAGGTTTGAAACACTCTTTTTGTAGAAACTGCAAGGGGATAATTGCACTCTTTGAGGAGTACCGTAGTAAAGGAAATAACTTCCTATAAAAAGAAGACAGAAGCATTCTCAGAACCCTCTTCGTGATGTTTGCATTCAACTCACAGTGCTGAACCTTTCTTTGATAGTTCAGGTTTGAAACACTCTTTTTGTAGAAACTGCAAGTGGATATTTGGTCCTCTCTGAGGATTTCGTTGGAAACGGGATAAACTGCACAGAACTAAACAGAAGCATTCTCAGAACCTTCTTCGTGATGTTTGCATTCAACTCACAGTGTTGAACCTTCCTTTGATAGTTCAGGTTTGAAACGGTCTTTCTGTAGAAACTGCAAGTAGATATTTGGACCTCTCTGAGGATTTCGTTGGAAACGGGATAACCCGCACAGAACTAAAACAGAAGCATTCACAGAAAACTCTTGGTGACGACTGAGTTTAACTCACAGAGCTGAACATTCCTTTGGATGGAGCAGTTTCGAAACACACTATTTGTAGAATCTGCAAGTGGATATTTGGGCCTCTCTGAGGATTTCGTTGGAAACGGGATAAACCGCACAGAACTAAAACAGAAGCATTCTCAGAAACTACTTTGTGATGATTGCATTCAAGTCACAGAGTTGAACATTCCCTTTGACAGAGCAGTTTGGAAACTCTCTTTGTGTAGAATCTGCAAGTGGAGATATGGACCGCTTTGAGGCCTATGGTAGTAAAGGAAATAGCTTCATATAAAAGCTAGACAGTAACATTCTCAGAAACTTCTTTGTGATGCTTGCATTCAACTCACAGAGTTGAACTTTCCTTTCGAGAGACAAGCTTTGAAACACTCTTTTTCCAGAATGTGCAAGTGGACATTTGGGGAGCTTTGAGGCCTGTGGTGGAAAAGGAATTATCTTCCCGTAAAAGCTAGATAGAAGCATTGTCAGAAACTTCTTTGAGATGATTGCATTCAACTCACAGAGTTGAAGGTTCCTTTTCAAACAGCAGTTTCCAATCACTCTTTCTGTGGAATCTGCAAGTGGATATTTCGACCTCTTTGAAGATTTCGTTGGAAACGGGAGAATCTTCACAGAAAAGCTAAACAGAAGCATTCTCAGAAACTTCTCTGTGATGTTTGTGTTCAACTCCCAGAGTTTCACGTTGCTTTTCATAGAGTAGTTCTGAAACATGCTTTTCGTAGTGTCTGCAAGTGGACATTTGGAGCGCTTTCAGGCCTGTGGTGGAAAACGAATTATGGTCACATAAAAACTGGAGAGAAGCCTTCTCAGAAACTTCTCTGTGATGATTGCATTCAACTCACAGAGTTGAACCCTCCTATGGATAGAGCAGTGTTGAAACTCTCTTTTTGTGGAATCTGCAAGTGGATATGTGGACCTCTCCGAAGATGTCTTTGGAAACGGGAATATCTTCACATAAAAACTAAACAGAAGCATTCTCAGAAACTTCTTGGTGATGTTTGCATTCAAATCCCAGAGTTGAACCTTCCTTTGATAGTTCAGGTTTGAAACACTCTTTCTGTAGGATCTGCAAGTGGCTATTTGGACCACTCTGTGGCCTTCGTTCGAAACGGGTATATCTTCGCATAAAATCTAGACAGAAGCATTCTCAGAAAATACTTTGTGATGATTGAGTTTAAATCACAGAGCTGACCATTCCTTTGGATGGAGCAGGTTTGAGACACACTTTTTGTAGAATCTACAAGTGGATATTTGGACCTCTCTGAGGATTTCGTTGGAAACGGGATAACTGCACCTAACTAAACGGAAGCATTCTCAGAAACTGCTTTGTGATGGTTGCATTCACCTCACAGAGTTGAACATTCCTATTGATAGAGCAGTTTGGAAACACTCTTGTTGTGGAATGTGCAAGTGGAGATTTGGAGCGCTTTGAGGCCTATGGTAGTAAAGGGAATAGCTTCATAGAAAAACTAGACAGATGCATTCTCAGGAACTTTTTGGTGATGTTTGTATTCAACTCCCAGAGTTGAACTTTCCTTTGGAAAGAGCAGCTATGAAACACTCTTTTTCTAGAATCTGCAAGTGGACGTTTGGAGGGCTTTGTGGTTTGTGGTGGAAAAGGAAATATCTTCACCTAAATACTAGATAGAAGCATTCTCAGAAGCTTCTCTGTGATGACTGCATTCAACTCACGGAGTTGAACACTCCTTTTGAGAGCGCAGTTTTGAAACTCTCTTTCTGTGGCATCTGCAAGGGGACATGTAGACCTCTTTGAAGATTTCGTTGGAAACGGAATCATCTTCACATAAGAACTATACAGAAGCAGTCTCAGAATCTTCTTTGTGATGTTTGCATTCAAATCCCAGAGTTGAACTTTCCTTTCAAAGTTCACGTTTGAAACACTCTTTTTGCAGGATCTACAAGTGGATATTTGGACCACTCTGTGTCCTTCGTTCGAAACGGGTATATCTTCACATGACATCTAGACAGAAGCTTTCTCAGAAAATTCTTTGGGATGATTGAGTGGAACTCACAGAGCTGAACATTCCTTGCGATGTAGCAGTTTAGAAACACACTTTCTGCAGAATCTGCAAGTGCATATTTGGACCTCTCTGAGGAATTCGTTGGAAACGGGATAATTTCAGCTGACTAAACAGAAGCATTCTCAGAACCTTCTTCGTGATGTCTGCATTCAACTCACAGTGTGGAACCTTTCTTTGATAGCTCAGGTTTGAAACACTCTTTTTGTAGAAACTGCAAGGGGATAATTGCACTTCTTTGAGGCCTACCGTAGTAAAGGAAATAACTTCCTATAGAAAGAAGACAGAAGCATTCTCAGAACCCTCTTCGTGATGTTTGCATTCAACTCACAGTGCTGAACTTTTCTTTGATAGTTCAGCTTTGAAACACTCTTCTTGTAGAAACTGCAAGTGGATATTTGGGTCCTCTCTGAGGATTTCGTTGGAAACGGGATAAACCGCACAGAACTAAACAGAAGCATTCTCAGAACCTTCTTCGTGATGTTTGCATTCAACTCACAGTGTTGAACCTTTCCTTGATAGTTCAGGTTTGAAACGGTCATTCTGTAGAAAATGCAAGTAGATATTTGGACCTCTCTGAGGATTTCGTTGGAAACGGGATAAACCGCACAGAACTAAAACGGAAGCATTCTCAGAACCCTCTTCGTGATGTTTGCATTCAACTCACAGTGCTGAACCTTTCTTGATAGTTCAGCTTTGAAACACTCTTCTTGTAGAAACTGCAAGTGGATATTTGGTCCTCTCTGAGGATTTCGTTGGAAACGGGATAAACCGCACAGAACTAAACAGAAGCATTCTCAGAACCTTCTTCGTGATGTTTGCATTCAACTCACAGTGTTGAACCTTCCTTTGATAGTTCAGGTTTGAAACGGTCTTTCTGTAGAATCTGCAAGTAGATATTTGGACCTCTCTGAGGATTTCGTTGGAAACGGGATAAACCGCAAAGAACTAAAACAGAAGCATTCACAGAAAACTCTTGGTGACGACTGAGTTTAACTCACAGAGCTGAACATTCCTTTGGATGGAGCAGTTTCGAAACACACTATTTGTAGAATGTGCAAGTGGATATTTGGGCCTCTCTGAGGATTTCGTTGGAAACGGGATAAACCGCACAGAACTAAACAGAAGCATTCTCAGAAACTACTTTGTGATGATTGCATTCAAGTCACAGAGTTGAACATTCCCTTTGACAGAGCAGTTTGGAAACTCTCTTTGTGTAGAATCTGCAAGTGGAGATATGGACCGCTTTGAGGCCTATGGTAGTAAAGGAAATAGCTTCATATAAAAGCTAGACAGTAGCATTCTCAGAAACTTCTTTGTGATGCTTGCATTCAACTCACAGAGTTGAACTTTCCTTTCGAGAGAGAAGCTTGGAAACACTCTTTTTCCAGAATCTGCAAGTGGACATTTGGAGGGCTTTGAGGCCTGTGGTGGAAAAGGAATTATCTTCCCGTAAAAGCTAGATAGAAGCATTGTCAGAAACTTCTTTGTGATGATTGCATTCAACTCACAGAGTTGAAGGTTCCTTTTCAAAGAGCAGTTTCCAATCACTCTTTGTGTGGAATCTGCAAGTGGATATTTGGACCTATTTTGAAGATTTCGTTGGAAACGGGAGAATCTTCACAGGAAAGCTAAACAGAAGCATTCTCAGAAACTTCTCTGTGATGTTTGTGTTCAACTCCCAGAGTTTCACATTGCTTTTCATAGAGTAGTTCTGAAACATGCTTTTCGTAGTGTCTGCAAGTGGACATTTGGAGCGCTTTCAGGCCTGTGGTGGAAAACGAATTATGGTCACATAAAAACTGGAGAGAAGCCTTCTCAGAAACTTCTCTGTGATGATTGCATTCAACTCCACAGAGTTGAACCCTCCTATGGATAGAGAAGTGTTGAAACTCTCTTTTTGTGGAATCTGCAAGCGGATATGTGGACCTCTCCGAAGATGTCTTTGGAAACGGGAATATCTTCACATAAAAACTAAACAGAAGCATTCTCAGAAACTTCTTGGTGATGTTTGCATTCAAATCCCAGAGTTGAACCTTCCTTTGAGAGTTCAGGTTTGAAACACTCTTTTTGTAGGATCTGAAAGTGGATATTTGGACCACTCTGTGGCCTTCGTTCGAAACGGGTACATCTTCGCATAAAATCTAGACAGAAGCATTCTCAGAAAATACTTTGTGATGATTGAGTTGAACTCACAGAGCTGAACATTCCTTTGGATGGAGCAGGTTTGAGACACACTTTTTGTAGAATCTACAAGTGGATATTTGGACCTCTCTGAGGATTTCGTTGGAAACGGGATAACTGCACCTAACTAAACGGAAGCATTCTCAGAAACTGCTTTGTGATGATTGCATTCACCTCACAGAGTTGAACATTCCTATTGATAGAGCAGTTTGGACACACTCTTGTTGTGGAATGTGCAAGTGGAGATTTGGAGCGCTTTGAGGCCTATGGTAGTAAAGGGAACAGCTTCATAGAAAAACTAGACAGATGCATTCTCAGGAACTTTTTGGTGATGTTTGTATTCAACTCCCAGAGTTGAACTTTCCTTTGGAAAGAGCAGCTATGAAACACTCTTTTTCTAGAATCTGCAAGTGGACGTTTGGAGGGCTTTGTGGTTTGTGGTGGAAAAGGAAATATCTTCACCTAAATACTAGATAGAAGCATTCTCAGAAGCTTCTCTGTGATGACTGCATTCAACTCACGGAGTTGAACACTCCTTTTGAGAGCGCAGTTTTGAAACTCTCTTTCTGTGGCATCCGCAAGGGGACATGTAGACCTCTTTGAAGATTTCGTTGGAAACGGAATCATCTTCACATAAAAACTATACAGAAGCAGTCTCAGAATCTTCTTTGTGATGTTTGCATTCAAATCCCAGAGTTGAACTTTCCTTTCAAAGTTCACGTTTGAAACACTCTTTTTGCAGGATCTACAAGTGGATATTTGGACCACTCTGTGTCCTTCGTTCGAAACGGGTATATCTTCACATGACATCTAGACAGAAGCTTTCTCAGAAAATTGTTTGGGATGATTGATTTGAACTCACAGAGGTGAGCATTCCTTGCGATGTAGCAGTTTAGAAACACACTTTCTGCAGAATCTGCAAGTGCATATTTGGACCTCTCTGAGGAATTCGTTGGAAACGGGATAATTTCAGCTGACTAAACAGAAGCATTCTCAGAACCTTCTTCGTGATGTCTGCATTCAACTCACAGTGTGGAACCTTTCTTTGATAGTTCAGGTTTGAAACACTCTTTTTGTAGAAACTGCAAGGGGATAATTGCACTCTTTGAGGAGTACCGTAGTAAAGGAAATAACTTCCTATAAAAAGAAGACAGAAGCATTCTCAGAACCCTCTTCGTGATGTTTGCATTCAACTCACAGTGCTGAACCTTTCTTTGATAGTTCAGCTTTGAAACACTCTTTTTGTAGAAACTGCAAATGGATATTTGGTCCTCTCTGAGGATTTCGTTGGAAAAGGGATAAAACGCACAGAACTAAACAGAAGCATTCAGAAAAAACTCTTGGTGACGACTGAGTTTAACTCACAGGAGCTGAACATTCCTTTGGATGGAGCAGTTTCGAAACACACTATTTGTAGAATGTGCAAGTGGATATTTGGGCCTCTCTGAGGATTTCGTTGGAAACGGGATAAACCGCACAGAACTAAACAGAAGAATTCTCAGAAACTACTTTGTGATGATTGCATTCAAGTCACAGAGTTGAACATTCCCTTTGACAGAGCAGTTTGGAAACTCTATTTGTGTAGAATCTGCAAGTGGAGATATGGACCGCTTTGAGGCCTATGGTAGTAAAGGAAATAGCTTCATATGAAAGCTAGACAGTAGCATTCTCAGAAACTTCTTTGTGATGCTTGCATTCAACTCACAGAGTTGAACTTTCCTTTCGAGAGAGAAGCTTTGAAACACTCTTTTTCCAGAATGTGCAAGTGGACATTTGGAGGGCTTTGAGGCCTGTGGTGGAAAAGGAATTATCTTCCCGTAAAAGCTAGATAGAAGCATTGTCAGAAACTTCTTTGTGATGATTGCATTCAACTCACAGAGTTGAAGGTTCCTTTTCAAACAGCAGTTTCCAATCACTCTTTCTGTGGAATCTGCAAGTGGATATTTGGGCCTCTCTGAGGATTTCGTTGGAAACGGGATAAAACGCACAGAACTAAAACAGAAGCATTCTCAGAAACTTCTCTGTGATGTTTGTGTTCAACTCCCAGAGTTTCACGTTGCTTTTCATAGAGTAGTTCTGAAACATGCTTTTCGTAGTGTCTGCAAGTGGACATTTGGATCGCTTTCAGGCCTGTGGTGGAAAACGAATTATGGTCACATAAAAACTGGAGAGAAGCATTCTCAGAAAATACTTTGTGATGATTGAGTTTAAATCACAGAGCTGACCATTCCTTTGGATGGAGCAGGTTTGAGACACACTTTTTGTAGAATCTACAAGTGGATATTTGGACCTCTCTGAGGATTTCGTTGGAAACGGGATAACTGCACCTAACTAAACGGAAAGCATTCTCAGAAACTGCTTTGTGATGATTGCATTCACCTCACAGGAGTTGAACATTCCTATTGATAGAGCAGTTTGGAAACACTCTTGTTGTGGAATGTGCAAGTGGAGATTTGGAGCGCTTTGAGGCCTGTGGTAGTAAAGGGAATAGCTTCATAGAAAAACTAGACAGATGCATTCTCAGGAACTTTTTGGTGATGTTTGTATTCAACTCCCAGAGTTGAACTTTCCTTTGGAAAGAGCAGCTATGAAACACTCTTTTTCTAGGATCTGCAAGTGGACGTTTGGAGGGCTTTGTGGTTTGTGGTGGAAAAGGAAATATCTTCACCTAAATACTAGAGAGAAGCATTCTCAGAAGCTTCTCTGTGATGACTGCATTCAACTCACGGAGTTGAACACTCCTCTTGAGAGCGCAGTTTTGAAACTCTCTTTCTGTGGCATCCGCAAGGGGACATGTAGACCTCTTTGAAGATTTCGTTGGAAACGGAATCATCTTCACATAAAAACTATACAGAAGCAGTCTCAGAATCTTCTTTGTGATGTTTGCATTCAAATCCCAGAGTTGAACTTTCCTTTCAAAGTTCACGTTTGAAACACTCTTTTTGCAGGATCTACAAGTGGATATTTGGACCACTCTGTGTCCTTCGTTCGAAACGGGTATATCTTCACATGACATCTAGACAGAAGCTTTCTCAGAAAATTCTTTGGGATGATTGAGTGGAACTCACAGAGCTGAACATTCCTTGCGATGTAGCAGTTTAGAAACACACTTTCTGCAGAATCTGCAAGTGCATATTTGGACCTCTCTGAGGAATTCGTTGGAAACGGGATAATTTCAGCTGACTAAACAGAAGCATTCTCAGAACCTTCTTCGTGATGTTTGCATTCAACTCACAGTGCTGAACCTTTCTTTGATAGTTCAGCTTTGAAACACTCTTTTTGTAGAATCTGCAAGGGGATAATTGCACTTCTTTGAGGCCTACCGTAGTAAAGGAAATAACTTCCTATAGAAAGAAGACAGAAGCATTCACAGAAAACTCTTGGTGACGAATGAGTTTAACTGACAGAGCTGAACATTCCTTTGGATGGAGCAGTTTCGAAACACACTATTTGTAGATTTGCAAGTGGATATTTGGGCCTCTCTGAGGATTTCGTTGGAAACGGGATAAACCGCACAGAACTAAACAGAAGCATTCTCAGAAACTACTTTGTGATGATTGCATTCAAGTCACAGAGCTGAACATTCCCTTTGACAGAGCAGTTTGGAAACTCTCTTTGTGTAGAATCTGCAAGTGGAGATATGGAATGCTTTGAGGACTATGGTAGTAAAGGAAATAGCTTCATATAAAAGCTAGACAGTAGCATTCTCAGAAACTTCTTTGTGATGCTTGCATTCAACTCACAGAGTTGAACTTTCCTTTCGAGAGAGAAGCTTCGAAACACTCTTTTTCCAGAGTCTGCAAGTGGACATTTGGAGGGCTTTGAGGCCTGTGGTGGAAAAGGAATTATCTTCCCGTAAAAGCTAGATAGAAGCATTGTCAGAAACTTCTTTGTGATGATTGCATTCAACTCACAGAGTTGAAGGTTCCTTTTTAAACAGCAGTTTCCAAACACTCTTTCTTTGGAATCTGCAAGTGGATGTTTGGACCTCTTTGAAGATTTCGTTGGAAACGGGAGAATCTTCACAGAAAAGCTAAACAGAAGCATTCTCAGAAACTTCTCTGTGATGTTTGTGTTCAACTCCCAGAGTTTCACGTTGCTTTTCATAGAGTAGTTCTGAAACATGCTTTTCGTAGTGTCTGCAAGTGGACATTTGGAGCGCTTTCAGGCCTGTGGTGGAAAACGAATTATGGTCACATAAAAACTGGAGAGAAGCCTTCTCAGAAACTTCTCTGTGATGATTGCATTCAACTCACAGAGTTGAACCCTCTATGGATAGAGCAGTGTTGAAACTCTCTTTTTGTGGAATCTGCAAGTGGATATGTGGACCTCTCCGAAGATGTCTTTGGAAACGGGAATATCTTCACATAAAAACTAAACAGAAGCATTCTCAGAAACTTCTTGGTGATGTTTGCATTCAAATCCCAGAGTTGAACCTTCCTTTGATAGTTCAGGTTTGAAACACTCTTTTTGTAGGATCTGGAAGTGGCTATTTGGACCACTCTGTGGCCTTCGTTCGAAACGGGTATATCTTCGCATAAAATCTAGACAGAAGCATTCTCAGAAAATACTTTGTGATGATTGAGTTTAACTCACAGAGCTGAACATTCCTTTGGATGGAGCAGGCTTGAGACACACTTTTTGTAGAATCCACAAGTGGATATTTGGACCTCTCTGAGGATTTCGTTGGAAACGGGATAACTGCACCGAACTAAACGGAAGCATTCTCAGAAACTGCTTTGTGATGATTGCATTCACCTCACAGAGTTGAACATTCCTATTGATAGAGCAGTTTGGAAACACTCTTGTTGTGGAATGTGCAAGTGGAGATTTGGAGCGCTTTGAGGCCTGTGGTAGTAAAGGGAATAGCTTCATAGAAAAACTAGACAGATGCATTCTCAGGAACTTTTTGGTGATGTTTGTATTCAACTCCCAGAGTTGAACTTTTCTTTGGAAAGAGCAGCTATGAAACACTGTTTTTCTAGAATCTGCAAGTGGACGTTTGGAGGGCTTTGTGGTTTGTGGTGGAAAAGGAAATATCTTCACCTAAATACTAGATAGAAGCAGTCTCAGAAGCTTCTCTGTGATGACTGCATTCAACTCACGGAGTTGAACACTCCTTTTGAGAGCGCAGTTTTGAAACTCTCTTTCTGTGGCATCTGCAAGGGGACATGTAGACCTCTTTGAAGATTTCGTTGGAAACGGAATCATCTTCACATAAAAACTATACAGAAGCAGTCTCAGAATCTTCTTTGTGATGTTTGCATTCAAATCCCAGAGTTGAACTTTCCTTTCAAAGTTCACGTTTGAAACACTCTTTTTGCAGGATCTACAAGTGGATATTTGGACCACTCTGTGTCCTTCGTTCGAAACAGGTATATCTTCACATGACATCTAGACAGAAGCTTTCTCAGAAAATTCTTTGGGATGATTGAGTTGAACTCACAGAGCTGAGCATTCCTTGCGATGTAGCAGTTTAGAAACACACTTTCTGCAGAATCTGCAAGTGCATATTTGGACCTCTCTGAGGAATTCGTTGGAAACGGGATAATTTCAGCTGACTAAACAGAAGCATTCTCAGAACCTTCTTCGTGATGTCTGCATTCAACTCACAGTGTGGAACCTTTCTTTGATAGTTCAGGTTTGAAACACTCTTTTTGTAGAAACTGCAAGGGGATAATTGCACTTCTTTGAGGCCTACCGTAGTAAAGGAAATAACTTCCTATAGAAAGAAGACAGAAGCATTCTCAGAACCCTCTTCGTGATGTTTGCATTCAACTCACAGTGCTGAACCTTTCTTTGATAGTTCAGCTTTGAAACACTCTTCTTGTAGAAACTGCAAGTGGATATTTGGTCCTCTCTGAGGATTTCGTTGGAAACGGGATAAACCACACAGAACTAAACAGAAGCATTCTCAGAACCTTCTTCGTGATGTTTGCATTCAACTCACAGTGTTGAACCTTTCTTTGATAGTTCAGGTTGGAAACGGTCTTTCTGTAGAAACTGCAAGTAGATATTTGGACCTCTCTGAGGATTTCGTTGGAAACGGGATAAACCGCACAGAACTAAAACAGAAGCATTCACAGAAAACTCTTGGTGACGACTGAGTTTAACTCACAGAGCTGAACATTCCTTTGGATGGAGCAGTTTCGAAACACACTATTTGTAGAATGTGCAAGTGGATATTTGGGCCTCTCTGAGGATTTCGTTGGAAACGGGATAAACCGCACAGAACTAAACAGAAGCATTCTCAGAAACTAATTTGTGATGATTGCATTCAAGTCACAGAGTTGAACATTCCCTTTGACAGAGCAGTTTGGAAACTCTCTTTGTGTAGAATCTGCAAGTGGAGATATGGACCGCTTTGAGGCCTATGGTAGTAAAGGAAAGAGCTTCATATAAAAGCTAGACAGTAGCATTCTCAGAAACTTCTTTGTGATGCTTGCATTCAACTCACAGAGTTGAACTTTCCTTTCGAGAGAGAAGCTTTGAAACACTCTTTTTCCAGAATCTGCAAGTGGACATTTGGAGGGCTTTGAGGCCTGTGGTGGAAAAGGAATTATCTTCCCGTAAAAGCTAGATAGAAGCATTGTCAGAAACTTCTTTGTGATGATTGCATTCAACTCACAGAGTTGAAGGTTCCTTTTCAAAGAGCAGTTTCCAATCACTCTTTCTGTGGAATCTGCAAGTAGATATTTGGACCGCTTTGAAGATTTCGTTGGAAACGGGAGAATCTTCACAGAAAAGCTAAACAGAAGCATTCTCAGAAACTTCTCTGTGATGTTTGTGTTCAACTCCCAGAGTTTCACATTGCTTTTCATAGAGTAGTTCTGAAACATGCTTTTCGTAGTGTCTGCAAGTGGACATTTGGAGCGCTTTCAGGCCTGTGGTGGAAAACGAATTATGGTCACATAAAAACTGGAGAGAAGCCTTCTCAGAAACTTCTCTGTGATGATTGCATTCAACTCACAGAGTTGAACCCTCCTATGGATAGAGCAGTGTTGAAACTCTCTTTTTGTGGAATCTGCAAGTGGATATGTAGACCTCTCCGAAGATGTCTTTGGAAACGGGAATATCTTCACATAAAAACTAAACAGAAGCATTCTCAGAAACTTCTTGGTGATGTTTGCATTCAAATCCCAGAGTTGAACCTTCCTTTGATAGTTCAGGTTTGAAACACTCTTTTTGTAGGATCTGCAAGTGGATATTTGGACCACTCTGTGGCCTTCGTTCGAAACGGGTACATCTTTGCATAAAATCTAGACAGAAGCATTCTCAGAAAATACTTTGTGATGATTGAGTTGAACTCACAGAGCTGAACATTCCTTTGGATGGAGCAGGTTTGAGACACACTTTTTGTAGAATCTACAAGTGGATATTTGGACCTCTCTGAGGATTTCGTTGGAAACGGGATAACTGCACCTAACTAAACGGAAGCATTCTCAGAAACTGCTTTGTGATGATTGCATTCACCTCACAGAGTTGAACATTCCTATTGATAGAGCAGTTTGGAAACACTCTTGTTGTGGAATGTGCAAGTGGAGATTTGGAGCGCTTTGAGGCCTATGGTAGTAAAGGGAATAGCTTCATAGAAAAACTAGACAGATGCATTCTCAGGAACTTTTTGGTGATGTTTGTATTCAACTCCCAGAGTTGAACTTTCCTTTGGAAAGAGCAGCTATGAAACACTCTTTTTCTAGAATCTGCAAGTGGACGTTTGGAGGGCTTTGTGGTTTGTGGTGGAAAAGGAAATATCTTCACCTAAATACTAGATAGAAGCATTCTCAGAAGCTTCTCTGTGATGACTGCATTCAACTCACGGAGTTGAACACTCCTTTTGAGAGCGCAGTTTTGAAACTCTCTTTCTGTGGCATCTGCAAGGGGACATGTAGACCTCTTTGAAGATTTCGTTGGAAACGGAATCATCTTCACATAAAAACTATACAGAAGCAGTCTCAGAATCTTCTTTGTGATGTTTGCATTCAAATCCCAGAGTTGAACTTTCCTTTCAAAGTTCACGTTTGAAACACTCTTTTTGCAGGATCTACAAGTGGATATTTGGAGCACTCTGTGTCCTTCGTTCGAAACGGGTATATCTTCACATGACATCTAGACAGAAGCTTTCTCAGAAAATTCTTTGGGATGATTGAGTGGAACTCACAGAGCTGAACATTCCTTGCGATGGAGCAGTTTAGAAACACACTTTCTGCAGAATCTGCAAGTGCATATTTGGACCTCTCTGAGGAATTCGTTGGAAACGGGATAATTTCAGCTGACTAAACAGAAGCATTCTCAGAACCTTCTTCGTGATGTCTGCATTCAACTCACAGTGTGGAACCTTTCTTTGATAGTTCAGGTTTGAAACACTCTTTTTGTAGAAACTGCAAGGGGATAATTGCACTTCTTTGAGGCCTACCGTAGTAAAGGAAATAACTTCCTATAGAAAGAAGACAGAAGCATTCTCAGAACCCTCTTCGTGATGTTTGCATTCAACTCACGGTGCTGAACCTTTCTTTGATAGTTCAGCTTTGAAACACTCTTTTTGTAGAAACTGCAAGTGGATATTTGGTCCTCTCTGAGGATTTCGTTGGAAACGGGATAAACCGCACAGAACTAAACAGAAGCATTCTCAGAACCTTCTTCGTGATGTTTGCATTCAACTCACAGTGTTGAACCTTTCTTTGATAGTTCAGGTTTGAAACGGTCTTTCTGTAGAAACTGCAAGTAGATATTTGGACCTCTCTGAGGATTTCGTTGGAAACGGGATAAACCGCACACAACTAAAACAGAAGCATTCACAGAAAACTCTTGGTGACGACTGAGTTTAACTCACAGAGCTGAACATTCCTTTGGATGGAGCAGTTTCGAAACACACTATTTCTAGAAGGTGCAAGTGGATATGTGGGCCTCTCTGAGGATTTCGTTGGAAACGGGATAAACCGCACAGAACTAAACAGAAGCATTCTCAGAAACTACTTTGTGATGATTGCATTCAAGTCACAGAGTTGAACATTCCCTTTGACAGAGCAGTTTGGAAACTCTCTTTGTGTAGAATCTGCAAGTGGAGATATGGACCGCTTTGAGGCCTATGGTAGTAAAGGAAATAGCTTCATATAAAAGCTAGACAGTAGCATTCTCAGAAACTTCTTTGTGATGCTTGCATTCAACTCACAGAGTTGAACTTTCCTTTCGAGAGAGAAGCTTTGAAACACTCTTTTTCCAGAATCTGCAAGTGGACATTTGGAGGGCTTTGAGGCCTGTGGTGGAAAAGGAATTATCTTCCCGTAAAAGCTAGATAGAAGCATTGTCAGAAACTTCTTTGTGATGATTGCATTCAAGTCACAGAGTTGAAGGTTCCTTTTCAAAGAGCAGTTTCCAATCACTCTTTCTGAGGAATCTGCAAGTGGATATTTGGACCTCTTTGAAGATTTCGTTGGAAACGGGAGAATCTTCACAGAAAAGCTAAACAGAAGCATTCTCAGAAACTTCTCTGTGATGTTTGTGTTCAACTCCCAGAGTTTCACATTGCTTCTCATAGAGTAGTTCTGAAACATGCTTTTCGTAGTGTCTGCAAGTGGACATTTGGAGCGCTTTCAGGCCTGTGGTGGAAAACGAATTATGGTCACATAAAAACTGGAGAGAAGCCTTCTCAGAAACTTCTCTGTGATGATTGCATTCAACTCACAGAGTTGAACCCTCCTATGGATAGAGCAGTGTTGAAACTCTCTTTTTGTGGAATCTGCAAGCGGATATGTGGACCTCTCCAAAGATGTCTTTGGAAAAGGGAATATCTTCACATAAAAACTAAACAGAAGCATTCTCAGAAACTTCTTGGTGATGTTTGCATTCAAATCCCAGAGTTGAACCTTCCTTTGAGAGTTCAGGTTTGAAACACTCTTTTTGTAGGATCTGCAAGTGGATATTTGGACCACTCTGTGGCCTTCGTTTGAAACGGGTACATCTTCGCATAAAATCTAGACAGAAGCATTCTCAGAAAATACTTTGTGATGATTGAGTTTAAATCACAGAGCTGACCATTCCTTTGGATGGAGCAGGTTTGAGACACACTTTTTGTAGAATCTACAAGTGGATATTTGGACCTCTCTGAGGATTTCGTTGGAAACGGGATAACTGCACCTAACTAAACGGAAGCATTCTCAGAAACTGCTTTGTGATGATTGCATTCACCTCACAGAGTTGAACATTCCTATTGATAGAGCAGTTTGGAAACACTCTTGTTGTGGAATGTGCAAGTGGAGATTTGGAGCGCTTTGAGGCCTATGGTAATAAAGGGAATAGCTTCATAGAAAAACTAGACAGATGCATTCTCAGGAACTTTTTGGTGATGTTTGTATTCAACTCCCAGAGTTGAACTTTCCTTTGGAAAGAGCAGCTATGAAACACTCTTTTTCTAGAATCTGCAAGTGGACGTTTGGAGGGCTTTGTGGTTTGTGGTGGAAAAGGAAATATCTTCACCTAAATACTAGATAGAAAGCATTCTCAGTAAGCTTCTCTGTGATGACTGCATTCAACTCACGGAGTTGAACACTCCTTTTGAGAGCGCAGTTTTGAAACTCTCTTTCTGTGGCATCTGCAAGGGGACATGTAGACCTCTTTGAAGATTTCGTTGGAAACGGAATCATCTTCACATAAAAACTATACAGAAGCAGTCTCAGAATCTTCTTTGTGATGTTTGCATTCAAATCCCCGAGTTGAACTTTCCTTTCAAAGTTCACGTTTGAAACACTCTTTTTGCAGGATCTACAAGTGGATATTTGGACCACTCTGTGTCCTTCGTTCGAAACGGGTATATCTTCACATGACATCTAGACAGAAGCTTTCTCAGAAAATTCTGTGGGATGATTGAGTGGAACTCACAGAGCTGAACATTCCTTGCGATGTAGCAGTTTAGAAACACACTTTCTGCAGAATCTGCAAGTGCATATTTGGACCTCTCTGAGGAATTCGTTGGAAACGGGATAATTTCAGCTGACTAAACAGAAGCATTCTCAGAACCTTCTTCGTGATGTCTGCATTCAACTCACAGTGTGGAACCTTTCTTTGATAGTTCAGGTTTGAAACACTCTTTTTGTAGAAACTGCAAGGGGATAATTGCACTTCTTTGAAGCCTACCGTAGTAAAGGAAATAACTTCCTATAGAAAGAAGACAGAAGCATTCTCAGAACCCTCTTCGTGATGTTTGCATTCAACTCACAGTGCTGAACCTTTCTTTGATAGTTCAGCTTTGAAACGCTCTTCTTGTAGAAACTGCAAGTGGATATTTTGTCCTCTCTGAGGATTTCGTTGTAGACGGGATAACCTGCACAGAACTAAACAGAAGCATTCTCAGAGCCCTCTTCGTGATGTTTGCATTCAACTCACAGTGCTGAACCTTTCTTTGATAGTGCAGCTTTGAAACACTCTTTTTCTAGAAACTGCAAGTGGATATTTGGACCTCTCTGAGGATTTCGTTGGAAACTGGATAAACCGCACAGAACTAAAACAGAAGCATTCACAGAAAACTCTTGGTGACGACTGAGTTTAACTCACAGAGCTGAACATTCCTTTGGATGGAGCAGTTTCGAAACACACTATTTGTAGAATCTGCAAGTGGATATTTGAGCCTACTCTGAGGATTTCGATGGAAACGGGATAAAACGCACAGAACTAAAACAGAAGCATTCTCAGAAACTACTTTGTGATGATTGCATTCAAGTCACAGAGTTGAACATTCCCTTTGACAGAGCAGTTTGGAAACTCTCTTTGTGTAGAATCTGCAAGTGGAGATATGGACCGCTTTGAGGCCTATGGTAGTAAAGGAAATAGCTTCATATAAAAGCTAGACAGTAGCATTCTCAGAAACTTCTTTGTGATGCTTGCATTCAACTCACAGAGTTGAACTTTCCTTTCGAGAGAGAAGCTTTGAAACACTCTTTTTCCGGAATCTGCAAGTGGACATTTGGAGGGCTTTGAGGCCTGTGGTGGAAAAGGAATTATCTTCCCGTAAAAGCTAGATAGAAGCATTGTCAGAAACTTCTTTGTGATGATTGCATTCAACTCACAGAGTTGAAGGTTCCTTTTCAAAGAGCAGTTTCCAATCACTCTTTCTGTGGAATCTGCAAGTGGATATTTGGACCTATTTTGAAGATTTCGTTGGAAACGGGAGAATCTTCACAGGAAAGCTAAACAGAAGCATTCTCAGAAACTTCTCTGTGATGTTTGTGTTCAACTCCCAGAGTTTCACATTGCTTTTCATAGAGTAGTTCTGAAACATGCTTTTCGTAGTGTCTACAAGTGGACATTTGGAGCGCTTTCAGGCCTGTGGTGGAAAACGAATTATGGTCACATAAAAACTGGAGAAAAGCCTTCTCAGAAACTTCTCTGTGCTGATTGCATTCAACTCACAGAGTTGAACCCTCCTATGGATAGAGCAGTGTTGAAACTCTCTTTTTGTGGAATCTGCAAGTGGATATGTGGACCTCTCCGAAGATGTCTTTGGAAACGGGAATATCTTCACATAAAAACTAAACAGAAGCATTCTCAGAAAATTCTTGGTGATGTTTGCATTCAAATCCCAGAGTTGAACCTTCCTTTGATAGTTCAGGTTTGAAACACTCTTTTTGTAGGATCTGCAAGTGGATATTTGGACCACTCTGTGGCCTTCGTTCCAAACGGGTACATCTCCGCATAAAATCTAGACAGAAGCATTCTCAGAAAATACTTTGTGATGATTGAGTTGAACTCACAGAGCTGAACATTCCTTTGGATGGAGCAGGTTTGAGACACACTTTTTGTAGAATCTACAAGTGGATATTTGGACCTCTCTGAGGATTTCGTTGGAAACGGGATAACTGCACCTAACTAAACGGAAGCCTTCTCAGAAACTGCTTGGTGATGATTGCATTCACCTCACAGAGTTGAACATTCCTATTGATAGAGCAGTTTGGAAACACTCTTGTTGTGGAATGTGCAAGTGGAGATTTGGAGCGCTTTGAGGCCTATGGTAGTAAAGGGAAGAGCTTCATAGAAAAACTAGACAGATGCATTCTCAGGAACTTTTTGGTGATGTTTGTATTCAACTCCCAGAGTTGAACTTTCCTTTGGAAAGAGCAGCTATGAAACACTCTTTTTCTAGAATCTGCAAGTGGACGTTTGGAGGGCTTTGTGGTTTGTGGTGGAAAAGGAAATATCTTCACCTAAATACTAGATAGAAGCATTCTCAGAAGCTTCTCTGTGATGACTGCATTCAACTCACGGAGTTGAACACTCCTTTTGAGAGCGCAGTTTTGAAACTCTCTTTCTGTGGCATCCGCAAGGGGACATGAAGACCTCTTTGAAGATTTCGTTGGAAACGGAATCATCTTCACATAAAAACTATACAGAAGCAGTCTCAGAATCTTCTTTGTGATGTTTGCATTCAAATCCCAGAGTTGAACTTTCCTTTCAAAGTTCACGTTTGAAACACTCTTTTTGCAGGATCTACAAGTGGATATTTGGACCACTCTGTGTCCTTCGTTCGAAACGGGTATATCTTCACACGACATCTAGACAGAAGCTTTCTCAGAAAATTCTTTGGGATGATTGAGTGGAACTCACAGAGCTGAACATTCCTTGCGATGTAGCAGTTTAGAAACACACTTTCTGCAGAATCTGCAAGTGCATATTTGGACCTCTCTGAGGAATTCGTTGGAAACGGGATAATTTCAGCTGACTACACAGAAGCATTCTCAGAACCTTCTTCGTGATGTCTGCATTCAACTCACAGTGTGGAACCTTTCTTTGATAGTTCAGGTTTGAAACACTCTTTTTGTAGAAACTGCAAGGGGATAATTGCACTTCTTTGAGGCCTACCGTAGTAAAGGAAATAACTTCCTATAGAAAGAAGACAGAAGCATTCACAGAAAACTCTTGGTGACGACTGAGTTTAACTCACAGAGCTGAACATTCCTTTGGATGGAGCAGTTTCGAAACACACTATTTGTAGAATCTGCAAGTGGATATTTGGGCCTCTCTGAGGATTTCGTTGGAAACGGGATAAAACGCACAGAACTAAACAGAAGCATTCTCAGAAACTACTTTGTGATGATTGCATTCAAGTCACAGAGTTGAACATTCCCTTTGACAGAGCAGTTTGGAAACTCTCTCTGTGTAGAATCTGCAAGTGGAGATATAGACCGCTTTGAGGCCTATGGTAGTAAAGGAAATAGCTTCATATAAAAGCTAGACAGTAGCATTCTCAGAAACTTCTTTGTGATGCTCGCATTCAACTCACAGAGTTGAACTTTCCTTTCGAGAGAGAAGCTTTGAAACACTCTTTTTCCAGAATCTGCAAGTGGACATTTGGAGGGCTTTGAGGCCTGTGGTGGAAAAGGAATTATCTTCCCGTAAAAGCTAGACAGAAGCATTGTCAGAAACTTCTTTGTGATGATTGCATTCAACTCACAGAGTTGAAGGTTCCTTTTCAAAGAGCAGTTTCCAATCACTCTTTCTGTGGAATCTGCAAGTGGATATTTGGACCTCTTTGAAGATTTCGTTGGAAACGGGAGAATCTTCAAAGGAAAGCTAAACAGAAGCATTCTCAGAAACTTCTCTGTGATGTTTGTGTTCAACTCCCAGAGTTTCACATTGCTTCTCATAGAGTAGTTCTGAAACATGCTTTTCGTAGTGTCTGCAAGTGGACATTTGGAGCGCTTTCAGGCCTGTGGTGGAAAACGAATTATGGTCACATAAAAACTGGAGAGAAGCCTTCTCAGAAACTTCTCTGTGATGATTGCATTCAACTCACAGAGTTGAACCCTCCTGTGGATAGAGCAGTGTTGAAACTCTCTTTTTGTGGAATCTGCAAGCGGATATGTGGACCTCTCCGAAGATGTCTTTGGAAACGGGAATATCTTCACATAAAAACTAAACAGAAGCATTCTCAGAAACTTCTTGGTGATGTTTGCAATCAAATCCCAGAGTTGAACCTTCCTTTGATAGTTCAGGTTTGAAACACTCTTTTTGTAGGATCTGCAAGTGGATATTTGGACCACTCTGTGGCCTTCGTTCGAAACGGGTACATCTTCGCATAAAATCTAGACAGAAGCATTCTCAGAAAATACTTTGTGATGATTGAGTTGAACTCACAGAGCTGAACATTCCTTTGGATGGAGCAGGTTTGAGACACACTTTTTGTAGAATCTACAAGTGGATATTTGGACCTCTCTGAGGATATCGTTGGAAACGGGATAACTGCACCTAACTAAACGGAAGCATTATCAGAAACTGCTTTGTGATGATTGCATTCACCTCACAGAGTTGAACATTCCTATTGATAGAGCAGTTTGGAAACACTCTTGTTGTGGAATGTGCAAGTGGAGATTTGGAGCGCTTTGAGGCCTATGGTAGTAAAGGGAATAGCTTCATAGAAAAACTAGACAGATGCATTCTCAGGAACTTTTTGGTGATGTTTGTATTCAACTCCCAGAGTTGAACTTTCCTTTGGAAAGAGCAGCTATGAAACACTGTTTTTCTAGAATCTGCAAGTGGACGTTTGGAGGGCTTTGTGGTTTGTGGTGGAAAAGGAAATATCCTTCACCTAAATACTAGATAGAAGCATTCTCAGAAGCTTCTCTGTGATGACTGCATTCAACTCACGGAGTTGAACACTCCTTTTGAGAGCGCAGTTTTGAAACTCTCTTTCTGTGGCATCTGCAAGGGGACATGTAGACCTCTTTGAAGATTTCGTTGGAAACGGAATCATCTTCACATAAAAACTATACAGAAAGCAGTCTCAGAATCTTCTTTGTGATGTTTGCATTCAAATCCCAGAGTTGAACTTTCCTTTCAAAGTTCACGTTTGAAACACTCTTTTTGCAGGATCTACAAGTGGATATTTGGACCACTCTGTGTCCTTCGTTCGAAACGGGTATATCTTCACACGACATCTAGACAGAGCTTTCTCAGAAAATTCTTTGGGATGATTGAGTGGAACTCACAGAGCTGAACATTCCTTGCGATGTAGCAGTTTAGAAACACACTTTCTGCAGAATCTGCAAGTGCATATTTGGACCTCTCTGAGGAATTCGTTGGAAACGGGATAATTTCAGCTGACTAAACAGAAGCATTCTCAGAACCTTCTTCGTGATGTCTGCATTCAACTCACAGTGTGGAACCTTTCTTTGATAGTTCAGGTTTGAAACACTCCTTTTGTAGAAACTGCAAGGGGATAATTGCACTTCTTTGAGGCCTACCGTCGTAAAGGAAATAACTTCCTATAGAAAGAAGACAGAAGCATTCTCAGAACCCTCTTCGTGATGTTTGCATTCAACTCACAGTGCTGAACCTTTCTTTGATAGTTCAGCTTTGAAACACTCTTCTTGTAGAAACTGCAAGTGGATATTTGGTCCTCTCTGAGGATTTCGTTGGAAACGGGATAAACCGCACAGAACTAAACAGAAGAACTCTCAGAGCCCTCTTCGTGATGTTTGCATTCAACTCACAGTGCTGAACCTTTCTTTGATAGTGCAGCTTTGAAACACTCTTTTTGTAGAAACTGCAAGTGGATATTTGGTCCTCTCTGAGGATTTCGTTGGAAACGGGATAAACCGCACAGAACTAAAACAGAAGCATTCACAGAAAACTCTTGGTGACGACTGAGTTTAACTCACAGAGCTGAACATTCCTTTGGATGGAGCAGTTTCGAAACACACTATTTGTAGAATCTGCAAGTGGATATTTGGGCCTCTCTGAGGATTTCGTTGGAAACGGGATAAAACGCACAGAACTAAAACAGAAGCATTCTCAGAAACTACTTTGTGATGATTGCATTCAAGTCACAGAGTTGAACATTCCCTTTGACAGAGCAGTTTGGAAACTCTCTTTGTGTAGAATCTGCAAGTGGAGATATGGACCGCTTTGAGGCCTATGGTAGTAAAGGAAATAGCTTCATATAAAAGCTAGACAGTAGCATTCTCAGAAACTTCTTTGTGATGCTTGCATTCAACTCACAGAGTTGAACTTTCCTTTCGAGAGAGAAGCTTTGAAACACTCTTTTTCCAGAATGTGCAAGTGGACATTTGGGGAGCTTTGAGGCCTGTGGTGGAAAAGGAATTATCTTCCCGTAAAAGCTAGATAGAAGCATTGTCAGAAACTTCTTTGAGATGATTGCATTCAACTCACAGAGTTGAAGGTTCCTTTTCAAACAGCAGTTTCCAATCACTCTTTCTGTGGAATCTGCAAGTGGATATTTCAACCTCTTTGAAGATTTCGTTGGAAACGGGAGAATCTTCACAGAAAAGCTAAACAGAAGCATTCTCAGAAACTTCTCTGTGATGTTTGTGTTCAACTCCCAGAGTTTCACGTTGCTTTTCATAGAGTAGTTCTGAAACATGCTTTTCGTAGTGTCTGCAAGTGGACATTTGGAGCGATTTCAGGCCTGTGGTGGAAAACGAATTATGGTCACATAAAAACTGGAGAGAAGCCTTCTCAGAAACTTCTCTGTGATGATTGCATTCAACTCACAGAGTTGAACCCTCCTATGGATAGAGCAGTGTTGAAACTCTCTTTTTGTGGAATCTGCAAGTGGATATGTGGACCTCTCCGAAGATGTCTTTGGAAACGGGAATATCTTCACATAAAAACTAAACAGAAGCATTCTCAGAAACTTCTTGGTGATGTTTGCATTCAAATCCCAGAGTTGAACCTTCCTTTGATAGTTCAGGTTTGAAACACTCTTTTTGTAGGATCTGCAAGTGGCTATTTGGACCACTCTGTGGCCTTCGTTCGAAACGGGTATATCTTCGCATAAAATCTAGACAGAAGCATTCTCAGAAAATACTTTGTGATGATTGAGTTTAAATCACAGAGCTGACCATTCCTTTGGATGGAGCAGGTTTGAGACACACTTTTTGTAGAATCTACAAGTGGATATTTGGACCTCTCTGAGGATTTCGTTGGAAACGGGATAACTGCACCTAACTAAACGGAAGCATTCTCAGAAACTGCTTTGTGATGATTGCATTCACCTCACAGAGTTGAACATTCCTATTGATAGAGCAGTTTGGAAACACTCTTGTTGTGGAATGTGCAAGTGGAGATTTGGAGCGCTTTGAGGCCTATGGTAGTAAAGGGAATAGCTTCATAGAAAAACTAGACAGATGCATTCTCAGGAACTTTTTGGTGATGTTTGTATTCAACTCCCAGAGTTGAACTTTCCTTTGGAAAGAGCAGCTATGAAACACTCTTTTTCTAGAATCTGCAAGTGGACGTTTGGAGGGCTTTGTGGTTTGTGGTGGAAAAGGAAATATCTTCACCTAAATACTAGATAGAAGCATTCTCAGAAGCTTCTCTGTGATGACTGCATTCAACTCACGGAGTTGAACACTCCTTTTGAGAGCGCAGTTTTGAAACTCTCTTTCTGTGGCATCTGCAAGGGGACATGTAGACCTCTTTGAAGATTTCGTTGGAAACGGAATCATCTTCACATAAAAACTATACAGAAGCAGTCTCAGAATCTTCTTTGTGATGTTTGCATTCAAATCCCAGAGTTGAACTTTCCTTTCAAAGTTCACGTTTGAAACACTCTTTTTGCAGGATCTACAAGTGGATATTTGGACCACTCTGTGTCCTTCGTTCGAAACGGGTATATCTTCACACGACATCTAGACAGAAGCTTTCTCAGAAAATTCTTTGGGATGATTGAGTGGAACTCACAGAGCTGAACATTCCTTGCGATGTAGCAGTTTAGAAACACACTTTCTGCAGAATCTGCAAGTGCATATTTGGACCTCTCTGAGGAATTCGTTGGAAACGGGATAATTTCAGCTGACTAAACAGAAGCATTCTCAGAACCTTCTTCGTGATGTCTGCATTCAACTCACAGTGTGGAACCTTTCTTTGATAGTTCAGGTTTGAAACACTCTTTTTGTAGAAACTGCAAGGGGATAATTGCACTTCTTTGAGGCCTACCGTAGTAAAGGAAATAACTTCCTATAGAAAGAAGACAGAAGCATTCTCAAAACCCTCTTTGTGATGTTTGCATTCAACTCACAGAGCTGAACCTTTCTTTGATAGTTCAGCTTTGAAACACTCTTCTTGTAGAAACTGCAAGTGGATATTTGGTCCTCTCTGAGGATTTCGTTGGAAACGGGATAAACCGCACAGAACTAAACAGAAGCATTCTCAGAACCTTCTTCGTGATGTTTGCATTCAACTCACAGTGTTGAACCTTTCTTTGATAGTTCAGGTTTGAAACGGTCTTTCTGTAGAAACTGCAAGTAGATATTTGGACCTCTCTGAGGATTTCGTTGGAAACGGGATAACCCGCACAGAACTAAAACAGAAGCATTCACAGAAAACTCTCGGTGACGACTGAGTTTAACTCACAGAGCTGAACATCCCTTTGGATGGAGCAGTTTCGAAACACACTATTTGTAGAATGTGCAAGTGGATATTGGGGCCTCTCTGAGGATTTCGTTGGAAACGGGATAAACCACACAGAACTAAACAGAAGCATTCTCAGAAACTACTTTGTGATGATTGCATTCAAGTCACAGAGCTGAACATTCCCTTTGACGGAGCAGTTTGGAAACTCTCTTTGTGTAGAATCTGCAAGTGGAGATATGGAATGCTTTGAGGACTATGGTAGTAAAGGGAATAGCTTCATATAAACGCTAGACAGTAGCATTCTCAGAAACTTCTTTGTGATGCTTGCATTCAACTCACAGAGTTGAAATTTCCTTTCGAGAGAGAAGCTTTGAAACACTCTTTTTCCAGAATGTTCAAGTGGATATTTGCAGGGCTTTGAGGCCTGTGGTGGAAAAGGAATTATCTTCCCGTAAAAGCTAGATAGAAGCATTGTCAGAAACTTCTTTGTGATGATTGCATTCAACTCACAGTAGTTGAAGGTTCCTTTTCAAACAGCAGTTTCCAATCACTCTTTCTGTGGAATCTGCAAGTGGATATTTGGGCCTCTCTGAGGATTTCGTTGGAAACGGGATAAAACGCACAGAACTAAAACAGAAGCATTCTCAGAAACTTCTCTGTGATGTTTGTGTTCAACTCCCAGAGTTTCACATTGCTTTTCATAGAGTAGTTCTGAAACATGCTTTTCGTAGTGTCTGCAAGTGGACATTTGGAGCGCTTTCAGGCCTGTGGTGGAAAACGAATTATGGTCACATAAAAACTGGAGAGAAGCCTTCTCAGAAACTTCTCTGTGATGATTGCATTCAACTCACAGAGTTGAACCCTCCTATGGATAGAGCAGTGTTGAAACTCTCTTTCTGTGGAATCTGCAAGTGGATATGTGGACCTCTCCGAAGATGTCTTTGGAAACGGGAATATCTTCACATAAAAACTAAACAGAAGCATTCTCAGAAACTTCTTGGTGATGTTTGCATTCAAATCCCAGAGTTGAACCTTCCTTTGATAGTTCAGGTTTGAAACACTCTTTTTGTAGGATCTGCAAGTGGATATTTGGACCACTCTGTGGCCTTCGTTCGAAACGGGTACATCTTCACATAAAATCTAGACAGAAGCATTCTCAGAAAATACTTTGTGATGATTGAGTTTAAATCACAGAGCTGACCATTCCTTTGGATGGAGCAGGTTTGAGACACACTTTTTGTAGAATCTACAAGTGGATATTTGGACCTCTCTGAGGATTTCGTTGGAAACGGGATAACTGCACCTAACTAAACGGAAGCATTCTCAGAAACTGCTTTGTGATGATTGCATTCACCTCACAGAGTTGAACATTCGTATTGATAGAGCAGTTTGGAAACACTCTTCTTGTGGAATGTGCAAGTGGAGATTTGGAGCGCTTTGGGGCCTATGGTAGTAAAGGGAATAGCTTCATAGAAAAACTAGACAGATGCATTCTCAGGAACTTTTTGGTGATGTTTGTATTCAACTCCCAGAGTTGAACTTTCCTTTGGAAAGAGCAGCTATGAAACACTCTTTTTCTAGAATCTGCAAGTGGACGTTTGGAGGGCTTTGTGGTTTGTGGTGGAAAAGGAAATATCTTCACCTAAATACTAGATAGAAGCATTCTCAGAAGCTTCTCTGTGATGACTGCATTCAACTCACGGAGTTGAACACTCCTTTTGAGAGCGCAGTTTTGAAACTCTCTTTCTGTGGCATCCGCAAGGGAACATGTAGACCTGTTTGAAGATTTCGTTGGAAACGGAATCAATTTCACATAAAAACTATACAGAAGCAGTCTCAGAATCTTCTTTGTGGTGTTTGCATTCAAATCCCAGAGTTGAACTTTCCTTTCAAAGTTCACGTTTGAAACACTCTTTTTGCAGGATCTACAAGTGGATATTTGGACCACTCTGTGTCCTTCGTTCGAAACGGGTATATCTTCACATGACATCTAGACAGAAGCTTTCTCAGAAAATTCTTTGGGATGATTGAGTTGAACTCACAGAGCTGAGCATTCCTTGCGATGTAGCAGTTTAGAAACACACTTTCTGCAGAATCTGCAAGTGCATATTTGGACCTCTGTGAGGAATTCGTTGGAAACGGGATAATTTCAGCTGACTAAACAGAAGAATTCTCAGAACCTTCTTCGTGATGTCTGCATTCAACTCAAAGTGTGGAACCTTTCTTTGATAGTTCAGGTTTTAAAAACTCTTTTTGTAGAAACTGCAAGGGGATAATTGCACTCTTTGAGGAGTACCGTAGTAAAGGAAATAACTTCCTATAAAAAGAAGACAGAAGCATTCTCAGAACCCTCTTCGTGATGTTTGCATTCAACTCACAGTGCTGAACCTTTCTTTGATAGTTCAGCTTTGAAACACTCTTTTTGTAGAAACTGCAAGTGGATATTTGGTCCTCTCTGAGGATTTCGTTGGAAACGGGATAAAACGCACAGAACGAAACAGAAGCATTCTCAGAACCTTCTTCGTGATGTTTGCATTCAACTCACAGTGTTGAACCTTTCTTTGATAGTTCAGGTTTGAAACGGTCTTTCTGTAGAAACTGCAAGTAGATATTTGGACCTCTCTGAGGATTTCGTTGGAAACGGGATAAACAGCACAGAACTAAAACAGAAGCATTCTCACAAAACTCTTTGTGACGACTGAGTTTATCTCACAGAGCTGAACATTCCTTTGGATGGAGTAGTTTCGAAACACACTTTTTGTAGAATCTGCAAGTGGATATTTGGAACTCTGAGTATTTTTTTGGAAACGGGTTAAAATTCACAGAACTAAACAGCAGCATTCTCAGAAACTACTTTGTGATGATTGCATTCAAGTCATGGATTTGAACATTCTCTTTGACAGAGCAGTTTGGAAACTCTCTTTTTGTAGAATCTGCAAGTGGAGATATGGACCGCTTTGAGGCCTATGGCAGTAAAGGAAATAACTTCATATAAAAACTAGACAGTAGCATTCTCAGAAACTTCTTCGTGATGTTTGCATTCAACTCATAGAGTTGAACTTTCCTTTTGAGAGAGAAGCTTTGAAACACTCTTTTTCTAGAATCTGCAAGTGGACATTTGGAGGGCTTTGAGGCCTGTGTTGGAAAAGGAAATATCTTCCCGTAAAAACTAGAGAGAAGCATTGTCAGAAACTTCTTTGTGATGATTGCATTCAACTCACAGGAGTTGAAGGTTCCTTTTCAAACAGCAGTTTCCAATCACTCTTTCTGTGGAATCTGCAAGTGGATATTTCGACCTCTTTGAAGATTTCGTTGGAAACGGGAGAATCTTCACAGAAAAGCTAAACAGAAGCATTCTCAGAAACTTCTCTGTGATGTTTGTGTTCAACTCCCAGAGTTTCACGTTGCTTTTCATAGAGTAGTTCTGAAACATGCTTTTCGTAGTGTCTGCAAGTGGACATTTGGAGCGCTTTCAGGCCTGTGGTGGAAAACGAATTATGGTCACATAAAAACTGGAGAGAAGCCTTCTCAGAAACTTCTCTGTGATGATTGCATTCAACTCACAGAGTTGAACCCTCCTATGGATAGAGCAGTGTTGAAACTCTGTTTTTGTGGAATCTGCAAGTGGATATGTGGACCTCGCCGAAGATGTCTTTGGAAACGGGAATATCTTCACATAAAAACTAAACAGAAGCATTCTCAGAAACTTCTTGGTGATGTTTGCATTCAAATCCCAGAGTTGAACCTTCCTTTGATAGTTCAGGTTTGAAACACTCTTTTTGTAGGATCTGCAAGTGGATATTTGGACCACACTGTGGCCTTCGTTCAAAACGGGTACATCTTCGCATAATATGTAGACAGAAGCATTCTCAGAAAATACTTTGTGATGATTGAGTTTAACTCACAGAGCTGAACATTCCTTTGGATGGAGCAGGTTTGAGACACACTTTTTGTAGAATCTACAAGTGGATATTTCGACCTTTCTGAGGATTTCGTTGGAAACGGGTTAACTGCACCTAACTAAACGGAAGCGTTCTCAGAAACTGCTTTGTGATGATTGCATTCACCTCACAGAGTTGAACATTCCTATTGATAGAGCAGTTTGGAAACACTCCTGTTGTGGAATGTGCAAGTGGAGATTTGGAGCGCTTTGAGGCCTATGGTAGTAAAGGGAATAACTTCATAGAAAAACTAGACAGATGCATTCTCAGGAACTTTTTGGTGATGTTTGTATTCAACTCCCAGAGTTGAACTTTCCTTTGGAAAGAGCAGCTATGAAACACTCTTTTTCTAGAATCTGCAAGTGGACGTTTGGAGGGCTTTGTGGTTTGTGGTGGAAAAGGAAATATCTTCACCTAAATACTAGATAGAAGCATTCTCAGAAGCTTCTCTGTGATGACTGCATTCAACTCACGGAGTTGAACACTCCTTTTGAGAGCGCAGTTTTGAAACTCTCTTTCTGTGGCATCTGCAAGGGGACATGTAGACCTCTTTGAAGATTTCGTTGGAAACGGAATCATCTTCACATAAAAACTATACAGAAGCAGTCTCAGAATCTTCTTTGTGATGTTTGCATTCAAATCCCAGAGTTGAACTTTCCTTTCAAAGTTCACGTTTGAAACACTCTTTTTGCAGGATCTACAAGTGGATATTTGGACCACTCTGTGTCCTTCGTTCGAAACGGGTATATCTTCACACGACATCTAGACAGAAGCTTTCTCAGAAAATTCTTTGGGATGATTGAGTTGAACTCACAGAGCTGAACATTCCTTGCGATGTAGCAGTTTAGAAACACACTTTCTACAGAATCTGCAAGTGCATATTTGGACCTCTCTGAGGAATTCGTTGGAAACGGGATAATTTCAGCTGACTAAACAGAAGCATTCTCAGAACCATCTTCGTGATGTCTGCATTCAACTCACAGTGTGGAACCTTTCTTTGATAGTTCAGGTTTGAAACACTCTTTTTGTAGAAACTGCAAGGGGATCATTGCACTTCTTTGAGGCCTACCGTAGTAAAGTAGATAACTTCCTACAAAAAGAAGACAGAAGCATTCTCAGAACCCTCTTCGTGATGTTTGCATTCAACTCACAGTGCTGAACCTTTCTTTGATAGTTCAGCTTTGAAACACTCTTCTTGTAGAAACTGCAAGTGGATATTTGGTCCTCTCTGAGGATTTCGTTGGAAACGGGATAAACCGCACAGAACTAAACAGAAGAATTCTCAGAGCCCTCTTCGTGATGTTTGCATTCAACTCACAGTGCTGAACCTTTCTTTGATAGTGCAGCTTTGAAACACTCTTTTTGTAGAACCTGCAAGTGGATATTTGGTCCTCTCTGAGGATTTCGTTGGAAACGGGATAAACCGCACAGAACTAAAACAGAAGCATTGTCAGAAACTTCTTTGTGATGATTGCATTCAACTCACAGAGTTGAAGGTTCCTTTTCAAACAGCAGTTTCCAATCACTCTTTCTGTGGAATCTGCAAGTGGATATTTGGGCCTCTCTGAGGATTTCGTTGGAAACGGGATAAAACGCACAGAACTAAAACAGAAGCATTCTCAGAAACTTCTCTGTGATGTTTGTGTTCAACTCCCAGAGTTTCACGTTGCTTTTCATAGAGTAGTTCTGAAACATGCTTTTCGTAGTGTCTGCAAGTGGACATTTGGAGCGCTTTCAGGTCTGTGGTGGAAAACGAATTATGGTCACATAAAAACTGGAGAGAAGCCTTCTCAGAAACTTCTCTGTGATGATTGCATTCAACTCACAGAGTTGAACCCTCCTATGGATAGAGCAGTGTTGAAACTCTCTTTTTGTGGAATCTGCAAGTGGATATGTGGACCTCTCCGAAGATGTCTTTGGAAACGGGAATATCTTCACATAAAAACTAAACAGAAGCATTCTCAGAAACTTCTTGGTGATGTTTGCATTCAAATCCCAGAGGTGAACCTTCCTTTGATAGTTCAGGTTTGAAACACTCTTTTTGTAGGATCTGCAAGTGGCTATTTGGACCACTCTGTGGCCTTCGTTCGAAACGGGTATATCTTCGCATAAAATCTAGACAGAAGCATTCTCAGAAAATACTTTGTGATGATTGAGTTGAACTCACAGAGCTGAACATTCCTTTGGATGGAGCAGGTTTGAGACACACTTTTTGTAGAATCTACAAGTGGATATTTGGACCTCTCTGAGGATTTCGCTGGAAACGGGATAACTGCACCTAACTAAACGGAAGCATTCTCAGAAACTGCTTTGTGATGATTGCATTCACCTCACAGAGTTGAACATTCCTATTGATAGAGCAGTTTGGAAACACTCTTGTTGTGGAATGTGCAAGTGGAGATTTGGAGCGCTTTGAGGCCTATGGTAGTAAAGGGAATAGCTTCATAGAAAAACTAGACAGATGCATTCTCAGGAACTTTTTGGTGATGTTTGTATTCAACTCCCAGAGTTGAACTTTCCTTTGGAAAGAGCAGCTATGAAACACTCTTTTTCTAGAATCTGCAAGTGGACGTTTGGAGGGCTTTGTGGTTTGTGGTGGAAAAGGAAATATCTTCACCTAAATACTAGATAGAAGCATCCTCAGAAGCTTCTCTGTGATGACTGCATTCAACTCACGGAGTTGAACACTCCTTTTGAGAGCGCAGTTTTGAAACTCTCTTTCTGTGGCATCTGCAAGGGGACATGTAGACCTCTTTGAAGATTTCGTTGGAAACGGAATCATCTTCACATAAAAACTACACAGAAGCAGTCTCAGAATCTTCTTTGTGATGTTTGCATTCAAATCCCCGAGTTGAACTTTCCTTTCAAAGTTCACGTTTGAAACACTCTTTTTGCAGGATCTACAAGTGGATATTTGGACCACTCTGTGTCCTTCGTTCGAAACGGGTATATCTTCACATGACATCTAGACAGAAGCTTTCTCAGAAAATTCTTTGGGATGATTGAGTTGAACTCACAGAGCTGAGCATTCCTTGCGATGTAGCAGTTTAGAAACGCACTTTCTGCAGAATCTGCAAGTGCATATTTGGACCTCTGTGAGGAATTCGTTGGAAACGGGATAATTTCAGCTGACTAAACAGAAGCATTCTCAGAACCTTCTTCGTGATGTCTGCATTCAACTCACAGTGTGGAACCTTTCTTTGATAGTTCAGGTTTGAAACACTCTTTCTGTAGAAACTGCAAGGGGATAATTGCACTCTTTGAGGAGTACCGTAGTAAAGGAAATAACTTCCTATAAAAAGAAGACAGAAGCATTCTCAGAACCCTCTTCGTGATGTTTGCATTCAACTCACAGTGCTGAACCTTTCTTTGATAGTTCAGCTTTGAAACACTCTTTTTGTAGAAACTGCAAGTGGATATTTGGTCCTCTCTGAGGATTTCGTTGGAAACGGGATAAACTGCACAGAACTAAACAGAAGCATTCTCAGAACCTTCTTCGTGATGTTTGCATTCAACTCACAGTGTTGAACCTTTCTTTGATAGTTCAGGTTTGAAACGGTCTTTCTGTAGAAACTGCAAGTAGATATTTGGACCTCTCTGAGGATTTCGTTGGAAACGGGATAACCCGCACAGAACTAAAACAGAAGCATTCAGAAAAAACTCTTGGTGACGACTGAGTTTAACTCACAGAGCTGAACATTCCTTTGGATGGAGCAGTTTCGAAACACACTATTTGTAGAATGTGCAAGTGGATATTTGGGCCTCTCTGAGGATTTCGTTGGAAACGGGATAAACCGCACAGAACTAAACAGAAGCATTCTCAGAAACTACTTTGTGATGATTGCATTCAAGTAACAGAGTTGAACATTCCCTTTGACAGAGCAGTTTGGAAACTCTCTTTGTGTAGAATCTGCAAGTGGAGATATGGACCGCTTTGAGGCCTATGGTAGTAAAGGAAATAGCTTCATATAAAAGCTAGACAGTAGCATTCTCAGAAACTTCTTTGAGATGCTTGCATTCAACTCACAGAGTTGAACTTTCCTTTCGAGAGAGAAGCTTTGAAACACTCTTTTTCCAGAATCTGCAAGTGGACATTTGGAGGGCTTTGAGGCCTGTGGTGGAAAAGGAATTATCTTCCCGTAAAAGCTAGATAGAAGCATTGTCAGAAACTTCTTTGTGATGATTGCATTCAACTCACAGAGTTGAAGGTTCCTTTTCAAACAGCAGTTTCCAATCACTCTTTCTGTGGAATCTGCAAGTGGATATTTGGGCCTCTCTGAGGATTTCGTTGGAAACGGGATAAAACGCACAGAACTAAAACAGAAGCATTCTCAGAAACTTCTCTGTGATGTTTGTGTTCAACTCCCAGAGTTTCACGTTGCTTTTCATAGAGTAGTTCTGAAACATGCTTTTCGTAGTGTCTGCAAGTGGACATTTGGATCGCTTTCAGGCCTGTGGTGGAAAACGAATTATGGTCACATAAAAACTGGAGAGAAGCATTCTCAGAAAATACTTTGTGATGATTGAGTTTAAATCACAGAGCTGACCATTCCTTTGGATGGAGCAGGTTTGAGACACACTTTTTGTAGAATCTACAAGTGGATATTTGGACCTCTCTGAGGATTTCGTTGGAAACGGGATAACTGCACCTAACTAAACGGAAGCATTCTCAGTAAACTGCTTTGTGATGATTGCATTCACCTCACAGAGTTGAACATTCCTATTGATAGAGCAGTTTGGAAACACTCTTCTTGTGGAATGTGCAAGTGGAGATTTGGAGCGCTTTGAGGCCTATGGTAGTAAAGGGAATAGCTTCATAGAAAAACTAGACAGATGCATTCTCAGGAACTTTTTGGTGATGTTTGTATTCAACTCCCAGAGTTGAACTTTCCTTTGGAAAGAGCAGCTATGAAACACTGTTTTTCTAGAATCTGCAAGTGGACGTTTGGAGGGCTTTGTGGTTTGTGGTGGAAAAGGAAATATCTTCACCTAAATACTAGATAGAAGCATCCTCAGAAGCTTCTCTGTGATGACTGCATTCAACTCACGGAGTTGAACACTCCTTTTGAGAGCGCAGTTTTGAAACTCTCTTTCTGTGGCATCTGCAAGGGGACATGTAGACCTCTTTGAAAATTTCGTTGGAAACGGAATCATCTTCACATAAAAACTACACAGAAGCAGTCTCAGAATCTTCTTTGTGATGTTTGCATTCAAATCCCCGAGTTGAACTTTCCTTTCAAAGTTCACGTTTGAAACACTCTTTTTGCAGGATCTACAAGTGGATATTTGGACCACTCTGTGTCCTTCGTTCGAAACGGGTATATCTTCACATGACATCTAGACAGAAGCTTTCTCAGAAAATTCTTTGGGATGATTGAGTTGAACTCACAGAGCTGAGCATTCCTTGCGATGTAGCAGTTTAGAAACACACTTTCTGCAGAATCTGCAAGTGCATATTTGGACCTCTGTGAGGAATTCGTTGGAAACGGGATAATTTCAGCTGACTAAACAGAAGCATTTTCAGAACCTTCTTCGTGATGTCTGCATTCAAGTCACAGTGTGGAACCTTTCTTTGATAGTTCAGGTTTGAAACACTCTTTTTGTAGAAACTGCAAGGGGATAATTGCACTCTTTGAGGAGTACCGTAGTAAAGGAAATATCTTCCTATAAAAAGAAGACAGAAGCATTCTCAGAACCCTCTTCGTGATGTTTGCATTCAACTCACAGTGCTGAACCTTTCTTTGATTGTTCAGCTTTGAAACACTCTTTTTGTAGAAACTGCAAATGGATATTTGGTCCTCTCTGAGGATTTCGTTGGAAAAGGGATAAAACACACAGAACTAAACAGAAGCATTCTCAGAACCCTCTTCGTGATGTTTGCATTCAACTCACAGTGTTGAACCTTTCTTTGATAGTTCAGCTTTGAAACGGTCTTTCTGTAGAAAATGCAAGTAGATATTTGGACCTCTCTGAGGATTTCGTTGGAAACGGGATAAACCGCACAGAACAAAAACAGAAGCATTCTCAGAACCTTCTTCGTGATGTTTGCATTCAACTCACAGTGTTGAACCTTTCTTTGATAGTTCAGGTTGGAAACGGTCTTTCTGTAGAAACTGCAAGTAGATATTTGGACCTCTCTGAGGATTTCGTTGGAAACGGGATAAACCGCACAGAACTAAAACAGAAGCATTCACAGAAAACTCTTGGTGACGACTGAGTTTAACTCACAGAGCTGAACATTCCTTTGGATGGAGCAGTTTCGAAACACACTATTTGTAGAATGTGCAAGTGGATATGTGGGCCTCTCTGAGGATTTCGTTGGAAACGGGATAAACCGCACAGAACTAAACAGAAGCATTCTCAGAAACTACTTTGTGATGATTGCATTCAAGACACAGAGTTGAACATTCCCTTTGACAGAGCATTTTGGAAACTCTCTTTGTGTAGAATCTGCAAGTGGAGATATGGACCGCTTTGAGGCCTATGGTAGTAAAGGAAATAGCTTCATATAAAAGCTAGACAGTAGCATTCTCAGAAACTTCTTTGTGATGCTTGCATTCAACTCACAGAGTTGAACTTTCCTTTCGAGAGAGAAGCTTTGAAACACTCTTTTTCCAGAATCTGCAAGTGGACATTTGGAGGGCTTTGAGGCCTGTCGTGGAAAAGGAATTATCTTCCCGTAAAAGCCTAGATAGAAGCATTGTCAGAAACTTCTTTGTGATGATTGCATTCAAGTCACAGAGTTGAAGGTTCCTTTTCAAAGAGCAGTTTCCAATCACTCTTTCTGTGGAATCTGCAAGTGGATATTTGGACCTCTTTGAAGATTTCATTGGAAACGGGATAATCTTCACAGAAAAGCTAAACAGAAGCATTCTCAGAAACTTCTCTGTGATGTTTGTGTTCAACTCCCAGAGTTTCACATTGCTTCTCATAGAGTAGTTCTGAAACATGCTTTTCGTAGTGTCTGCAAGTGGACATTTGGAGCGCTTTCAGGCCTGTGGTGGAAAACGAATTATGGTCACATAAAAACTGGAGAGAAGCCTTCTCAAAAACTTCTCTGTGATGATTGCATTCAACTCACAGAGTTGAACCCTCCTATGGATAGAGCAGTGTTGAAACTCTCTTTTTGTGGAATCTGCAAGCGGATATGTGGACCTCTCCGAAGATGTCTTTGGAAACGGGAATATCTTCACATAAAAACTAAACAGAAGCACTCTCAGAAACTTCTTGGTGATGTTTGCATTCAAATCCCAGAGTTGAACCTTCCTTTGATAGTTCAGGTTTGAAACACTCTTTTTGTAGGATCTGCAAGTGGATATTTGGACCACTCTGTGGCCTTCATTCGAAACGGGTACATCTTCGCATAAAATCTAGACAGAAGCATTCTCAGAAAATACTTTGTGATGATTGACTTTAACTCACAGAGCTGAACATTCCTTTGGATGGAGCAGGCTTGAGACACACTTTTTGTAGAATCTACAAGTGGATATTTGGACCTCTCTGAGGATATCGTTGGAAACGGGATAACTGCACCTTACTAAGTGGAAGCATTCTCAGAAACTGCTTTGTGATGATTGCATTCACCTCACAGAGTTGAACATTCCTATTGATAGAGCAGTTTGGAAACACTCTTGTTGTGGAATGTGCAAGTGGAGATTTGGAGCGCTTTGAGGCCTATGGTAGTAAAGGGAATAGCTTCATAGAAAAACTAGACAGATGCATTCTCAGGAACTTTTTGGTGATGTTTGTATTCAACTCCCAGAGTTGAACTTTCCTTTGGAAAGAGCAGCTATGAAACACTGTTTTTCTAGAATCTGCAAGTGGACGTTTGGAGGGCTTTGTGGTTTGTGGTGGAAAAGGAAATATCTTCACCTAAATACTAGATAGAAGCATTCTCAGAAGCTTCTCTGTGATGACTGCATTCAACTCACGGAGTTGAACACTCCTTTTGAGAGTGCAGTTTTGAAACTCTCTTTCTGTGGCATCTGCAAGGGGACATGTAGACCTCTTTGAAGATTTCGTTGGAAACGGAATCATCTTCACATAAAAACTATACAGAAGCAGTCTCAGAATCTTCTTTGTGATGTTTGCATTCAAATCCCTGAGTTGAATTTTCCTTTCAAAGTTCACGTTTGAAACACTCTTTTTGCAGGATCTACAAGTGGATATTTGGACCACTCTGTGTCCTTCGTTCGAAACGGGTATATCTTCACATGACATCTAGACAGAAGCTTTCTCAGAAAATTCTTTGGGATGATTGAGTGGAACTCACAGAGCTGAACATTCCTTGCGATGTAGCAGTTTAGAAACACACTTTCTGCAGAATCTGCAAGTGCATATTTGGACCTCTCTGAGGAATTCGTTGGAAACGGGATAATTTCAGCTGACTAAACAGAAGCATTCTCAGAACCTTCTTCGTGATGTCTGCATTCAACTCACAGTGTGGAACCTTTCTTTGATAGTTCAGGTTTGAAACACTCTTTTTGTAGAAACTGCAAGGGGATAATTGCACTTCTTTGAGGCCTACCGTAGTAAAGGGAATAACTTCCTATAGAAAGAAGACAGAAGAATTCTCAGAGCCCTCTTCGTGATGTTTGCATTCAAATCACAGTGCTGAACCTTTCTTTGATAGTGCAGCTTTGAAACACTCTTTTTGTAGAAACTGCAAGTGGATATTTGGTCCTCTCTGAGGATTTCGTTGGAAACGGGATAAACCGCACAGAACTAAACAGAAGCATTCTCAGAACCTTCTTCGTGATGTTTGCATTCAACTCACAGTGTTGAACCTTTCTTTGATAGTTCAGGTTTGAAACGGTCTTTCTGTAGAAACTGCAAGTAGATATTTGGACCTCTCTGAGGATTTCGTTGGAAACGGGATAACCCGCACAGAACTAAAACAGAAGCATTCACAGAAAACTCTTGGTGACGACTGAGTTTAACTCACAGAGCTGAACATTCCTTTGGATGGAGCAGTTTCGAAACACACTATTGGTAGAATGTTCAAGTGGATATGTGGGCCTCTCTGAGGATTTCGTTGGAAACGGGATAAACCGCACAGAACTAAACAGAAGCATTCTCAGAAACTACTTTGTGATGATTGCATTCAAGTCACAGAGTTGAACATTCCCTTTGACAGAGCAGTTTGGAAACTCTCTTTGTGTAGAATCTGCAAGTGGAGATATGGACCGCTTTGAGGCCTACGGTAGTAAAGGAAATAGCTTCATATAAAAGCTAGACAGTAGCATTCTCAGAAACTTCTTTGTGATGCTTGCATTCAACTCACAGAGTTGAACTTTCCTTTCGAGAGAGAAGCTTTGAAACACTCTTTTTCCAGAATCTGCAAGTGGACATTTGGAGGGCTTTGAGGCCTGTGGTGGAAAAGGAATTATCTTCCCGTAAAAGCTAGATAGAAGCATTGTCAGAAACTTCTTTGAGATGATTGCATTCAACTCACAGAGTTGAAGGTTCCTTTTCAAACAGCAGTTTCCAATCACTCTTTCTGTGGAATCTGCAAGTGGATATTTCGACCTCTTTGAAGATTTCGTTGGAAACGGGAGAATCTTCACAGAAAAGCTAAACAGAAGCATTCTCAGAAACTTCTCTGTGATGTTTGTGTTCAACTCCCAGAGTTTCACGTTGCTTTTCATAGAGTAGTTCTGAAACATGCTTTTCGTAGTGTCTGCAAGTGGACATTTGGAGCGCTTTCAGGCCTGTGGTGGAAAACGAATTATGGTCACATAAAAACTGGAGAGAAGCCTTCTCAGAAACTTTTCTGTGGTGATTGCATTCAACTCACAGAGTTGAACCCTCCTATGGATAGAGCAGTGTTGAAACTCTCTTTTTGTGGAATCTGCAAGTGGATATGTGGACCTCTCCGAAGATGTCTTTGGAAACGGGAATATCTTCACATAAAAACTAAACAGAAGCATTCTCAGAAACTTCTTGGTGATGTTTGCATTCAAATCCCAGAGTTGAACCTTCCTGTGATAGTTCAGGTTTGAAACACTCTTTTTGTAGGATCTGCAAGTGGATATTTGGACCACTCTGTGGCCTTCGTTCGAAACGGGTACATCTTCACATAAAATCTAGACAGAAGCATTCTCAGAAAATACTTTGTGATGATTGAGTTTAACTCACAGAGCTGAACATTCCTTTGGATGGAGCAGGTTTGAGACACACTTTTTGTAGAATCTACAAGTGGATATTTGGACCTCTCTGAGGATTTCGTTGGAAATGGGATAACTGCACCTAACTAAACGGAAGCATTCTCAGAAACTGCTTTGTGATGATTGCATTCACCTCACAGAGTTGAACATTCCTATTGATAGAGCAGTTTGGAAACACTCTTGTTGTGGAATGTGCAAGTGGAGATTTGGAGCGCTTTGAGGCCTATGGTAGTAAAGGGAATAGCTTCATAGAAAAACTAGACAGATGCATTCTCAGGAACTTTTTGGTGATGTTTGTATTCAACTCCCAGAGTTGAACTTTCGTTTGGAAAGAGCAGCTATGAAACACTCTTTTTCTAGAATCTGCAAGTGGACGTTTGGAGGGCTTTGTGGTTTGTGGTGGAAAAGGAAATATCTTCACCTAAATACTAGATAGAAGCATTCTCAGAAGCTTCTCTGTGATGACTGCATTCAACTCACGGAGTTGAACACTCCTTTTGAGAGCGCAGTTTTGAAACTCTCTTTCTGTGGCATCTGCAAGGGGACATGTAGACCTCTTTGAAGATTTCGTTGGAAACGGAATCATCTTCACATAAAAACTATATAGAAGCAGTCTCAGAATCTTCTTTGTGATGTTTGCATTCAAATCCCAGAGTTGAACTTTCCTTTCAAAGTTCACGTTTGAAACACTCTTTTTGCAGGATCTACAAGTGGATATTTGGACCACTCTGTGTCCTTCGTTCGAAACGGGTATATCTTCACACGACATCTAGACAGAAGCTTTCTCAGAAAATTCTTTGGGATGATTGAGTGGAACTCACAGAGCTGAACATTCCTTGCGATGTAGCACTTTAGAAACACACTTTCTGCAGAATCTGCAAGTGCATATTTGGACCTCTCTGAGGAATTCGTTGGAAACGGGATAATTTCAGCTGACTAAACAGAAGCATTCTCAGAACCTTCTTCGTGATGTCTGCATTCAACTCACAGTGTGGAACCTTTCTTTGATAGTTCAGGTTTGAAACACTCTTTTTGTAGAAACTGCAAGGGGATAATTGCACTTCTTTGAGGCCTACCGTAGTAAAGGAAATAACTTCCTATAGAAAGAAGACAGAAGCATTCTCAGAACCCTCTTCGTGATGTTTGCATTCAACTCACAGTGCTGAACCTTTCTTTGATAGTTCAGCTTTGAAACACTCTTCTTGTAGAAACTGCAAGTGGATATTTGGTCCTCTGTGAGGATTTCGTTGGAAACGGGATAAACCGCACAGAACTAAACAGAAGCATTCTCAGAGCCCTCTTCGTGATGTTTGCATTGAACTCACGGTGCTGAACCTTTCTTTGATAGTGCAGCTTTGAAACACTGTTTTTGTAGAAACTGCAAGTGGATGTTTGGTCCTCTCTGAGGATTTCGTTGGAAACGGGATAAACCGCACAGAACTAAAACAGAAGCATTCTCAGAACCTTCTTCGTGATGTTTGCATTCAACTCACAGTGTTGAACCTTTCTTTGATAGTTCAGGTTTGAAACGGTCTTTCTGTAGAAACTGCAAGTAGATATTTGGACCTCTCTGAGGATTTCGTTGGAAACGGGATAACCCGCACAGAACTAAAACAGAAGCATTCACAGAAAACTCTTGGTGACGACTGAGTTTAACTCACAGAGCTGAACATTCCTTTGGATGGAGCAGTTTCGAAACACACTATTTGTAGAATCTGCAAGTGGATATTTGGGCCTCTCTGAGGATTTCGTTGGAAACGGGATAAAACGCACAGAACTAAAACAGAAGCATTCTCAGAAACTACTTTGTGATGATTGCATTCAAGTCACAGAGTTGAACATTCCCTTTGACAGAGCAGTTTGGAAACTCTCTTGGTGTAGAATCTGCAAGTGGAGATATGGACCGCTTTGAGGCCTATGGTAGTAAAGGAAATAGCTTCATATAAAAGCTAGACAGTAGCATTCTCAGAAACTTCTTTGTGATGCTTGCATTCAACTCACAGAGTTGAACTTTCCTTTCGAGAGAGAAGCTTTGAAACACTCTTTTTCCAGAATGTGCAAGTGGACATTTGGGGAGCTTTGAGGCCTGTGGTGGAAAAGGAATTATCTTCCCGTAAAAGCTAGATAGAAGCATTGTCAGAAACTTCTTTGTGATGATTGCATTCAACTCACAGAGTTGAAGGTTCCTTTTCAAACAGCAGTTTCCAATCACTCTTTCTGTGGAATCTGCAAGTGGATATTTCGACCTCTTTGAAGATTTCATTGGAAACGGGAGAATCTTCACAGAAAAGCTAAACAGAAGCATTCTCAGAAACTTCTCTGTGATGTTTGTGTTCAACTCCCAGAGTTTCACGTTGCTTTTCATAGAGTAGTTCTGAAACATGCTTTTCGTAGTGTCTGCAAGTGGACATTTGGAGCGCTTTCAGGCCTGTGGTGGAAAACGAATTATGGTCACATAAAAACTGGAGAGAAGCCTTCTCAGAAACTTCTCTGTGATGATTGCATTCAACTCACAGAGTTGAACCCTCCTATGGATAGAGCAGTGTTGAAACTCTCTTTTTGTGGAACCTGCAAGTGGATATGTGGACCTCTCCGAAGATGTCTTTGGAAACGGGAATATCTTCACATAAAAACTAAACAGAAGCATTCTCAGAAACTTCTTGGTGATGTTTGCATTCAAATCCCAGAGTTGAACCTTCCTTTGATAGTTCAGGTTTGAAACACTCTTTCTGTAGGATCTGCAAGTGGCTATTTGGACCACTCTGTGGCCTTCGTTCGAAACGGGTATATCTTCGCATAAAATCTAGACAGAAGCATTCTCAGAAAATACTTTGTGATGATTGAGTTTAAATCACAGAGCTGACCATTCCTTTGGATGGAGCAGGTTTGAGACACACTTTTTGTAGAATCTACAAGTGGATATTTGGACCTCTCTGAGGATTTCGTTGGAAACGGGATAACTGCACCTAACTAAACGGAAGCATTCTCAGAAACTGCTTTGTGATGATTGCATTCACCTCACAGAGTTGAACATTCCTATTGATAGAGCAGTTTGGAAACACTCTTGTTGTGGAATGTGCAAGTGGAGATTTGGAGCGCTTTGAGGCCTATGGTAGTAAAGGGAATAGCTTCATAGAAAAACTAGACAGATGCATTCTCAGGAACTTTTTGGTGATGTTTGTATTCAACTCCCAGAGTTGAACTTTCCTTTGGAAAGAGCAGCTATGAAACACTCTTTTTCTAGAATCTGCAAGTGGACGTTTGGAGGGCTTTGTGGTTTGTGGTGGAAAAGGAAATATATTCACCTAAATACTAGATAGAAGCATTCTCAGAAGCTTCTCTGTGATGACTGCATTCAACTCACGGAGTTGAACACTCCTTTTGAGAGCGCAGTTTTGAAACTCTCTTTCTGTGGCATCTGCAAGGGGACATGTAGACCTCTTTGAAGATTTCGTTGGAAACGGAATCATCTTCACATAAAAACTATACAGAAGCAGTCTCAGAATCTTCTTTGTGATGTTTGCATTCAAATCCCAGAGTTGAACTTTCCTTTCCAAGTTCACGTTTGAAACACTCTTTTTGCAGGATCTACAAGTGGATATTTGGACCACTCTGTGTCCTTCGTTCGAAACGGGTATATCTTCACATGACATCTAGACAGAAGCTTTCTCAGAAAATTCTTTGGGATGATTGAGTTGAGCAAACAGAGCTGAACACTCCTTGCGATGTAGCAGTTTAGAAACACACTTTCTGCAGAATCTGCAAGTGCATATGTGGACCTCTCTGAGGAATTCGTTGGAAACGGGATAATTTCAGCTGACTAAACAGAAGCATTCTCAGAACTTCTTCGTGATGTCTGCATTCAACTCACAGTGTGGAACCTTTCTTTGATAGTTCAGGTTTGAAACACTCTTTTTGTAGAAACTGCAAGGGGATCATTGCACTTCTTTGAGGCCTACCGTAGTAAAGGAGATAACTTCCTATAAAAAGAAGACAGAAGCATTCTCAGAACCCTCTTCGTGATGTTTGCATTCATCTCACAGTGCTGAATCTTTCTTTGATAGTTCAGCTTTGAAACACTCTTCTTGTAGAAACTGCAAGTGGATATTTGGTCCTCTCTGAGGATTTCGTTGGAAACGGGATAAACCGCACAGAACTAAACAGAAGCATTCTCAGAACCTTCTTCGTGATGTTTGCATTCAACTCACAGTGTTGAACCTTTCTTTGATAGTTCAGGTTTGAAACGGTCTTTCTGTAGAAACTGCAAGTAGATATTTGGACCTCTCTGAGGATTTCGTTGGAAACGGGATAACCCGCACAGAACTAAAACAGA